>NC_000009.12:64656643-64998124 GCF_000001405.40 Homo sapiens
AATGGAAGAACATTCCATGCTCTTGGGTAGGAAGAATCAATCTCATGAAAAAGGCCATACTGCCCAAGGTAATTTACACATTCAATGCCATACCCATCAAGCTACCAATGACTTTCTTCACAGAATTGGAAAAAACTACTTTAAAGTTCATATGGAACCAAAAAAGAGCCCACATCACCAAGTCAATCCTAAGCCAAAACAACAACGCTGGAGGCATCACACTACCTGACTTCAAACTATACTACAAGGCTACAGTAACCAAAACAGCATGGTACTGGTACCAAAACAGATATATAGATCAATGGAACAGAACAGAGCCCTCAGAAATAACGCCACATATCTACAACTATCTGATCTTTGACAAACCTGAGAAAAACAAGCAATGGGGAAAGGATTCCCTATTTAATAAATGGTTCTGGGAAAACTGGCTAGCCATATGTAGAAAGCTGAAACTGGATCCCTTCCTTACACCTTATACAAAAATCAATTCAAGATGGATTAAAGACTTAAAAGTTCAACCTAAAACCATAAAAACCCTAGAAGAAAACCTAGGCATTACCATTCAGGACATAGGCATGGGCAAGGACTTCATGTCTAAAACACCAAAAGCAATGGCAACAAAAGACAAAATTGACAAATGGGATCTAATTAAACTAAAGAGCTTCTGCACAGCAAAAGAAACTACCATCAGAGTGAACAGGCAACCTACAAAATGGGAGAAAATTTTCACAACCTACTCATCTGACAAAGGACTAATATCTAGAATCTACAATGAACTCAAACAAATTGACAAGAAAAAAACAAACAACCCCATCAAAAAGTGGGCGAAGGACATGAACAGACACTTCTCAAAAGAAGACATTTATGCAGCCAAAAAACACATGAAAAAATGCTCACCATCACTGGCCATCAGATAAATGCAAATCAAAACCACAATGAGATACCATCTCACACCAGTTAGAATGGCAATCATTAAAAAGTCAGGAAACAACAGGTACTGGAGAGGATGTGGAGAAATAGGAACACTTTTACACTGTTGGTGGGACTGTAAACTAGTTCAACCACTGTGGAAGTCAGTGTGGCAATTCCTCAGGGATCTAGAACTAGAAATACCATTTGACCCAGCCATCCCATTACTGGCTATATGCCCAAAGGACTATAAATCATGCTGCTATAAAGACACATGCATACGTATGTTTATTGTGGCATTATTCACAATAGCAAAGACTTGGAACCAACCCAAATGTCCAACAATGATAGACTGGATTAAGAAAATGTGGCACATATACACCATGGAATACTATGCAGCCATAAAAAATGATGAGTTCATGTCCTTTGTAGGGACATGGATGAAATTGGAAATCATCATTCTCAGCAAACTATCGCAAGAACAAAAAACCAAACACCGCATATTCTCACTCATAGGTGGGAATTGAACAATGAGAACACATGGACACAGGAAGGGGAACATCACACTCTGGGGACTGTTGTGGGGTGGGGGGAGGGGGGAGGGATAGCATTGGGAGATATTCCTAATGCTAGATGACGAGTTAGTGGGTGCAGTGCACCAGCATGGCACATGTATACATATGTAACTAACCTGCACATTGTGCACATGTACCCTAAAACTTAAAGTATAATAATAATAATAAAAAAATACATCACCAAAAAAATAAAGAGGGCATTATAAAATGCCTCATGGAAAAAATATTATTTTAACAATTAGTAAAGTAAAATAAAAATTTGTGACTCATAAAGACACACTTCATTTTAATCCTCTATTTTTTTTTTTACAAATGGGACTTGAATATTTTAAGATAAAATTTAAAAAATCAAGTAATTTTAATCAGAAATTTCAAAAAAATAAAACCCTGAATCCAATTCAAATTTCACTTACTTGGAAATTGTCACTGATATAAATTTATTTATATAAATGTGATATAACCAATAAAGATATGCAATAGAGTCATTGTTAATTTGGGTAAAAAAATTTTAAAAACAATGCAAACTTGTATTACCTCCATATGTATGTATGTACACATGTACACATATATGAATATTTATATATTTGCGTACACACACCATATATGTACCTGTGTATAAATGAATAACAATGGAATGTCAGTTGGCCTCTACTACAACATTTGAAGGCCCATTGCACAATGGCCAGAACAGAGACGACATCAGAATGCAACTTAAAATTTCCAAGATGACTTGAATTATATCTGAATTTCTAACAGGGCATAGAGAAATTAAAATCTTGTTTGATTATGCTTCTTTGTTTATTACTGGGAGAGCCTCACATGCAAAGCAGATCAGGATATTCTCTTACCAAATGTGTTAATTAACAGTCAGTTCATAATGTAAGGGTGACTCAAATAGCAGATTCAATATCAAACAGGAAGGGCTTTTGTAGCCCGTTCTATTTTCGGTCAACCACAAACCACCCACTCCTGCTGAAATAAAAACTTAAAAGGCAGGTGGAGGAAAATATGTTCTAGACCAAGGGGTAGGTTCCGGGTCTGCAAAAGACATAGTGTGCCACCCACAAACACACAACTTCAAGGAGCGTGGCTCAATCCTTCAGAAAATTGGTTCTAACTTTCAAATCATTAGGGATCTTCTTTATGAAAGATATAGCAAACAAAAACACAAAATATACCCCTCTAAGATTATTAGGAAGTTAAAAAAAAGTGACTTGTAACTTTTAATAAATAACTAGGGAGGTAAGCTTGTTCATTTCTGAGATTCACAACTTTTATAAAGGTGCTGTATTAATACTTGAATTGTGCTATGTTTAATAGAAGCAGAGACATAAGCCATACTGAGAGAAGAAAAAAATTTTACAACAAGAAAATCTAATGCTGTTTAATTTCTTTAAATATTTATTAATTTCTGAATGCTATGTGATTGCTTTTATATTAATTTTTCAGTAGGGAAAATGAATACAATTGAATACAATTTCTCAGTTGAGAAATTAAATACAATGGATTTTAGTGTGATGACATACTTGATGGGATAATTTTAAAATCATGATTTTAATTAGATATAATACTTTTAGGTAGAATAATAAAAATAAAGGAAAACCGATTTTCTTTAAATTCTGTCAAATATTTCTTTCTCACAATAATTAATATGTAATTTACCAATGATGTAGTAGATTAATACCAAATTCTCTTACTTTTGGTTTCATCAAAAAATGATGAGCATTTTTCTCTGATTGATGTTCAGTTACTTTCAGATGGCTTGTAATCTTGTACTTTCAACATTAAAGATTTTTTTTCACATATTGATACCAATCATTTTATGATATATCTGATTTTATAATTATGTATTCATTGTTTTCAAATGAGAGTTATGGTTGTATACAGTAAGAATTATAATAGAGGAAGTTATCTGGTGCTCCAGGAATTTAAATAAGAGAAGATAGAAAGATCTCAGCCTTTGTATCAATATTTTAATTGGATCCTGAAAAATGAATGGAGATAGACAGAAAACAAGTAAAAAATGGTCTAAGCAGATGGAATAGAAGGAGTAAAAGGAGAGTGATAGAAAAGTGTGTGTGTCTTTGAAGGAACATAACCTGTTCTGGGTGTGGCTACAGCACAGGTTTGTGAAGGAAAATGTTAAATGATTGAGGAGAATGTCTCTCAATATCAGTGATTTTGTATTTTACCCTTCAATGATGGGACATAAGTAAACAATTTTTAAAAGCATAGTGGGTGTGTGTGTATATAAATATATAGTATATATAGTATATAGCATGTCTATACTTATACTATATACATACATATAGTGTATATGCATATATGTATATATAGTATATATATATACTTATTTTCATTCTAGATAGAAGTTTTTGAGATGCAGTTAGAAGAAAAAGTCAGAAAGAATAGTCAAGATTATTCCAGCAGTACAGGCATGATGTGATGAATAACTAAATTAAAACATTAGCAGCAACACAGAAGAGAAATGGCAGAATAGAAAGGTAATTCAAGGTAGAAACAGCTGAACTTAATAATTCATTTAGAAGGAAGAGTCAAGGTATAAATACTCTAAATTTTCTTGGCGACTGGCTTGATATTATCATCATTAGCTGAGATGGGCAATGCTTTAAAAGAAATAGATTTATTTGCCAAAATATAAAATGTGTTTATGGCTATGTCAAATTTGAGATGCAGGTGGTGAAGACAGAGGGAGAGAATCAGTTGATATTTTAAAATATAGGTTTGAAACCTACAGGAAAATATTGGAGTAAAAAAAAATAAAGAAAATCAAACGTCAAAGGAAATGCTGGAAGTGTGGGAATGGATAAAAGGAGCACAGGAAAAGTGTGCAGAGCATTGTTACCCAAAGTGCTGTGGGAATTTTATACACATATGAATACAACTCGCAAAACACACAAATATTTTTGCTTCCCTGGATCATTTACTGGAGTCTTTTACATACACATTCTGAAGTATAAGGTATGCAGAATTTTCTAAGCGTATCATACAATTCCATTCCAAGAATACATTTCAGGAAAACTATTGTCAATCAGGGAAACATTGGTGCAGAATAGTAAGAAAAGAAATACCCATTAAGACTAGTAGTTACACAGTGGACATGAAAAAACTAGGCAGCAAGGAGTTATTAAAAAGAAAGCATGGGCTGGGCATTGTGGCTCATGCCTATAATCCCAGCACTTTGGGAGGCCGAGGCGGGCGGATCACCTGAGGTTGGGAGTTTGAGACCAGCCTGACCAACATGAAGAAACCCCATCTCTAGTAAAAATACAAAATTAGCTGGGCATGGTGGCACATGCTTGTAATCGCAGCTACTCGGGAGGCTGAGGCAGGAGAGTCTCTTGAAACTGGGAGGCGGAGGTTGCAGTGAGCTGAGATCACACTGTTGCACTCCAGCCTGGGTGAAAAGAGGGAAACTTCATCTCAAAAAAAAAAGAAAAAAGAAAAAAATGAAAGCATGGGGCCAACATTGAGTGGTCTTAAGGAAGTCAAGGTAGAAGGAAATTTAAAGAAGGAAATGAAAAGCAATGCAGAATGTTTAGAAAGTCAATTAGGAAGCTCCCATAAATATTCTCACTATGTATTATAGGGAATTCATTTATAACTTCAAAAATACCACTCAAAAAAGATGGTAATTGTTGAAATGAGATTTCAATGGGTGAAAGAGGCTGGGCACAGTGGCTCATGCCTGTAATCCCAGCACTTTGGGAGGCCGAGGTGGATGGATCACGACGTCAGCAGTTCAAGACCAGCCTGGCCAAGATGTGAAACCCCATCTCTACTAAAAATACAAAAATTAAACGGGCATGGTGTTGGGCACCTGTAATCCTAGCTACTTGGGAGGCTGAGACAGGAGAATCGCTTGAACCCAGGAGGTGGAGGTCGCAGTGAGCCGAGATGATGCCACTGCACTCCAGCCTGGGTGACAGAGCAAAAGAAAGAAAAGAGAAAAGAAAAGAGAAGAGAAGAAAGAAAAGAACGACGGAAGGGATTTTAAAAAGAGATGAGAAGTCTGTATACTGTTTTGGAGGAAGTGTAATTTATGATTTTGGCTATAACTTGCTATGAATGGAAACAGCAACACACCACTGGATTTCAACTTTTGAGTGCTTAAGAAGGTGGAGATGGTGATTAAAATAATAATAATAATAATAATAATAATAATAATAATAATAATGCTAAGTGTGTAATAGTTGCTAAGTGTGTGGTGTCTGAAACCAGGATATCAGGATGTCTGGAACTGGGATTGAATCCCAGCTCTTCCACTTTCTGGTTATGTGAGTGACTGTAGGCAAATTACTTAATCTTTTCATGCTCCAGTTTCCCATATGTAAAATGAGAATTATAATAGTAAACTACTTCATGGCTTGTGAGGATGAAGTACATGTAGAGTACTTAGTGAGTTCTCTTTGTGTATTATGTATTAGTTTCAAAATGCAGATTCTAGAGCCCTTAGATTCTCATTCAATAGGTATGAGGCAAGCACGGGCCAGGATTCTGCATTCTTTAAGGAGGTGTAATTTCCTATATCTGCTGTGACAAAGTGGTTCACATTAGGTCGCTTAAAATGAGATAAAGTTATTCTTTTACGGTTCAGAAAGCTAGAAATCTTAAATGAAGGAGTTAGCAGTGCTGCATTTTTCTCTGAATGACCTGGAAAAAAATCCTTTCTTGCTTCTTCTAGCACCGGGTGATCACTGAGCTTCATTGTCATTGCTTGGCTGGAGGATACCTCACTTTATTCTCTACCTCCATCCTCACATTGCCATCTCCTCCCTGCGTCTCTGTTTCCTCTTCCCTTCTTATGAGGATATCAACCATATTGAATTATGGCCCACTCTAATGCATTATGAGCTCATCTAGCATATCATAATTATACAGCATCTGCAAATAATTTGATTTCAAATTAAGTCATACTCACAGACATCAGGGGCTAGAACTCTAATATATATATTTTCTTTTTGAAGACACAATGTAACCCACAAAAGGGGGGGAGCCGCTTAAGATCATAAATAACTCAAGTAACAAGACTGTGTGTTTAAAATAGCATTTAAATTTCTCCAAATGGCAGACAGCTTAATTCAGATCAATACCAATCAGGAGATAAACAAGTGTTTGTCTCCTAATTGGCATTTACCTGAGATTAAAACATTATGGTAAAATACATTATCTTCAGTGATCTTTGGTTTAGGTGAGCATTCACAAGGCACAGAGTTATTATCACTTGAGCCATCTCTCTCTAATAACTCTTTTCTAATCTGCTGGCCAACAATATCAGGTTCTTTCAAATCTCTGATTATCGGACCAAACCATAAGGTCCTCCACGTGAATTGGTAGAAATATTTTTTACAAAGGTAAATGAAATTTTATTTACTTGATGGATTTCTCTTCTCCTTTGTACAAAGGGGTGACCCTTTGACAGCACAGGGAAAGAACATGATAGAAATAGACTTTCAGAAGGAAGGGCCTTCCATAACAAGGAATGCCATCTGTAATCCAGACTTTTTTCTCCTCAGGAATCCAGTCATAGGCAAATCTCTATGAATCACAGATAAATAGAAAGAAGGGTGGGAGTGTGTCAGGAGTAGGATGCTGAAAATGTGAGTAGCCTGTTCATTAATTGGTCCCTTGGAAACTGAGAAGGCAACGTGGCATACATGCAATTTCCATGGAATGATGGAAGACTGGTTGTAGTTACTATGATCCTATAATGCTCAGATCACAACGGGGTCACCCTTATTCATGACTGAGCATTCCTTCTTATTAGTATCCCAATGTGAAATTGTTTCTCAAAAAAGGAGGGGGCGGGTAATTTTTGTACAAAAGGCTTTTACTCCAAAATAAAGTGGCTTGTACTGTATTTCTCCTCTGGAGCCTTGCCGCTGGCTCCATAGGAAAATTCTGCCTCTCATAGATACCTGAGGCATTGGATTCCCTAAACAAAATTGTAGATCCACTTGTACTGCAGGCCTCTGTAGTCCAAAACGTTTCTCTTTCTCTGAGTCCCACTCACAGCTGACATCCTTCTTGACATTTGCATTTTATTTAGAATACACATCCAAATATGTTTTATGTTGCCTCTAACATTCAAAAGAGCCTCTAACAGTCTTCCTTTCCCTATCCCTTCCTTCCATTTGAAAGATGTTTGCTCCACATCACTTTCTACTGCATTCTTAGACTCCCTGAAGGTAGGAAACCCACATTTTTGTCATTTGCTCGATGTGTCTTTCCTGAAGTCTATGGTAGCTGCTATTTTTCTCTAGAGCATATCAACCGGATGCTGTCCATGTATTCCATAAGTTATGTCCGTTTGGCTAGTGACATGGCCAGGGTTCCTGAGTACAAAATTGTGACACAGACAAAAATAGTTATACTTCTACAGCTACATAGTGAAGACACTGTGCCTGGAAAAAGTAAGAAATTTCAGGTATTTACCATTTATTTAAGATACAGAAAAATAATTTGCCTAAATGTATAGCAGGAAAAGGAGATAAGTGTATTCACTAAAGCAAGGAGACTACATCTGGATTTTAAATGTGTGCCCTCAGATAGGATTCCAGTACACAGTGGCTGGATTCTGAGTGTTTGTCCCTCACACAGGATTACAGAACACTGCTACGAGGTTCTGAATGGAAAAGGAAATATCTTCACATAAAGACAAGAAAGAAGCATTCTGAGAAACTTCTTTGTGATGTGTGCATTCACCTCACAGAGTTGAACTTTTCTTTTGATTTAGCACTTTTGAAATACTCTTTTTGTAGTGTCTGCAAGTGGATATTTGGAGCGCTTTACATTCTATGGTGGAAAAGTAAATATCTTCACATCAAAACCAGACAGAAGCATTCTGAGAAACTCCTCTGTGATCTATGCATTCATCTCACAGAGTTGAATGTTTCTCTTGATTGAGCAGTTCTGAAACACTGTTTTTGTAGAATCTGCAAGTGGATATTTTGAGTGCTTTGGGGCCTATGGTGGAAAAGGAAATATCTTCACATAAAAACTAGACAGAAACATTCTGAGAAACTTCTTTGTGATGTGTGCATTCAACTCACAGAGTTGAAATATTCTTTTGATTGAGCAGTTTTGAAACACTCTTTTTGTAGTATCTGCAAAGTTGGAGGACTTTGGGACCTCTAGAGGAAAGGGAAATATCTTCTCTTAAAAACTAGACAGAAGCATTCTGAGAAACTTCTTTGTGATGTGTGCATTCATCTCACAGAGCTGAACATTTCTTTTGATTGAGCAGCTTTGAAACACTCTTTTTGTAGAATCTGCAAGTGGACATTGGGAGCGATTTGAGGCCTATGGAGGAAAAGGAAACATCTTCACATAAAAACTACACAAATGCCTTCTGAGAAACTTCTTTGTGATGTGTGCATTCATCTCACAGAATTGAACCTTTCTTTTGATCGAACAGTTTTGAAACACTTCTTTTGAAGGATCTGCATGTGGATATTTGGATCAGTTTGGGGCCTGTGGTGGAAAAGGAAATATCTTCAAATAAAAACTACACAGAAGCGTTCTGAGAAAGTTCTTTGTGATGTGTGCATTCAACTCACATAGTTGAAGATTTCTTTTGATTGAGCAGTTTTGAAACAATCTTTTTGTAGTATTTGCAAGTGGATATTTGGAGTGGTTTGAGACCTATTGTAGAAGAGGAAATATCTTCACATAAATACTAGACAGAAGCATTCTGAGAAACTTCTCTGTGATGTGTGCATTCATCTCACAGAGTTGAAACTTTGTTTTGATTGAGCAGTTTTGAAACACTCTTTTTGTAGAATCTGCAAGTGGATACTTGGAGTGCTTTGAGCTCAATGGTGGAAAAGGAAGTATCTTCAATTAAAAACTAGACAGAAGCATTCTGAGAAACTTCTTTGTGATGTGTGCATTCAACTCACAGAGTTTAAACTTTCTTTTGATTGAGGAGTTAAAAAATCTCTTTTTGTAGAATCTGCAAGTGGATATTTGGAGCGCTTTGCGGCCTATAGTGGAAACGGAAATATCTTCACATAAAAACTAGACAGAAGCCTTCTGAGAAACTCCTTTGTGATGTGTGCATTCATGTCTCAGAGATGAACCTTTCTTTTGATTGAGCAGTTTTGAAACACTTTTTGTAGAATCTGCAAGTGGATATTTGGAGCGCTTTGTGGCCAATGGTGGTAAAAGGAAACATCTTCACATAAAAACTGGATGGAAGCATTCTGAGAACTTCTTTGTGATTTATGCATTCAGCTCACAGAGTTGAACCTTTCTTTTGATTGAGCCATTTGAAACACTCTTTTTGTACGATCTGCAAGTGGATAATTGGAGTGCTTTAAGGTCTACGGTGGAGAAGGAAATATCTTCACATAAAAACTACACAGAAGCATTCTGAGAAACTTCTTTGTGATTTGTGCATTCAACACACAGAGTTGAACCTTTCTTTTGATTGAGCAGTTTGAAACACTCTTTTTGTAAAATCTGCAAGTGGATATTTGGAACGCCTTAAGGTCTATGGTGGAGAAGGAAATATCTTCACATAAAAACTGGACAGAAGCATTCTGAGAAACTACTTTGTGATGTGTGCATTCATCTCACAGAATTGAAACTTTCTTTTGATTGAGCAGATTTGAAGCACACTTTTTGTGGAATGAGCAAGTGGATATTTGGAGGGCTTCAAGACCTATGGTGGAAACTGAAATATCTTCACCTAAAAACAACACAGAAGCAGTCTGTGTAACTTCTTTCTGATGTGTGCATTCATCTCACAAAGTTGAACATTTCTTTGGATTCAGCAGTTTTGAAAAACACTTTTTGTAGTATCTGCAAGTGGATATTTGGAGCGCTTTGGGGCCTATGGTGGAAAGGGAAATATCTTCACCTAAAAACTACACAGAAGCATTCTGAGAAACTTCTTTGGGATGTGTGCATTCATCTCACAGAGTTGAACCTTTCTTTTCATTGAGCAGTTTTGAAACACTCTTTTTGTAGAATCTGTAAGGGGACATGCGGAGCTCTTTGAGGCCTGAGGTGGAAAAGGATATATCTTCACAAAAAAACTAGGTGGAAACATTCTGACAAACCTATTTGCGATATGTGCATTCATCTCACAGAGTTGAACCTTACTTTTGATTAAGCAGTTCTGAAAAACCCTTTTGGTACTATCTGCAAATGGACATTTTGTGTGGCTTGAGACCTACAGTGGAAAAGGAAATATGTTCACATAAAAATTAGACAGAAGCATTCTGACAAATTACTTTGTGATGTATGCATTCATCTCACAGAGTTGATCATTTCTTTTGAGTGAATAGTTTGGAAGCTCTCCTTTTGTAGCATCTGCAAGTGGACATTTTGAGCGCTTTGAGGCCTATGGTGGAAAAGGAAATATCTTCCCATAAATATTAGACAGAAGCATTCTGACAAATTCTTTGTGATGTGTGCATTCATCTCAGAGAGTTGAACCTTTCCTTCGATTGTGTAGTTTTCAAACACTCTTTCTGTAACATCTGCAAGTGGACATTTGGAGTGATTTGAGGCCTAAGGTGAAAAATGAAATATCTTCACATAATAACTAGACAGAAGCATTCTGAGAAAGTTGTTTGTGATGTATGCATTAATCTCACAGAGTTGAACATTTCTTTTGATTGAGCAGCTTTGAAACACTCTTTTTGTAGAATCTGTAAGTGGACATTTGGAACACTTTGAGGCCTATGGTGGAAAAGGAAATATCTTCATAGAGAAGCTAGACAGAAATATTCTGAGAAATTTCTTTGTGATGTGGGCATTCATCTCACAGAGTTGAACTTTCTTTTGATTGAGCAGTTTTGAAACACTCTTTTTGTAGAATCTGCAAGTGGATATTTGGAGCGCTTTGCGGCATATGGTGGAAAAGGAAGTATCTTCACTTAAATACTAGACAGAAGAATTCTGACAAACTTCTTTGTGATGTGTGCATTCATCTCAGGGAATTGAACCTTACTTTTGATTGAGAAGTTTTGAAGCCCACTTTTTGTAGAATCTGCAAGTTGATATTTGGAGCACTTTTAGGCCTACGGTGGAAAAGGAAATATCCTCACATAAGAACTAGACAGAAGCATCCTGAGAAACTTCTTTGTGATGTTTTCATTCAACCCACAGAGTTGAATCTTACTTTTGGTTGAGCAGTTTGGAAACACTCTTTTTGTAGAATCTGCAAGCGGACATTTTGTTCGCTTTGAGGCCTATGGTGGAAAAGGAAATATCTTCACTTAAGATCTTGACAGAAGCATTCTGAGAAACTTCTTCGTGATGGGTGCAGTCATCTCACAGAGTTGAACATTTCTTTTGATTGAGCACCTTTGAAACATTATTTTTGTAGGATCTGCATGTGGACCTTTGGAGCGCCTTGAGGCCTATGGTAGAAAAGGAAATATTTTCACATAAAAACTATACAGAAGCATGCTGACAAACTTCTTTGTGTTGTTTGCATTCATCTCACAGAATTGAACGTTTCTTTCCATTGAGCAGTTTTGAAACACTGTTTTTGTACAATCTGCAAGTGGACATTTGGAGCGCTTTGAGGCCTATGGTGGAAAAGGAAATATCTTCACTTAAGAACTAGACAGAACATTCTGAGAAACTTCTTTGTGATGTGTGCATTCATCTCACAGAGTTGAACCTTTCTTTTGATTGAGCAGTTTTGAAACACTCTTTTTGTAGAATCTGCAAGTGGACATTTGGAGCGCTTTGCAGCCAATTATGGAAAAGGAAATATCTTCACATAACAACAAGACAGCAGCATTCTCAGAAACTTCTTTGTGATGTGTGTATTCATCTCACGGAGTTGAAACTTTCTTTTGATTGAGCAGCTTTGAAACACTCTTTTGTAGAATCTGCAAGTGGACATTAGGAGCACTTTGAGGCCTATGGCAGAAAAGGAAATATCTTCACATAAAAACTAGACAGAAGCATTGTCACAAACTTCTTTGGAATGCGTGCTTTCAAGTCACAGAGTTGAACATTTCTTTTCATTAATCTATTTTGAAACACTCTTTTGGTAGAATCTGCAAGTGGACATTTGGAATTCTTTGGGGCCTACGGTGGAAAAGGAAATATCTTCACAGAAAAACTACACAGAATTATTCTGGGAAATTTTTTTGGGATGTGTGCATGCATCTCACAGAGTTGAACTTTCTTTTGATTGAGCAGTTTGAAACACTCTTTTTGTAGAATCTGCAAAGGGACATTTGAGCACTTTGTGGCATATGGTGGTAAAGGAAATATCTTCACATAAAAACTAGACAGAAGCATGCTGACAAACTTCTTTGTGTTGTTTGCATTCATCTCACAGAATTGAACCTTTCTTTCCATTGAGCAGTTTTGAAACACTGTTTTTGTACAATCTGCAAGTGGACATTTGGAGCACTTTGAGGCTTATGGTGTAAAAGGAAATATCTTCACTTAAGAACTAGACAGAACATTCTGAGAAACTTCTTTGTGGTGTGTGCATTCATCTCACATAGTTGAACATTTCTTTTCAATGAGCAGTTTTGAAACACTCTTTTTGTAGAATCTACAAGTGGACACTTGGTGTGCTTTGAGGTCTATGGTGGAAAAGGAAATATCTGCTCATAAAACATGGACAGAAACATTCTGAGAAACTTCTTCATGATGTGTATATTCATCTCAAAGATTTGAACCTTTCTTTTGATTGAACAGTTTGGAAACACTCTTTTTGCAGTATCTGCAAGTGGACATTTGGAGGGCTCTGAGGCCTCTGGTGGAAAAGGAAATATCTTCACTTAAGAAGTGCAAAGAATCATTCTGAGAAAATACTTTGTGATGTGTGCATTCATCTGACAGAGTTGAACCTTACTGTTGATTGAGCAGGTTTGAAACATCCTTTTTGTACTAGGTACAAGTGGACATTTGGAGTGCGTTGATGCCTATGGTGTAAAAGTATATATCTTTACATAAAAACTAGACAGAAGGATTCTTAGAAATGTCTTTGTTATATGTGCATTCATCTCACAGAGTTGAAACTTTCTTTTGATTGACTAGTTTGGAAATCTTTTTGAAGGATCTGCAAGTGGACATTTGGATCACTTTGAGGCCTATGGTGGAAAAGGAAATATCTTCACATAAGAAGTAGACAGAAACATTCTGAGAAACTTCTTTGTGATGTGTGCATTCTTTTCACAGAGTTGAACCTTTCTTTTGATTGAGCAGCTTTGAAATGCTTTTTTTGTAGAATCTGCAAGTGGACATTTGGAGCGCTTTGAGGAGTGTAATGGAAAACAAAATATCTTCATGTAACAACTATGCAGAAGTATTGTGAGAAACTTCTTTGTGATGAGTGCATTCATCTCACAGAGTTGAAACTTTCTTTTGATTTTCTAGTTTGGAAACTCTCTTTTTGTAGAATCTGCAAGTGGACATTTGGAGCGCATTGAGGCCAATGGCAGAGAAGGAAATATCTTCACATAAAAACTAGACAGAAGCATTCTGATAAACTTCTTTGTGATATGTGCATTCACCTCACAGTGTTGAACCTTACTTTTAATTGAGCCGTTTTGAAACTCCCTTTTTGTACTATCTGCAAGTGGACATTTGGAGTGCTTTGAGGCCTATGGTGGAAATGGAGATATCTTCACATAAAAACTAGACAGAAGCAATCTGAGAAACTTCTTTTTGATGTGTGCATACATCTCACAGAGTTAAACATTTCCTGTGATGGAGCACTTTTGAAACTCTCTTTTTGTAGAATCAGCAACTGGACATTTTGAGCTCTTTGAGGCCTATGGTGGAAAAGGAAACATCTTCACATAAAAACTAGACGGAAGAATTCTCAGAAATTTCTTTGTGGTGTGTGAGTTCATCTCACAGAGTAGAACCTTTCTTTTGATTGAGCAGTTTGGAAACACTCTTTTTGTAGAATCTGCAAGTGGACATTTGGAGAACTTTGTGGCCTATAGTGGAAAAGGAAATATCTTCACATAAAAACTAGACAGAAGAATTCTGAGAAACTTCTTTGTGATGTATGCATTCATCTCATAGCGTTGAGCATTTCTTCTGATTGAGCAGCTTTGAAACACTCTTTTTGTAGAATCTGCATGTGGACATTTGGAGCGCTTTGAGGCCTATAGTGGAAAAGGAAATATCTTCATATAAAAACTATACAGAAACATTCTTACAAACTTCTTAGTGATGTGTGCATTCATCTCATAGAGTTGAACCTTTCTGTTCATTGAGCAGTTTTGAAAAACTCTTTTTGTGGAATGTGCAATTGTACATTTGAAGCGATTTGAGGCCTATGGTTGAAAAGGAAATATGTTCACATAAAAACTAGACAGAAGCATTCTGACCAATTACTTTGTGATGTGTGCATTCATCTAACAGAGTTGAACCTTTCTTTTGGTTGAGTAGTTTGGAAATTCTCTTTTTGTAGGATCTGCAAGAGCACATTAGGAGTGCTTTGGGGCCTAAGGTGGAAAAGGTAATATCTTCACTTAAGAAGTAGACAGAAGCATTCTGAGTAACTTCTTTGTGATGTGTGCATTCATCTCACAGAGTTGAACCTTTCTTTTGATTGAGTAGCTTAGAAACTCTCTTTTTGTAGAATCTGCAAGTGGACATTTGGAGCGCATTTGGGCCTATGGTGGAAAAGGAAATATCTTCATTTAAGAAGTAGACGGAAGCATTCTGTGAAACTGCTTTGTGATGTGTGCATTCCTCTCACAGAGCTGAAACTTTATTTTAATTGAGCAGTTTTGAAAAACTCTTTTTCTAGAAATTGCAAGTGGACATTTGGAGTGCTTTGCAGCCGACGGTGGAAAAGGAAATATCTTCACATACAAACTAGACAAAAGCATTCTGACAAGCTTATTTGTGATGGGTGCATTCATCTCAAAGAGTTGAACCTTACTTTCGATTGAGCAGTTTTGAAACACTCTTTTTGTAGAATCTGCAAGTGGACATTTGGAGAGCTTTGAGGCCTGTGGTGGAAAAGGAAATATCTTCACACAAAACTAGACAGAAGCATTCTGAGAAACTTATATGTAATATATGCAATCATCTCACAGAATTTCAACTTTCTTTTGATTGAGCAACTTTGAAACACTCTTTTTGTAGTATCTGCAAGTGGACATTTTTGGCGCTTTGAGGCAATGGTGGAAAAGGAAATAGCTTCACATAAAAACTATACAGAAACATTCTGAAAAACTTCAGTGAGATGTGTGGATTCATCTCACAGAGTTGAACCTTTCTTTTGATTGAACAGTTTTGAAAGACTCTTTTTGTAGAATGTGAATTTGGACATTTGGTGCGCTTTGCAGCCTATGGTAGAAAAGGAAATATCTTCACATAAAAACTAGACAGAAGCATTCTGACAAACTTCTTTGTGATTTGTGCATTCATCTCACAGAGTTGAACCTTTCTTTTGATTGAGCGGCTTTGAAACACTCTTTTTGTAGAATCTGCATGTGGACATTTGGAGCTCTTTGAGGCCTATGGTGGAAAACGAAATACCTTCACATAAAAACTATACAGAAACATTCTGATAAACTTCTTTGTTATGTGTGCATTCTTCTCACAGATTTGAACCTTTCTTTCCATTGAGCAGTTTTGAAAAACTCTTTTTGTGGAATCTGCAATTGTACATTTGAAGCGCTTTGAAGCCTATGGCTTAAAAGGAAATATGTTCACATAAAAACTAGACAGAATCATTCATAGAAAATCCTTTGTGTTGTGAGCATTCATCTCACCGGGTTGAACATTTCTTTTGATTGAGCAGGTTTAAACACTCTTTTTGTAGAATCTGCAAGTGGACATTAGGAGCCCTTTGAGTCCTGTGGTGGAATAGGAAATATCTTCATTTAAGAACTAGACAGAAGCATTCAGAGAAACTTCTTTGTGATGTGTGCGTTCATCTCACAGAGTTGAAACTTTCTTTTCATTGAGCAGTTTTGAAACAATCTTTTTGTAGAATCTGCAAGTAGACATTTGGAGCGCTTTGCAGCCTATGGTGGAAAAGGAAACATCTATACATGAAAACTAGATAGAAGCATTCTGACAAACTTCTTTGTGATGTGTGCTTTCATATCACAGAGTTGAACATTTCTTTTGCTTGAGCAGTTTGGAAACACTCTTTTTATAGAACCCGCATGTGGACATTTGGAGTGCTTTGAGGCCTACGGTGGAAAAGGAAACATCTTCATATGAAAACTAGACAGAAGCATTCTGACAGACTTTTTTTGATGTGAGAATTCACCTCACAGAGTTGAACCCTACCTTCGATTGAGCAGTTTTGAAACACTCTTTTTGTAGGATTTGCAATTGGACATTTGGAGTGCTTTGAGGACTATGGTGGAAAAGGAAATATCTGCACATAAACACTAGACAGAATTATTCTGAGAATATTATTTGTGATGTGTGCATTCATCTCACAGAGGTGAACCTTTCTTTTGATTGAGCAGTTTTGAAACACTATTTTTGTGGGATCTGTAAGTGGACATTTGGAGCGTTTTGACGCCTATGCTGGAAAAGGAAATATCTTCACATAAAAACTGGACAGAAGCATTCTGAGAAATTTCTTTGTGATGTGAGCATTCATCTCACAGAGTTGAAGCTTTCTTTTGATTGAACAGCTTTGAAACACTCTTTTTGTAGAATCTGCATGTGGAAATTTGGAGCATTTTGAGGCCTATTGTTGAAAAGGTAATATCTTCACATAATAACTAGACCCAAGCATTCTGAGAATCTTCTTTGTGATATGTGCATTTATCTCACAGCGTTGAAATTTTCTTTTGATAGAGTGGTTTGGAAACTCTTTTTGTAGAATCTGCAAGGGGACATTTGGAGAGCTTTGAGTCCTGTGGTGGAAAAGGAAATATCTACACTTAAGAACCTGACAGAAGAATTCTGAGAAACTTCTTTGTGAAATGTGCATTCATCTCACAGAGTTGAACCTTTCTTTTGATTGAGCAGTTTTGAAACACTCTTTCTGCAGGATCTGCAAGTGGACATTTGCAGCCCTTTGGGGCCTATGGTGGAAAAGGAAATATCTTCATATAAAGACTAGACAGAAGCATTCTCGCAAATTTCTTTGTGATGTGTGCATTCATCTCACTGAGGTGAACCTTTTTTTGATTGAGTAGTTTGGAAACTCTCTTTTTGTGGAATCCGGAAGTGGACATTTGGAGTGCTTTGGGACCAATGGTGGAAAAGGAAATATCTTCACTTAAGAACTAGACAGAAGCATTCTCAGAAACTTCTTTGTGATGTGTGCATTCATCTCACAGAGTTGAACCTTTCTTTTGATTGAGCAGTTTTGAAACACTCTTTTCGTAGAATCTGCAAGCGGACATTTGGAGCGCTTTGAGGCCTATGGTGGAAAAGGAAATATCTTCACATAAAAACTAGACAGAAACATTCTGAAAAACCTCTTTGTGATGTGTGCATTCATCTCACAGGGTTGAAACTTACTTTCGATTGAGCAATTTTTAAACACTCTTTTTGTAGTGTCTAGAATTGGACATTTGGAGTCCTTAGAGTCCTATGGAGGAAAAGGAAATATCTTCATATAAAAACTAGAGAGAAGTGTTTTGAGAAACTCTTTGTGATGTGTGCATGCATTCATCTCACAGATTTGAACCTTTCTTTTGATTCAGCAGCTTTGAAACACTCTTTTTGTAGCATCTAGAATTGGACATTTGGAGCGCTTAGAGTCCTATGGTGGAAAAGGAAATATATTCACGTAAAAACTAGACAGAATCATTCAGAGAAAATTCTTTGTGATGTGTGCATTCATCTCACAGAGTTAAACCGTTATTTTGATGGAGCAGTTTGGAAAAACTTTTTTTGTACGATCTGGATGTTTACATTTGGAGCGTTTTGAGGCCTATGGTGTAAAAGGAAATATCTTCAAATAAAAAACTAGACAGAAGCATTCTGAGAAACTTCTTTGTGATGGGTGCATTCATCTCACAGAGTTGAACATTTCTTTTGATTCAGCAGCTTTGAAACACTCTTTTTGTAGAATATGCAAGAGGACATTTGGAGTGCTTTGAGGCCAATGGTGGAAAAGGAAATATCTTCACATAAAAACTAGACAGAAGCATTCTGAGAAACTTCTTTGTGACGTGTGCATTCATCTCAGAGTGTTGAACCTTTCTTTTGATTGAGCAGCTTTGAAACACTCTTTTTTTAGAATCTGCATGTGCAGATTTGGAGCGCTTTGAGGCCAATGGTGGAAAAGGAAATATCTTCACATAAAAATGATTCAGAAATATTCTGAGAAACTTCTTCCTGATGTGTGCATTCATGTCACAGAGTTGAACCTTTATTTCATTGAGCAGTTTTTATTTATTTATTTATTATTATTATACTTTAAGTTTTAGGGTACATGAGCACAATGTGCAGGTTAGTTACATATGTATACATGTGCCATGCTGGTGCACTGCACCCACTAACTCGTCATCTAGCATTAGGAATATCTCCCAATGCTATCCCTCCCCCCTCCCCCCACCCCACAACAGTCCCCAGAGTGTGATGTTCCCCTTCCTGTGTCCATGTGTTCTCATTGTTCAATTCCCACCTATGAGTGAGAATATGCGGTGTTTGGTTTTTTGTTCTTGCGATAGTTTGCTGAGAATGATGATTTCCAATTTCATCCATGTCCCTACAAAGGACATGAACTCATCATTTTTTATGGCTGCATAGTATTCCATGGTGTATATGTGCCACATTTTCTTAATCCAGTCTATCATTGTTGGACATTTGGGTTGGTTCCAAGTCTTTGCTATTGTGAATAATGCCGCAATAAACATACGTGTGCATGTGTCTTTATAGCGGCATGATTTATAGTCCTTTGGGTATATACCCAGTAATGGGATGGCTGGGTCAAATGGTATTTCTAGTTCTAGATCCCTGAGGAATTGCCACACTGACTTCCACAGTGGTTGAACTAGTTTACAGTCCCACCAACAGTGTAAAAGTGTTCCTATTTCTCCACATCCTCTCCAGCACGTGTTGTTTCCTGACTTTTTAATGATTGCCATTCTAACTGGTGTGAGATGGTATCTCATTGTGGTTTTGATTTGCATTTATCTGATGGCCAGTGATGGTGAGCATTTTTTCATGTGTTTTTTGGCTGCATAAATGTCTTCTTTTGAGAAATGTCTGTTCATGTCCTTAAAAATCAATGTACAAACATCACAAGCATTCTTATACACCAACAACAGACAAACAGAGAGCCAAATCATGAGTGAACTCCCATTCACAATTGCTTCAAAGAGAATAAAATACCTAGGAATCCAACTTACAAGGGATGTGAAGGACCTCTTCAAGGAGAACTACAAACCACTGCTCAAGGAAATAAAAGAGGATACAAACAAATGGAAGAACATTCCATGCTCTTGGGTAGGAAGAATCAATATCGTGAAAATGGCCATACTGCCCAAGGTAATTTACACATTCAATGCCATCCCCATCAAGCTACCAATGACTTTCTTCACACAATTGGAAAAAACTATTTTAAAGTTCATATGGAACCAAAAAAGAGCCCGCATCGCCAAGTCAATCCTAAGCCAAAAGAACAACGCTGGAGGCATCACACTACCTGACTTCAAACTATACTAGAAGGCTACAGTAACCAAAACAGCATGGTACTGGTACCAAAACAGATATATAGATCAATGGAACAGAACAGAGCCCTCAGAAATAACGCCACATATCTACAACTATCTGATCTTTGACAAACCTGAGAAAAACAAGAAATGGGGAAAGGATTCCCTATTTAATAAATGGTTCTGGGAAAACTGGCTAGCCATATGTACAAAGCTGAAACTGGATCCCTTCCTTACACCTTACACAAAAATCAATTCAAGATGGATTAAAGACTTAAACTTTTGACTTAAAAGCATAAAAACCCTAGAAGAAAACCGAGTCATTACCATTCAGAACATAGGCATGGGCAAGGACTTCATGTCTAAAACACCAAAAGCAATGGCAACAAAAGCCAACATTGACAAATAGGATCTAATTAAACTAAAGGGCTTCTGCACAGCAAAAGAAACTATCATCAGAGTGAACAGGCAACCAACAAAATGGGAGAAAAGTTTCACAAGCTACTCATCTGACAAAGGGCTAATATCCAGAATCTACAATGAACTCAAACAAATTTACAAGAAAAGAACAAACAACCCCATCAAAAAGTGGGTGAAGGACATGAACAGACATTGAGCAGTTTTGAAAAGCTCTTTTTGTAATATCTGCAAGTGGACATTTGGAGCGCTTTTTGGCCTATGGTGGAAAAGGAAATATCTTCATTTAAGAACTAGATGGAAGCATTCTGTGAAACTGCTTTGTGATGTGTGCATTCCTCTCACAGAGCTGAAACTTTATTTTAATTTAGCAGTTTTGAGAACTCTCATTTTGTAGAATCTGCAAGTGGACATTTGGAGCACTTTGCGGCCTATGGTGGAGAAGGAAATATCTTCACATTAAAACTAGGCAGAAGCATTCTGACAAGCTTATTTGTCATTTATCTCATGGAGTTGCCATTTATCTCATGGAGTTGAACTTAACTTTCGATAGAGCAGTTTTGAAACACTCCTTTTGTAGAATCTGCAAGTGGACATTTGGAGAGCTTTGAGGCCTGTGGTGGAAAAGGAAATATCTTCACACAAAACTAGCCAGAAGCAATCTGACAAAGTTTTTGTGATGTGTGCATTCATCTCGCAGAGTGGAACCTTAATTTCGATTGAGCAGTTTTGAAACACTCCTTTTGTAGAATCTGTAAGTGGACATTTGGAGCGCTTTGATGCCTATGGTGGAAAACGAAATATCTTCACATAATAACTAGACAGAAGCATTCTGAGAAACTTCTATGTGATGTGTGCATTCATCTCATAGAGTTGAAACTTTCTTTTGATTGAGCCACTTTGAAACACTCTTTCTGTAGTATCTGCAAGTGGACATTTTTGGCGCTTTGAGGCAATGGTGGAAAATGTAATATCTTCACATAAAAACTAGACAGAAGAATTCTGAGAAACTTCTTTGAGATGTGTGTCTTCATGTTACAGAGTTGAACCTTTCTTTTGATTGAGCAGTTTGGAAACACACTTTTTGAAGAATCTTCAGGTGGACAATTGGAGCACTTAGTGGCCTATGGTAGAAAAGGAACTATGTTCACATACAATCTAGACAGAAGCAATCGGACAAGAGCAACTCTGAAACACTCTTTCTGTAGTATCTACAAGTGGACATTTTTGGCGCTTTGAGGCAATGGTGGAAAAAGAAATATCTTCACACAAGAACTATACAGAAACATTCTGAAAAACTTCACTGAGATGTGTGGATTCATCTCACAGAGTAGAACCTTTCTTTTGATTGAGTAGTTTTGAAAGACTCTATTTGTAGAATCTGAATTTGGACATTTGGTGCGCTTTGTGGCCCATGGTGGAAAAGGAAATATCTTCACATAAAAACTAGACAGAAGCATTCTGACAAACTTCTTCATGATTGCGCATTCATGTCACAGAGTTGAACCTTTCTTTTGAATGAGCAGCTTTGAAACACTCTTTTTGTAGAATCTGCATGTGGACATTTGGAGCTCTTTGAGGCCTATGGTGGAAAAGTAAATACCTTAATATAAAAACTATACAGAAATATTCTGACAAACTTCTTTGTTATGTGTACATTCTTCACACAGATTAGAACCTTTCTTTTCATTGAGCAGTTTTGAAAAACTCTTTTTGTGGAATCTGCAAGTGTACATTTGAAGCGCTTTGAGGCCTATGGTTTAAAAGGAAATATGTGCACATAAAAACTAGACAGAATCATTCATAGAAAATCCTTTGTGTTGTGGGCATTCATCTCACCGGATTGAACATTTCTTCTGATTGAGCAGGTTTAAACACTCTTTTTGTAGAATCTGCAAGTGGACATTGGGAGCCCTTTGAGTCCTATGGTGGAATAGGAAACATCTTCATTTAAGAACTAGACAGAAGCATTCTGAGAAACATCTTTGTGATGTGTGCATTCATCTCACAGAGTTAAACATTTCTTTTGATTGAGCTGTCTTGAAACTCTATTTTGTAGAATCTGCAAGTGGACATTTGGAGCGCTTTGAGGCTTATGGTAGAAAAGGAAATATCTTCACATAAAATCTAGACAAAAGCAATCTGAGAAACTTCTTTGTGATGTGTGCATTCATCTCACAGAGTTAAAATTTCTTATGATTGAGCAGTTTTCAAACTCTCTTTTTGTAGAATCTGGAAGTGGACATTTGGAGCCCTTTTAGGCCTATGGTGGAAAAAGAAATATCTTCCCATAAAAACTAGACAGAAGAATTCTGAGAAACTTCTTGGTGATGTGTGCGTTCATCTCACAGAGTTGAAACTTTCTTTTGATTGAGCAGTTTGGAAACTCTCTTTTTGTAGAATCTGCAAGTGGACATTTGGAGCGCTATGCGGCCTATGGTAGAAAAGGAAATATCTTCACATAAAACCTACACAGAAGCAATCTGAGAAACTTCTTTGTGATGTGTGCTTTCATCTCACAGAGTTAAACCTTTCTTTTGATTGAGGAGTTTTGAAACTCTCTTTTTGTAGAATCTGCAAGTGGACAATTGGAGCACTTCGAGGCCTTCGGTGGAAAAGAAAATATCTCCACATAAAAATAGACAGAAGATTTCTGAGAAACTTCTTTGTGATGTGTGCATTCATTTCACAGATTTGAACATTTCTGTTGATTGAGTAGTTTGGAAACTCTCTTTTTTAGAATCTGCAAGTGGACATTTGGAGCGCTTTGCGGCCTATGGTAGAAAAGGAATTATCTTCACATAATATCTAGACAGAAGCAATCTGAGAAACTTCTTTGTGATATGTGCATTCATCTCACAGAGTTAAGCCATTCTTTTGATTGAGCAGTTTTGAACCTCTCTTTTCGTAGACTCTGCAAGTGGACATTTCGAGCACTTTGAGGCTTATGGTGAAAAAGGAAATATCTTCCCATAAAAAGTAGACAGAAGAATTCTGAAAAACTTTGTGATGGGCACGTTCATCTCACAGAGTTGAAACTTTCTTTTGATTGAGCAGTTTGGAAACCCTCTTTTTATAGACTCTGCAAGTGGACATTTGGAGCACGTTGCGGCCTATGGTAGACTAGGAAATATGTTCTCATAAAATCTAGACAGAAGTAATCTGAGAAACAACTTTGTGATGTGTGCATTCATCTCACAGAGATAAACATTTCTTTTGATTGAGCAGTTTTGAAACTGTCTTTTTGTAGAATCTGCAAGTGGACATTTGGAGCGCTTTGAGGCCTATGGTGGAAAAGGAAATATCTTCACATAAAAACTACATAGAAGCATTCTGAGAAAGATTTTGTGATGTGCGCATTAATCACCCAGAGTTGAATCTTTCTTTTGAAGGACCAGTTTTGAAATACTCTGTTTGTAGAATCTTCAAGTGGACATTTCGAGTGCCTTGAGGCCTATGGTTTAAAAGGAAATATCTTCACATAAAAACAAGACAGAAGAATTCTGAGAAAGTTCTTTGTGATATGTGCGTTCATCTCGCAGAATTGAGCCTTTCTTTTGATTGAGCAGTGTTGAAACCCTCTTTTTGTAGAATCTGCAAATGGTCATTTGCAGCACTTTGAAGCCTACGGTGGAAAAGGAATTTATCTTCACATAAAAACTAGAGAGAAGAATTCTGACAAACTTCTTTCTGATGTGTGCGTTCATCTCACAGAGTTGAAACTTTCTTTTGATTGAGCTGTTTGGAAACACTCTTTTTGTAGAGTCTGCAAGTGGACATTTGGAGCACTTTGTGGCCTATGATAGAAAAATAAATATCTTCACATAAAATTCAGAGAGAGCCAATCTGAGAAACTACTTTGTGATGTGTGCATTCATTTCACAAGTGAAAACTTTAGTTGGCTTGAGCAGTTTTGAAACTCTCTTTTTGTAGAATCTGCAAGTGGACATTTGGAGCGCTGTTAGGCCTCTGGTGGAAAAGGTAATATCTTCACATAAATACTAGACAGAAGAATTCTGAGAAACTTCTTTGTGATGTGTGCATTAATCTCACTGAGTTGAACCTTCATTTTGATTGAGCATTTTGGAAGCACTCCTTTTGCAGAATCTGCAAGTGCAGATTTGGAGCGCTTTGTGGCCAGTGGTAGAAAAGGAAATACCTGCAAATAAAATCTAGACAGAAGCAATATGAGAAAATAATTTGTGATGTGTGCATTCTTCTCAGAGACTTAAACATTTCTTTTGATGGAGCATTTTTTAAACTCTGTTTTTGTAGAATCTGGAAGTGTACATTTGGAGCGGTTTGAGGACAATGTGGAAAAGAAAATATCTTCACATCAAAACCAGATTGAAGAATACTGGGAAACTTCTTTGTGATGTGTGCGTTCATCTCACAGAGTGGAACCTTTCTTTTGATTGAGCTGTTTGGAAACACTCTTTTTGTAGAATCTGCAAGTGGACATTTGGAGCACTTTGTGGCCTATGGTAGAAAAGGAAATATCTTCACATAGAATTCAGACAGAAGCAATCTGAGAAACTGCTTTGTGATGTGCACATTCATTTCACAGAGTTAAACTTTTCTTTTGATTGAGCTGTCTTGAAACTCTATTTTGTAGAATCTGCAAGTGGACATTTGGAGCACTTTGTGGCCTATGGTAGAAAAGGAAATATCTTCACATAGAATTCAGACAGAAGCAATCTGAGAAACTACTTTGTGATGTGCACATTCATTTCACAGAGTTAAACTTTTCTTTTGATTGAGCTGTCTTGAAACTCTATTTTGTAGAATCTGCAAGTGGACATTTGGAGCACTTTGTGGCCTATGGTAGAAAAGGAAATATCTTCACATAGAATTCAGACAGAAGCAATCTGAGAAACTATTTTGTGATGTGCACATTCATTTCACAGAGTTAAACTTTTCTTTTGATTGAGCTGTCTTGAAACTCTATTTTGTAGAACCTGCAAGTGGACATTTGGAGCGCTTTGAGGCCTATGGTAGTAAAAGAAACATCTTCACATAAAATCTAGACAAAAGCAATCTGAGAAACTTCTTTGTGATGTGTGCTTTCATCTCACAGAGTTAAAACTTTTTTTTGATTGAGCAGTTTTGAAACTCTCTGTTTGTAGAATCTGCAAGTGAAAATTTGGAGCGCTTTTAGGCCTATGGTGGAAAAGGAAATATCTTCCCATAAAAACTAGACAGAAGAATTCTGAGAAACTTCTTTGTGATGTGTGCATTCATCTCACAGAGTTGAAACTTCCTTTTGATTGAGCAGTTTGGAAACACTCTTTTTGTAGAATCTGCAAGGGACCATTTGGAGTACTGTGAAGCCTATGGTAGACAAGGAAATATCTTCACATAAATTCTAGACAGAAGCAATCTGAGAAACTTCTTTGTGTTGTCTGCATTCATCTCATAGAGTTAAACATTTCTTTTGATTGAGCAGTTTTGAAACTTTTTGTAGAATCTGCAAGTAGACATTCGGAGCACTTTGAGGCCTATGCTGGAAAAGGAAATATCTTCACATAAAAACTAGACAGAAGAATTCTGAGAAACTTCTTTGTGATGTGTGCACTCATATCACAGAGTTGGACCTTTCTTTTTATTGAGCAGTTTGGAAACACTGTTTTTGTAGAATCTGCAACTGGACATTTGGAGAGCTTTAAGGCCTATCTTTGAAAAGGAAATATCTTCACATAAAAACTAGACAGAAGAATTCTGAGAAATATCTTTGTGAGGTGTGCATTCATCTCACAGAGTAAAACATTTTATTGATTGAGCAGTTTTGGAACTCTCTTTTCATTGAATCTGCAAGTGGACATTTGGAGCGCTTTGCGGCCTCTGGTGGAAAAAGAAATACCTTCACATAAAAACTAGACAGAAGAATTCTGAGAAACTTCTTCGTGATGTGTGCTTTCATGTTACAGAGTTGAAGCTTTCTTTTGATTGAGCAGTTTGGAAACATTCTTTTGTAGAATGTGTAAGTGGATATTTGGAGCACTTTGCGGCCTATGATAGAAAAGGAAATATCTTCACATAAAATCTAGACAGAAGAAATCTGAGAAACTTGTTTGTGATGTGTGCATTCATCTAACAGAGTTAAAACTTTCTCTTTATTGAGCAGTTTTGAAACTCTCTTTTTTTAGAATCTGCATGTGGACATTTGGAGCGCTTTGAGGCCTATGGTGGTAAAGGAAATATCTTCACATAAAAACTAGATAGAAGCATTCTGAGAAACCTCTTTGTGATGTGTGGGTTCATATCACAGAGTTGAAACTTTCTTTTGATTGACCAGTTCAGAAACACTCCTTTTGTATAATCTGCACGTGGATATTTGGAGTGCTTTGCGTCCTATGGTAGAAAAGGAAATTTCTTCACATAAAATGTAGACAGAAGCAATCTGAGAAACGTCTTTGTGATGAGCGCATTCGTCTCACAGATTTAAACCTTTCTTTTGATTGAGCAGTTTTTAAACTACCTTTTTGTAGAATCTGCAAGTGGACATTTGGAGTGCTTTGAGGCCAATGTTGGAAAAGGATATATCTTCACATAAAAGCTACACAGAAGAATTCTGAGAAACATCTTTGTGATGGGTGCATTCACCTCAGAGTTGAACCTTCCTTTTGATTGAGCAGTTTGGAAACCCTCTTTTTGTGGAAACTGCAAGTGGATATTTGGAGGAATTTGTGGCCTATGCTAGAAAAGGAAATATCTTCATATAAAATCTAGACAGAAGCAATCTGAGAAACTTCTTTGTGATGTGTGCATGCATCTCACTGAGTTAAACCATTCTTTCAATTGAGCAGTTTTGAAACTCTCTTTTTTTAGAATCTGCAAGTAGATATTTGGAGCTGTTTCAGGACGATGGTGGAAAAGGAAGTATCGTCATATAAAAACTAGCCAGAAGATTTCTGAGAAACTTCTTTGTGATGTGTGCATTCATCCCACAGAGTTGAACTTTTTTTTTGATTAAGCAGTTTGGAAACACTCTTTTTGTAGAATCTGCATGTGGACACTTGGAGCACTTTGAAGCCTATGGTGGAAAAGGAAATATCTTCACATAAAACCTAGACAGAAGCAATCTGAGAAACTTCTTTGTGATGTGTGCATTCATCTCACAGAGTTGAACCTTCCTTTTGATTGAGCAGTTTGGAATCCCTCTTTTTGTAGAATGTGCAAGTGGACATTTGGAGCGCTTTGCGGACTATGGTAGAAAAGGAAATATCTTCACATTAAATCTAGACAGAAGCAATCTGAGAAATTTCTTTGGGATGTGTGCATTCGTCTCACAGAGTTAAACCTTCCTTTTGATAGAGCAGTATTGAAACTCTCTTTTTGTAGAATCTGCAAGTGGACATTTGGAGTGCTTTCAGGCCTATGGTGGAAAAGGAAATATCTTCACATAAAAACTAGACAGAAGAATTTGGACAAACTTCTTTGTGATGTGTGCATTCATCTCACAGAATTGAGCCTTTCTTTTGATTGAGCAGTGTTGAAACCCTCTTCTTGTAGAATCTGCAAATTGTCGTTTGGAGTGCTTTGAGGCCTGTGGTGGAAAAGGAATTTATCTTCACATAAAAACTAGAGAGAATTCTGACAAACTTCTTTATGATGTATGCGTTCATCTCACAGA
The DNA here is from genome assembly GCF_000001405.40 of Homo sapiens. Taxonomy (NCBI): domain Eukaryota; kingdom Metazoa; phylum Chordata; class Mammalia; order Primates; family Hominidae; genus Homo; species Homo sapiens. The sequence goes on from NC_000009.12 coordinate 64,684,783, forward strand.
GTTCAAACTTTCTTTTGATTGAGCAGCTTGGAAAGAGTCTTTTTGTAGAATCTGCAAGTGGACATTTGGAGTGCTTTTTGGCCTATGGACGAAAACGAAATATCTTCATATAAAATCTAGACAGTAGCAATCTGAGAAACTTCTTTGTAATGTGTGCATTCAACTCAGAGAGTTAAAACTTCAGTTTGATTGAGCAGTTTTGAAACTCTCTTTTTGTAGAATCTGCAAGTGGACATTTGGAGCGCTTTGAGGTCTATGGTAGAAAAGGAAATATCTTCACATAAAAACTAGACAGAAGAATTCTGACAAACTTCCTTGTGATGTGTGTGTTCATCTCACTGAGTTGAATCTTTATTTTGATTGAGTAGTTTGGAAACACTCTTTTTGTAGAATCTGCAAGTGGACATTTGGAGCACTTTTCGGCCTATGGTAGAAAAGGAAATACCTTCACATAAAATCTAGACAGAAGCAATCTGAGAAACTTCTTTCTGATGTATGCATTTATCTCACAGAGTTAAACCTTTCTTTTGATTGAGCAGTTTTGAGACTCTCTTTTTGTAGAATCTGCCAGTGGACATTTGGAGTGCTTTGAGGTGTACGGTGGAAAAGGAAATATCTTCACATAAAAACTAGACAGAAGAATTCTGACAGACTTCTTTGTGATGTTTGTGTTCATCTCACAGAGTAGAACCTTTCTTTTGATAGAGCAGTTTTGAAACTCTCTTTTTATAGAATGTGCAAGTGGACATTTGGAGCACTTTCAGGCCTATGGTGGAAAAGGAAATATCTTCACATAAAAAAATGACAGAAAAATTCTGAGAAACTTCTTTTTGATGAATGCGTTCATCTGAGAGAGTTGAACCTTTCCTTTGATTGAGCAGTTTGGAAACACTCTTTTTGTAGAATCTGCAAGTGGACATTTGGAGTGCTTTGAGGCCTATGGTGGAAAAGGAAATATCTTCACATAAAATCTAACAGAAGCAATCAGAGAAACTTCATTGTGATATGTGCATTAATTTCAGAGAGTTGAACTTTTCTTTTCATGGAGTAGTTTTGAAACTCTCTTTTTGTAAAATCTGCAAGTGGACTTTTGGAGCGCTTTGAAGCCTATGGTGGAAATGGAAATATCTTCATATAAAATCTAGACTGAAGAATTCTGAGAAACTTCTTTTTGAAGTGTGTTTTCATCTCATTTGAACTTTCCTTACGATTGAGCAGTCTGGAAACACTCTTTTTGCAGAATCTGCAAGTGAACATTTGGTGTGTTTTGCAGCCTATGGTTGAAAAGGAAATATCTCCATATAAAATCTAGACAGAAGTAATCTGAGAAACTCCTTTCTGATGCGTGCATTGATCTCATAGAGTTTAACCTTTCTTTTGATTCAGCAGTTTTGAAACTCTCTTTTTGTAATATCTGCAAGTGGACATGTGGTGCGCTTTGAGGCCTATGGTGGAATAGGAAATATCTTCACATAAAAAATAGATAGAAGCATTCTGTGAAACTTCTTTGTGATGTGTGCATTCATCTCCCAAGTCTGAACCTTTCTTTTGATGGACTAGTTTTGAAATACTCTTTTCGTGGAATCTGCAAGTGGACATTTCGAGCGCATTAAGGTCTATGGTGGAAAATGAAATATCTTCACATAAAAACTAGACAGAAGAATTTTGAGAAACTTCTTTGTTTTTTGTGCTTTATTCTCACAGAGTTGAATCTTTCTTTTATTTGAGCAGTTTGGAAACACTCTTTTTGAAGGGTCTGCAAGTGGACATTTGGAGTGCTTTGCGGCCTATGGTAGGAAAGGAAATATCTTCACATAAAATATAGACAGAAGCAATCTGTGAAGCTTCTTTGTGAAGTGTGCATTCGTCTCAGAGTTAAACCTTTCTTTTGATTGAGCAGTTTTGAAACTCACTTTTTGAGGAATTTGCAAGGGGACATATGGAGCATTTTGTGGCCTATGGTGGAAAAGGAAATACCTTCGCAAAAAACTAGACAAAAGAATTCTGAGAAACTATTTTGTGATGTGTGCGTTCATCTCACAGAGTTAAACTTTTTTTGATCGAGCAGTTTGGAACCACACTTTTTGAACAATCTGCAAGTGGACATTTGAAGCTCTTTGAGAACTGTGGTGGAAAAGGAAATATCTTCACATAAAAACTAGACAGAAGAATACTGTGAAATCACTTTGTGATGCGTGCGTTCATCACACAGAGTTGAAAGTTTCCTTTCATTGGGCTGTTTGGAAACACTCTTTTTGTAGAATCTACAAGTGGACAATTTTAGCGCTTTGCGGCCTATGGTAGAAAAGGAAATATCTTCACATAAAATCTAGACAGAAGCAATCTGACAAACTTCTTTGTGATGTGTGCATTCATCTCACAGAGTTAAACCTTTCTTTTTATTGAGCAGTTTTGAAACTCTCTTTTTGTAGTATCTGCAAGTGGACATTTGGAGCCCTTTTAGGCCTGTGGTAGAAAAGGAAATCTCTTCACATAAAAACTAGACAGAAGAATTTTGAAAAACTTCTTTGTGATGCGTGCTTTCATCTCCCATAGTTGAAACTTTCTTTTGATACAGCAGGTTGGAAACACTCTTTTGTAGAATCTGCAAGTGCACATTTGGAGTGCTTTGCGGCCTGTAGTAGAAAAGGAAATATCTTCACATAAAGTCTAGACAGAAGAAATCTGAGAAACTTCTTTGTGATGTGTGCATTCATCTCATGGAGTTAAACTTTTCTTTTGATTGAGCAGTCTTGAAGCTCTCTTTTTGTAGAATCCGCAAATGGATATTTGGAACTCTTTGAGGCCAACAGTGGAAAAGGAAATATCTGCACATAAAAACTAGACAGAAGAATTCTGAGAAACTTCTTTGGGACGTGTGCATTCATCTCACAGATTTGAACCTATCTTTTGATTGAACAGTTCGGAGACACTCTTTCTGTAGAATATGCAAGTGGACATTTGGAGAACTTTGTGGCGTATGGTAGAAAAGGAAATATCTTCACATAAAATCTAGACAGAAGCCATCTGAGAAACTTCTTTGTGATGTGTGCATTCATCTCACAGAGTTAAACCTTTCTTTTGATTGAGCAGTTTGGAAACACTCTTTTTGTAGAATCTCAAAGTGGACATTTGGAGCACTTAGAGGCCTATGGTGGAAAAGGAAATATCTTCACATAAAAACTAGATGGAAGAATTCTGATAATCTTCTTTGTGATGTGTGTGTTCATCTCACAAAGCTGAAATTTTCTTTTGATTGAGCAGTTTGGAAACACTCTTTTTGTAGAATCTGCAAGTGGACATTTGCAACGCTTTGCGGCCTATGGTTGAAACAGAAATATCTTCACATAAAATCTAGAAAGAAACAATCTGAGAAACTTCTTTGTGATGTGTGCATTCATCTCACAGAGTTAAACCTTTCTTTGGATTGAGCGGTTTTGAAACTCTCTTTTTGTAGAATCTGCAAGTGGACATTTGGAGAGCTTTGAGGCCTATGGTGGAAAAGGTAATATCTTCACATAAAAACTAGACAGAAGAATTCTGACAAACTTCTTGGGAATGTGTGCGTTCATCTCACAGACTTGAACCTTTCTTTTGATTGAGCAGTTTGGAAACACTCTTTTTTGTAGAATCTGCAAATGGACATTTGAAGCACTTTGCGACCTATGGTAGAAAAAGTAATACCTTCACATAAAATCTAGAGAGAAGAAATCGGAGAAACTTCTTAGTGATGGGTGCATTCATCTCACAGAGTTTAAACTTTCTTTTGATTCAGCAGTTTTGAAACTCTCTTTTTGTAGAATCTGCAAGTGGACATTTGGAACGCTTGAGGCCTATGGTGGAAAAGGAGATATCTTCACATAAAAACTAGAAAGAAGAATTCTGACAAACTTCTTTGTGATGTGTGCGTTCTTCTCACAGAGTGTAACCGTTCTTTCGATTGAGCAGTTTGGTACCACTCTTTCTTGTAGAGTCTGCAAGTGGACATTTGGAGCGCTTTGCAGTCTATGGTAGAAAAGTAAATATCTTCACATATAATCTAGACAGAAGTAATATGAGAAACTTGTTTGTGATATATGCATTCATCTCACAGAGATAACCCTTTCTTTTGATTGAGCAGTTTTGAAACTCTCTTTTTGTAGAATCTGCAAGTGAACATTTAGAGCATCTTGAGGCCTATGGTGGAACAGGAAATATCTTCACATAAAAATTAGACAGAAGAATTCTGAGAAACTTCTTTGTGATGAGTGTGTTCATCTCACAGAGTTGAACGTTTCTTTTGATTGAGTAGTTTGGAAACACTCTTTTTGTAGAATCTGCAAGTGGACATTTGGAACTCTTTGCGGCCAATGGTAGAAAAGGAAATATCTTCACATAAAATCTAGACAGAAGCAATCTGAGAAACTTTTGTGATGCGTGCATTAATCTCACAGAGTTAAACCTTTCTTTTGATTGAGCAGATTGGAAACTCTCTTTTTGTAGAATCTGCAAGTGGACATTTGGCAGCGCTTCGAGGCCTGTGGTGGAGAAGGAAATATCTTCACATAAAAAGTAGATAGAAGCATTCTGAGAAAGTTCTCTGTGATGTCTGCACTCATCTCCTGGAGTTCCAACTTTCTTTAGGAGAACCAGTTTTCAAATACTCTTTTTGGAGAATCTGCAAGGGGACATTTCAAGCACCTTGAGGCTTAAGTTGGAAAAGAAAATATCTTCACACAAAAAAAGAAGAATTCTGAGAATCTTTTTTATGATGTGTACGTTCATCTAACAGAGTTGAACCTTTCTTTTGATTGTGTAGTTTGGAAACACCCTTTTTGTAGAATCGGCAAGTGGACATTTGGAGCGCTTTGTGGCCTATGATAGAAAAGGAAATATCTTCACATAAAATCTAGAAGGAAGCAATCTGAGAAACTCCTTTGTGATGTGTTCATTCATCTCACAGAGTTGAAACTTTCTTTTGATTGAGCAGTTTTGAAACACTCTCTTCGTGGAATCTGCAAGTGGATATTTGGAGCCCTTTGAGGCCTATTGTGGAAAAGGAAATTTCTTCACATAAAAACTACTCAGAAGCATTCTGAGAAACACCATTGTCATGTTTGCATTCAACTCACAGAGTTGAAACTACATTTTGATTGAGCAGTTTTGAATCTCTCTTTTTGCAGAAACTACAAGTGTATGTTTGGAAAGCTTTGAGGCCTATTGTGGAAAAGGAAATATCTTCACATAAAAACTACACAGAAGCATTCTGAGAAACTACTTTGTGAGGTGTGCATTCAACTCACAGAGTTGAAATTATCTTTTCTTTGAGGAGTTTTCAATCTCACTTTTTGTAGAATCTGCAAGTGGATATTTGACGACCTTTGTGCCCTATGGTGGAAAAGGAAATATCTTGAAATAAAAACTACACAGAAGCATTCAGAGAAACTTCTTCGTGATATGTGCATTCAACTCACAGAGTTGAACCTATCTTTTGATTGAGCAGTTTTGAATCTCTCTGTTTGCACAATCTGAAGGTGGATATTTTGAGCCCTTTGAGGCCTACAGTGGAAAAGCAAATATCTTCACATAAAAACTATGCAGAAGCATTGTGAGAAACTACTTTGTGAGGTGTGCATTCAACTCACAGAGTTGAACTTATCTTCTCATTGAGCAGTTTTGAATTTATCTTTTGGTAGAATCTCCAAGTGGATATTTGGAGCCCTTTGCGCCCTATGGTGGAAAAGGAAATATCTTCAAATAAAAACTACACAGAATCACTCAGAGAAACTGCTTTGTGATGTGTGCATTCATCTCACAGGGTTGAACCTAGCTTATGATTGAGCAGTTTTGAAACACTCTTTTTGTAGGATCTTCAAGTGGATATTTGGAGCGCTTTGAGGCCTACAGTGGAAAACCAAATATCTTCAAATAAGAACTACACAGAAGCATTCTGAGAAACTTCTTTGTGATGTGTGCATTCATCTCACAGAGTTGAAACTTTCTTTTGATTGAGCAGTTTTGAAACACTCTTTCTGTTGAATCTGCAAGTGGATATTTGGAGCCCTCTGCAGCCTATGGTGGAAAAGGAAATATCTTCAAATAAAAACTACAAAGAAGCATTCCCAGAAACTTCTTAATGATGTATGCGTTCAACTCACAGAGTTGAACCTATCTTTTGATTGAACAGTTTTGAATCTCTCTTTTTGTAGAATCTGCAAGTGGATATTTGGAGCGCTGTGAGGCCTATTGTGGAAAATCAAATATGTTCACATAAAAACTACAGAGAAGCATTCTGAGAAACTTCTTTGTGCTGTGTGCATTCAACTCACAGAGTTCAACCTGTCTTTCAATTAGCACTTTTGAATCTCTTTTTGCAGAATCTGCAAGTGGATGTTGGGAGAGCTTTGAGGCCTATGGTGGAAAAGGAAATAGCTTCACATAAAAACTACACAGAAGCATTCTGAGAAACTTCTTTGTGATGTGTGCATTCATCTCACAGAGTTGAACCTTTCTTTTGATTGAGCAGTTTTGAAACACTCTTTTTGTAGAATCTGCAAGTGGATATTTGGAGAACTTTGAGGCCTATTGTGGAAAAGGAAATATCTTCACATAAAATCTACTCAGAAGCACTCTGAGAAACTTCTTTCTGATATGGGCATTCAACTCACAGAGTTGAACCTTTCTTTTGATTGAGCAGTTTTGAAACACTCTTTTTGTAGAATCTGCAAGTGGATATTTGGAGCCCTTTGCACCCTATGGTTGAAAAGGAAATATCTTCAATAAAAACTACACAGAAGAATTCTAAGAAACTTCTTCGTGATGTGTGCATTCAACTGACTGAGTTGAACTTATCTTCTCATTGAGTAGTTTTCAATCTCTGTTTTGTAGAATCTGGAAGTGGATGTTTGGAGCCCTTTCACCCTATTGTGGAAAAGGAAATATCTGCAAATAAAACTACACAGAATCATTCAGAGAAACTTCTTTGTGATGTACACATTCAACTCACAGAGTTGATCCTATCTTTTGATTGAGCAGTTTTGAATCCCTCTTTTTGCAGAATCTGCAGGTGGATATCTGGAGCCTTTTGAGGCTTACTGTGGAAAATCAAATATGTTCACATAAAAACTACACAGAAAGATTCTGAGAAGCTTCTTTGCGATGTGTGCATTCAAGTCACAGAGTTGAACCTATCTTTTGATTGAGCAGTTTTGAATCTCTCTTTTTGCAGAACCTGTATGTGGATGTTTGGAGAGCTTGGAGGCCTATTGTGGAAAAGGAAATATCTTCACATAAAAACTACAGAGAAGCATTCTGAGAAACTTCTTTGTGAGGTATGCATTCAACTCACAGAGTTGATCTTATCTTCTCATTGAGCAGTTTTGAATCTCTCCTTTTGTAGAATCTGCAAGTGGATATTTGGAGCCCTTTGAGCCCTGTGGTGCAAAAGGAAATATCTTGAAATAAAAACTACAAAGAAGCATTCAGACAAACTTCTTTGTGATGCATGCATTCAACTCACAGAGTTGAACGTATCTTTTGATTGAGCAGTTTTGAATCTCTCTTTTTGCAAAATCTGCAGGTGGATATTTGGAGCCCTTTGAGGCCTACTGTGGAAAAGCAAATATCTTCACATAAAAATTACACAGAAGTATTCTGAGAAACTACTTCGTGACGTGTGCATTCATCTCACAGGGTTGAATCTATCTCATGATTGAGCAGTTTTGAAACACTCTTTTTGTAGAATATGGAAGTGGATATTTGGAGCCCATTGAGGCCTATAGTGGAAAGGAAATATCTTCACATAAAAACAACACAGAAGGATTCTGAGAAACTTCTTTGTGATGTGTGCATTCATCTCACTGAGTTGAATCTTTCTTTTCATTGCGCAGTTTTGAAACACCATTTTTGTACAATCTGCAAGTGGATATTTGGAGAACTTTGCCGCCTATTGTGGAAAAGGAAACATCTTCACATAAAAACTACTCAGAAGCATTCTGAGAAACTTCTTTGTGATGTGGGCATTCAACTCACAGAGTTGAACCTACCTTTTGATTGAGCAGTTTAGAGTCTCTCTTTTTCTATAATCTGCAAGTGGATATTTGGAGCCCTTTGCACCCTATGGTGGAAAAGAAAATATCTTCAATAAAAACTACACAGAAGCATTCTAAGAAACTTCTTCATGATGTGTACAGTCAACTCATTGAGTTGAACTTATCTTCTCAATGAGCAGTTTTGAATCTCTGGTTTTGTAGATTCTGCAAGTAGATATTTAGAGCCCTTTGTGCCCTATCGTGGAAAAGGAATTATCTTCAAATAGAACTACACAGAACCATTCAGAGAAACTTCTTTCTGATGTATGCATTCCACTCACAAAGTTGAACCTATCTTTTGATTGAGCAGTTTTGAATACCTCTTTTTGCTGAATCTGCAAGTGGATATTTGGAGCATTTTGAGGCCTGCTGTGGAAAATCAAATATGTTCACATAAAAACTACACAGAATCACTCAGAGAAACTGCTTTGTGATGTGTGCATTCAACTCACAGAGTTGAACCTATCTTTTGATTGAGCAGTTTTGAATCTCTCTTTTTGTAGAATCTGCAAGTGGATATTAGGAGCCCTTTGCGTCCTATGGTGGAAAAGGAAATATCTTCAAATAAAAACTACATAGAAGCATTCAGAGAAACTGCTTTGTGATGCGTGCATTCAACTCACAGAGGTGAACTTATGTTTTGTTTGAGCAGTTTTGAAACTCTCTTTATGCAGAATCTGCAGGTGGATATTTGGAGACCTTCGAGGCCTACTGTGGAAAAGGAAATAACTTCAAATAAAAACTATACAGAAGCATTCTCAGAAACTTCTTCATGATGTATGCATTCAACTCACAGAGTTGAACCTATCTTTTGATTGAACAGTTTTGAATCTCTCTTTTTGCACAATCTGCAAGTGGATATTTGGAGCGTTGTGAGGCCTACTGTGGAAAATCAAATATGTTCACATAAAAACTAAACAGAAGCATTCTGAGAAACTTCTTTGTGATGTGTGCATTCAACTCACAGAGTTGAACCTATCTTTTGATTGAGCAGTTTTGAATCTCTCTTTTTGCAGAATCTGTTAGTGGATGTTTGGAGAGCTTTGAGGACTATTGTGGAAAAGGAAATATCTTCACATAAAAACTACAGAGAAGTATTCTGAGAAACTTCTTTGTGAGGTGTGCATTCAACTCACAGAGTTGATCTTATCTTCTCATTGAGCAGTTTTGAATCTCTTTTTTTGTAGAATCTGCAAGTGGATATTTGGAGCCCTTTGAGCCCTATGGTGCAAAAGGAAATATCTTGAAATAAAAACTACAAAGAAGCATTCAGACAAACTTATTTGCGATGTGTGCATTCAACTCACAGAGTTGAAAATATCTTTTGATTCAGCAGTTTTGAATCTCTCTTTTTGCAGAATCTGCAGGTGGATATTTGGAGCCCTTTGAGGACTACTGTGGAAAAGCAAATATCCTCACATAAAAATTACACAGAAGCATTCTGTGAAACTACTTCATGACGTGTGAATTCATCTCACAGGGATGAATTTATCTCATGATTGAGCAGTTTTGAAACACTCTTTTTGTAGAATATGGAAGTGGATATTTGGAGCCCACTGAGGCCCACAGTGGTAAGGAAATATCTTCACATAAAAACAACACAGAAGGATTCTGAGAAACTTCTTTGTGATGTGTGCATTCATCTCACAGGGTTGAAACTTTCTTTTCATTGAGCAGTTTTGAAACACCGTTTTTGTAGAATCTTCAAGTGGATATTTGGAGAACTTTGCTGCTTATTGTGGAAAAGGAAACATCTTCACATAAAAACTACTCAGAAGCATTCTGAGAAACTTCTTTGTGATGTGGGCATTCAACTCACAGAGTTGAACCTATCTGTTGATTGAGCAGTTTAGAGTTTCTCTTTTTCTAGCATCTGCAAGAGGATATTTGGAGCCCAATGCGCCCTATGGTGGAAAAGGAAATATCTTCAATAAAAACTGCACAGAAACATTCTAAGAAACTTCTTCGTGATGTGTACATTCAAATCACTGAGTCGAACTTATCTTCTCAATGAGCAGTTTTGAATCTCTGGTTTTGTAGAATCTACAAGTGGATATTTGGAGCCATTTGTGCCCTATGGTGGAAAAGGAATTATCTTTAAATAAAACTACACAGAACCATTCAGAGAAACTTCTTTGTGATGTATGCATTCAACTCACAAAGATGAACCTATCTTTTGATTGGGCAGTTTAGAATCTCTCTTTTGAAGAAACTGCAAGTGGATATTTGGAGCCCTTTGCGCTCTGTGTTGGAAAAGGAAATATCTTTAAATAAAAACAACACAGAAGTAGTCAGATAAACTTCTTTGTGCTGTCTGCATTAAACTCAGAGAGTTGAAACTTCCTTTTGGTAGAGCAGTTTTGAAACACTCTTTTTGTAGAATCTGCAGGTGGATATTTGGAGCGCTTTGAGACCTATGGTAGAAAAGGAAATATGTTCATACAGAAACTAGATAGAAGCATTCACAGAAACTACTTTGTGATGTGTGCATTCAACTCAAAGAGTTGAACATTCCTTTAGTCAGAGCAGTTTTGCAGCACTCTTTTTGTAGAATCTGCAAGTGGATACTTGGACTGCTCTGAGGCCTATGTTGGAAAAGGAAATATCATCACACAAAAACTAGACAGAAGCATTCTCAGAAACTTCTTTGTGATTTGTGCATTCAACTCATGGAGTTCACCATTGCTCTTGACAGAACAGTTTTGAAACACACTTTTTGTAGAATCTGCAAGTGGATATTTGGAGTGCTTTGAGGTCTTCGGTGGAAACAGGAATACCTTCACATAAACACTAGACAGAAGCATTCTCAGAAACTTCTTTGTGATGTGTGCATTCAATTCACAGAGTTGAACCTTCTTTTCGATAGAGCAGTTTTGAGACACTGTTTTTGTATAATCTGCAAGTGGACATTTGGATCGCTCTTAGGCCTACGGTGGAAATGGAAATATTTTTAGATAAAAACCAGAAAGAAGAATTCTCAGAAACTTCTTTGTGATGTGTGCATTCAACTCAGAGAGTTGAACCTTTCTTTTGATAGAGCAGGTTTGAAATACTTTTTTGTAGAATCTGCAAGTGGACATTTGCAGCACTTTGAGGCCAATGGTGGAAAAGGAAATAACTTCAAATAAAAACTAGACAGAAGCATTCTCAGAAACTTCTTTGTGATGTTTGCATTCAACCCACAGATTTGAACATACCTTATCATAGAGCAGTTTTGAAACACTCTTTTAGTAGACTTCGTAAGGGGATATTTGGACCGCTCTGAGGCCTTCGCTGGAAACGGGAATACCTTCACATAAAGACTAGACAGAAGCATTCTCTGAAACCTCTTAGTGATGTGTGCATTCAACTCACAGAGTTGAATTTTTCTTTTGATAGAGCAGGTTTGAAACACTCTTTTTGTAGAATCTGCAAGTGGATATTTGGATAGCTTTGAGGATTTCGTTGGAAACGGGAATATCTTCAATTAAAAACTATACAGAAGCATTCTCAGAAACTTCTTTGTGATGTGTGCATTCAACTCACAGAGTTGAATCTTTCTTTTGATAGAGCAGATTGGAACCACTTTTGTTGTAGTATTTGCAAGTGGATGTTTGGACAGCTTTGAGGCCTTCGTTGGAAACGGGTATCCCTTCACATAAAAACTACACAGAAGCATTCTCAGAAACTTCCTTGTGGTGCTTGCAATCAACTCACTGAGTGGAACATTCCTTTTCATAGAGTAGTTTTGAAACACTTTTTTTGTAGAATCTGTAAGTGGAAACTTGAAGCGCTTTGAGGCCTATGGTGAAAAACGAAATATCTTCCCATAAAAACTAGACAGAAGAACTCTCAGAAACTTCTTTGTGATGTGTGTACTCAATTAACAGAGTTGAACTTTTCTTTTGATAGAGCTGTTTTGAAACACACTTTTTGTAAAATCTGCAAGTGCATATTTGGATATCTTTGAGGATTTCATTCGAAACGGGATTATCTTCACATAAAAACCAGACAGAAGCATTCTCAGAAACCACTTTGTGATGTTTGCATTCAACTCTCAGAGTTGAACATTCCTTTTCATACAGAAGTTCTGAAACACTCTTTTTTTTTGTATCTGGTAGTGGACATTTGGAGCGCTTTGAGGCCTATGGTAAAAAACGAAATATCCTCACATAAAAACGAGACAGAAGCATTCTCAGAAACTTCTTTGTCATGTGTGTACTCAACTCACAGAGTTTAACCTTTCTTTTGATACAGCACGTTTGAAACACTCCTTTTTAGAATCTGCAAGTGGATATTTAGATAGCTTTGAGGCTTTCGTTGTAAAGGGGGAATATCTTCATGTAAAAACTAGACAGAAGCATTCTCAGAAACTTCTTTGTTATCTTTGCATTCCACTCACAGAGTTGAACATTCCCTTTCATAGAGCAGTTTTGAAACTCTCTTTTTGTGAAATCTGCAAGTGGACATTTGGAGCGATTTGAGACCTATGGTGAAAAACGAAATATCTTCACCTAAAAAGTGGACGGAAGGATTCTCAGAAACTACTTTGTGACGTGTTTACTCAACTTACAGAGTTAAACCTTTCCTTTGATAAGGCAGTTTTGAAAAACTGTTTTTGTAGACTTTACAAGTGGATATTAGGACAGCTTTGAGTATTTCATTGGAAACGGGAATAACTTCACATAGAAACTAGAGAGAAGCATTCTCAGAAACTTCTTTGTGATGCTTGCATTCAACTCACTGAGTTGAACATTCCTTTTCATAGAGCAGTTTGGAAACACAATTTTTGTAGTATATGGAAGTGGAAACTTGGAGCGCTTTGAGGCCTATGGTGAGAAAGGAAATATCTTCCATAAAAACTAGACAGAAGAATTCTCAGAAACTTCTTTGTGATGTGTGTACTCAACTCACAGAGTTGAACTTTTCTTTTGATAGAGCAGTTTTGAAACACACTTTTTGTAGAATCTGCAAGTGGATATATGGATAGCTTTGAGGATTTTGTTGGAAACAGGAATATCTTCACATAAAAACAAGACAGAAGCATTCTCAGAAACCTCTTTGTGATGTGTGTACTCAACTCACAGAGTTTAACATTTCTTTTGATACACCAGTTTGAAACAGTCTTTTTGTAGTATCTACAAGTGGATATTTGGATAGCTTGGCAGCTTTCATTGGAAACGGGAATATCTTCACATAAAAACTAGACAGAAGCATTCTCAGAAACTTCTTTTTGGTGCTTGCAATCAACTCAGTGAGTTGAATATTCCTTTTCACAGAGCAGTTTTAAGACACTCTTTTTGTCGAATCTGCAAATGGAAACTCGGAGGGCGTTGAGGACTATTGTGAAAAAGGAAATATCTTCCCATAAAAACTAGACAGAAGAATTCTCAGAATCTTCCTTGTGATGTGTGTACTGAACTCACAGAGTTGAACCTTTCCTTTGATACAGCAGTTTTGAAACACTCTTTTTGTAGAATCTGCAAGTGGATATTTGGATAGCTTTGAGGTTTTCGTTAGAAACGGGAATATCTTCAGATAAAATCTAGACAGAAGCATTATCAGAAACGTCTTTGTGATGTTTGCATTCAAGTCACAAAGTTGAACATTCGCTTTCATAGAGCAGGTTTGAAACACTCTTTTTGTAGTATCTGCAACTGGACATTTGGAGCGCTTTGTGGCCTATGGTGAAAAAGGAAATATCTTCCCATAAAAACTAGACAGAAGCATTCTCAGAAACTTGTTTGTGATGTGTGTACTCAACTGACAGAGTTGAACCTTTCTTTTGATAGAGCAGTTTTGAAACACTCTTTTTGTAGAATCTGCAAGTGGATATTTGGATAGCTTTGAGGATTTCGTTGGAAACGGGAATATCTTCATATAAAATCTAGACAGAAGCATTCTCAGAAACATCTCTGTGATGTTTGCATTCAAGTCACAGAGTTGAACATTCCCTTTCATAGAGCAGGTTTGAAACACTCTTTTTGTAGTATCTGGAAGTGCACATTTGGAGCGCATTGAGGCCTAAGGTGAAAAAGGAAATATCTTCCCATAAAAACTAGACAGAAGCATTCTCAGAAACTTGTTTAGGATGTGTGTACTCAACTAACAGAGTTGAAACTTTCTTTTGATAGAGCAAAACAGTAAATTGAAGTTTAAAATAATTGTAACAATTGCATCTTATATATCAGGTGAGATTTCATAGTTTGGTTCAAGTAGTTTTCAAGTGACAAATTTTCAAGTTTTTAAGTTTTCAAGAGTTGTGCAAGTTCATCAGCCAGAAATCAAGCAAAAGGCTAGATAAGTAGCAGCAGGTGCAGGATTCTTGATATTGAAACTTTTAGGACTTTTCTCCTTCAGGATTCCAATGTTGTACATTTTATTTCCAGTATAACCCCTATGCATGGGATAAAGTAGTTTCACATGTTTGATTTTTCTAATTAGTTATTTGGGTTTCAAAATGTCCAGTTTATCAAAAAATCTTGTGCTGTGTACTGGGGACCATCTACTATAGCCTGATCATTGAATTTTTCAAGAACCTAAGGGGTTCCCTAAGTCCAAGGAAGACAATCAGTGTCTACAAGTCAGGAGGAGAAGGGGAAAGGGCATTCTAATCATTGCTTTGTTTTCATTGATTCTGTTGCTGCTTTCTTGCCATTGAAACTACTCTTGCAGTCTGGTAATGATTAACCTTTGCCACCAGGATGCCCTTTCTGTTTGAGATCCCTCAATCTTCATGTTGATCCATAAAAAGGCTTCAAAGTTACAACTATTTTTTTTAGTTCCCAGACTAACAAAAATAATCTAGCTTTTTGTCTTGACTACCAACCACTCTGGATTTTTTTTTTTTTTTTTTTTTTTTGAGATGGAGTCTCGCCCTGTCGCCCAGGCTAGAGTGCAGTGGCGTGATCTTGGCTCACATAACCTCCACCTCCCAGGTTCAAGCAATTCTCTTATCTCAGCCTCCGAAGTATCTGGGACTATAGGCACACACCACCACGCCCGGCTAATTTTTGTATTTTCAGTAGAGATGGGGTTTCACCATGTTGGTCATGCTGCTCTTGAACTCCTGACCTCAGGTGATCCATCTGCCTTGGCCTCCCAAAGTGCTAGGATTACAGGCATGAGCCACCATGCCCGGCCCACTCTGGATTTAAGGACAGTTCTTCCTTCAATCAGCAGCCAAAGAGTCCTGATTCCTGATTCTAATTAAGAAGTTTAACTTGGTATTCTATTTCTGATGGAAGGATGGCTGAAAGAAGGGAGACTCAAACAACAGATGAAGGCAAAATACTCTGTACTGAATTTTCAATGTAATCTTAAATTCTATGTTTAATTGAGATGACCCAAATTCTTTTTTTTTTTTTTTTTTGATACGCAGTCTCGCTCTGTTGCCCAGGCTAAAGTGCAGTGGCATGATCTCGGCTCACTGCAACCTCCACCTCCCGGGTTCACACCATTCTCCTGCCTCAGCCTCCCAAGTAGCAGGGACTACAGGCACCCGCCACCACACCTGGCTAACTTTTTGTATTTTTAGTGGAGACAGAGATGACCCAAATTCTTAACTGCCTCATAAATACTGTTAATATATTGAAAGTTTTGCCCTAGGCTTTTATTAAAGTCAACTATATAGAAAAAGTTTCTCCTATCTTGAGATGTATTATTAAAGACATCATCCCCAATAATATTCCATATTCTCTGTTTAGGAACCCCAATTGTTTTCAAATTCAAGAATTCAGAGAAATCTACTTGTTACAAAAGAGTAGAATGGATAATGGGCACCACATCCTGAAGTGTATTTTAATAAAAATTCATGTAAGATGGTTCAAAATTTCATTAACTACTTTATATAAAAAGAAATGCCTGGGAGAATTCTGTTTCTAGCAGAGTGGCAGACTGATGCCTTGAACAACCCTCCTATTACAAAACTGAATACTCCACATGAAAACAAATCTTTTCAAATGCATTGTTAAGCTGTGAAGAGAATAACGAAAGTTCTAAGAAACCAAAATCTAAATGAAAACACAAGTCCAGGCAGGCACTGAAAACCTAAAAAAAAAAAAAAAAAACTGAAGAGGCCAATTGTTGGCAAGCATGTGGAACAGCAGGAACTCTTCAAGCTGCTGCTGGTGGCGGAGGCCAAGCCACTGTGCTCCCAGAACACAACACAGAAGCCTCCACACTGAAGCAGAGCACAGGTGCCCTGGAGTCTCCACCCCACCCAGGGATCCTCCAGCAGAAGTGGGTGTGCCCCTGCATACCTGCAAGTCCCATATGCAGACCTACTGTTCAGGGCTGTGGGATAACAGCCAAAAATAGGAAATCATTTTACTCATCAATGGAAAAATGGTGACACAGTCATATAATGGAACTCAACAATGACGATAAATCAATGTCTGCCATAGACAAGAACATGGATGTGTTCTGTAATACTGAACCAAAGAAGCCAGGCTAAATAGAATGTGCTGTATTTTATAGAAGTCAAAACCAGGCAGAACAAATCTACATCAGGAACTGGGAAAGTAGCTATTTTGTGGGTTGGGGCAGCAGTGCCTGGGAGAGGCCACAGGTCAAGGCTACTGCTTGGTCCAGGGCGTGGCAGCCTGGTGTGCTACAGTTCATCTAGATGCACACTTATGATTCGGGCACTCTTCTGTATGTACATTAACATTTCAATAAAAAGCTTATTAAAACATTAAAGCTTTCAGAAAAATCCACATTGCTTCAGTAGAAATTAGCACATTAGCGTTTAAAAAATACATGTATATGGTGGGGGAAAAAAACAGTTCAAAAGAGTATCCAGTGAAAAGTTTAAGAGGGAGTGATGCCAGCTAAGGGCTGATCAATAGCCCCTTGCACTCATCCCCTGACAAAGACAGCCAAAGCAGCAAACAGCTATATTTTGATGAAAGTCACTAAAGGAGAGCCCCAGAGTGCATCAAGGAGTAGCAGAAATCCAGTAGAGCCCGGAAAACAGGACGGTCACATAAAGGAGGGAAGGAAACATCTGGCCCCCACCACCCATTCCCCCAGAGGGATCAGCCTGAAGCAGAGGGGATGTCTCCCTGCAGGAATAAGGAAGCAAGAGGGGCCCAGTAGCCCCAGCACTCCCCTCAGAGAAGGAACTGACATTGTGCCCCACCCCCATGGACCAGCTGCTGCTGCAACGTGCCCTCCTGGACCTGGACCACTTCGGGAGCATGTCCCACCCAGGGTGAGCAGCCACCGCACCCTTCTTCCATCCTCAGGCTTTGTTGCTCTATATCACACCCACCTAGTGGCTCACCACCCCTGAGCCGCTGTTACACTGTCTTAGGCCATTTAGTGTGGCTGTAACAGAATACTTGAGACTCGGGGTAACTTATTTTATAAAAAAGGTTTATTTGGCTCACCCTGCTTGTGTCTGAAAAGTCCGAGATCGGGCAGCACAACTGGTGAGGGTCTTGTGCTGCTTCATCTCATGGGGAAAGTGGAAGGCGAAACAGGTGTATGCAAGGGGCTCACATGGCAAGAGAGGAAACACAAGAGTCTAGGAAGCTGAACTCACTCTGATAACAATCCACTCCTGGTAACTAATCCAGTCCCATGAAAAGGCATTAATCTATTCATAAAGGATCTGCCCTGTGACTCAAATAACTCCCACTAGGCCCCACCTCCCACACCACCACATTTGAAATCAAATTTCAAATGGATGAAATTTCAAATGGCTGGTGGGAACAAATGATGTCCACATCACAGCACACACCCCACCTGCGGGGCCACGCTGCTGTGCCCCTCCCCTCCCAGCTGCCATTGCGCCCTGCCCCTTGGAGCCTGAGCTGACTTGGTGCCCTGCTTTCCAGGGAATCAGTGTCTTGGCCAGTCTAAGCAGTCACACCCCCCACTGCATGAGAGCTGAAGCACTGCCCTGCTTCACAGAGAATCAGTGTCTTGGCTGAGCTGAGCAGCCACACCTGCCAGGGATGAGCCAACATGGCACCCCCATATCCCAGGAAAACGGCATTGGCTGAACTGGGGTACCTTGCCCTTCAGGACAAACAACTGTAGAACCCTGCTTCCTTGGAACTGGACTAGCCCTGGAGAATCTGAGTTGCCCAGGCACCTGCCTCCCCAGGGAGAGAAGTAGTTGCTGTACTGGTCCCTGCCCCCGAGGGCTCAAGCCACAGTAGTGCTCCACCATTCTGGGGTCCTTGCTGATGCTGTGCCTGGCCTTTCAGAGACTGAGATGCTGCTGTGTCCCACCACTGCAGGGTCCAGAGTCACTATCATGTCACTCCCATGTCCAGAGTCACTCCCATCCCCTGGGAGTTTACTTCTTAAACTCTTCGCAAAAACAGAGTGAGAGGAAATAATTCCAAACACATTTTACCAGGCCAGTATCACCTTAATACCTAAGCCAAACCAAAACACACACACACACACACACACACACACACACACACACACACGCACACACCGAACAAAAACTACAGGTCAACTTCTCCAATAAATTAAATACTGATGCAAACATCCTAAAAAAATTTTAGCAAATAGAATTCAACAACACATCAAAAACATTATACATCGTGTTTAAGTGGGATTTATCCCTGGCATGCAAGGCTGGTTTAAAATATGTAAATCAATCAATGTGATACATCACATTAACAAAATGAAAGATAAAATGACATGGTCACCTCAATTGATGCAGTAAAAGCATTTAACAAAGTTTAGCAACATTTCTTGATAAAACCTCTTAATAGTTTATGTATAGAAGGAAAGTTCCTCAACATAATAAACACCATTTATGAAAAACCCACAGTCTAATCATAGTTAGTGGGGAACAACTAAAGCTTTTCCACTAAGATTGAGTACAAGATAGGGATGGCCAGCCTCATCACTTTTATTCAACAGAGTACTTGCAAGAGCAATCAGATGAGAAAAAAAAGGCAACTAAATTAAAGAAGTAAAATTATCTCTATTTGCAGATGACAAGATCCTTTACGTAAAAAACTCCAAAGAGTCCACAAAAAACTGTGAGAGCTACTAAATCAATTCAGTTAAGCTGCAAGGTATAAACTCAACATATAAAAATCAGTTGCATTTCTGTATACAAATAACCTAGCTGATGAAGCAATCAAGAAAATAATCTCATTTACGATAGCATCAAAGAAAAACAAAAACTTAGGAATAAATTTAACCAAGAAGGTGAGAGATGTGTACACTTAAAAACCATAAAACATTGATGAAAGAAATTTAGACATGAACAAATGAAAAGACATCCTATGTTTATGGATCAGAAGAATTAATATTGTTAAAATGTTCACACTACCCAAAGCAAATATACAGATTTAACACAATCCTCATCAAAGTTCTGATGACATTCTTCACAGAACAGAATAAAACAATCCTGGCCAGGCACAGTGGCTCACGCCTGTAATTCCAGCACTTTGGGAGACTGCAGCGGGTGGATCATGAGGTCAGGAGTTGGAGACCAGCCCGGCCAACATAGTGAAACCCTGTCTCTACTAAAACTACAAAAATTGGCCGGGCATAGTGGCATGTGCCTGTAGTCCCAGCTACCTGGGAGGCTGAGGCAGAAGAATTGCTTGAATCCAGGAGGCAGAGGTTTTAGTGAGCCGAGATTATGCCACTGCACTCCAGCTTGGGTGACAGAGTGAGACTTCACCTCAAAAAAAAAAAAAAAAAGAAAAGAAAAGAAAAAACAATCCTGAAACTCATATGGAACCACAAAAAACCCCAAACAGCCAACAGATCACTGTGAAAGAAAAAGTTGGAGGCATCACACCTCTTGATTTAAAATTGCATTACAAAGCTATAGTAATCAAAACAGTATGGTGCTGGCATAAAAACAAAAAAATAGACCAATGGAACGTAACAGAGACCTTTGAAATAAATCCAAACATATACTGTCAACTAATTTTTGACAAGGGCAAACAAGACAACACAATGGTAAAAAAGATAGTCTCTTCAATAATAGGATTTTCACATGCAAAAGAATAAAATTGGACCCTGATCATACACCATACACAAAAATCAACTCAAAACAGATACAAGACCAAAGACCCAAATAAGACCTGAAACCATAAAACTCCTAGAAGAAAACATAGGGGGAAAGCCTCTTGACATTGGCCTTAGCAATAATTTTTTGGATATCGCACCACAAGCCAGGCTACAAATGTAAACATAAACAAGGAGGACTGCATCAAACTAAAAAGCTTCTGCACAGCAAAGGAACAACCAACAAAATGAAAGGGGAACCTACAGACTGGAAGAAATATTTGCTACCACATATCTGATAAAGTGTTAATATCCAAAAATCAGTAAAGAACTCTTACAACTTAAGAGCAGAAAAACAACCCAGTTGAAAAATGGGCCAAATAGGAAATGACCAATAGGAAATGGGGAGATGTACATTAAAATAATACAAAGTAGCAGACATGTAGGATGAACAAGTTAGAGATCTAGTGTACATCATGAGGGCAATAGTTAATAAAAATATATTGTCTTTGGGATTTTTGTTAAATAAGTAGATTTTAGCTGTTCCTGTCACACAAACAAAAATCTAACTATGTGAGATGGTAGCTATGTTAATTTGCTTCACTATAGTAACCAGTTTACTATCTATATGTATCCTTTAAGATCATGTTGTCAACCTCAAATATATAAAATAAAATTTATTTTAAAAAAGAAAAGTTTTCCTTCAATCCAGAAAGAACCACTATTACCATTTTTTGGTGTTCCATTCCAAAATATCCCACAAATATACAATTGTTCAATCAAATTTAACATTAGACTTTATACTTGAACATTCAAAGTATGTAAGAAATTATAGAAAAGTGTCTGTGTGACTCCCTGTCTGTAGAGCACAGGCTTCATCTCCACTAACACACACACGACCAGTACCTTATACAGAGAGTCCTTGTTTGTCTTTAGTCTGACACCATGGGCGAGCCTGAGTTGGCCCGTGGTCCACATTCCTGACCAGGTGTCTTTCTCACCCACTGGTTTCAACAAAGATGTTACTGGGTTATAGAAGGCTGGGATGGAAACAGGATACCAAGTTCGCATGAAGACAATATCTGAAAAGAGGTAATTTACTTTAACGTTTTCAAAAGAAGATTCATATCCATATTGTGAAGAAACAAAGAACAAAATCTTCACTCCAAACTTCTCTACCTGACTGCAAAGTATTTGAAGGGAAAGCTCGCTAAGGAAACTATTCTTATAGATCAAAGAACTGTTACTGAGTGTGGCCAGGGGACTGCAGACACAAGGCAAATGGGCACACTGCATAAGACTGGGAGATCTAAGGCTGGAGCTGCTCAACTCTCTGGAGACCTGACTCCAGCCTCTCGTCACACTGGCTAGAAGTCAAGCATGAATGGTAACACCCTGCCCTGAACACTACTTAAGACACTCACCGCTCATCCGCAGCTTATCCTCAAAGCTATCCTGGAAAGCTCCTTCTGGAGCTCAGAGTGCTCTCTTGATCTGCCCCCTTATCCCACTGACAGTTCGAATCACAGCATCTTCAAATTTGGCCACTTCCAAGGCAGAATTAAACATTCCCTACAGGTATAGCAAGATAAAAACACACACACACACAAAATCATATACTTTATGCTTTACTTCTTACTTCAAACATACATCCGTGATTAAAGAACAAAAACAACTCACTGAAGGGTGATAAAATAATCAAAATGTATTTGCCCCTGAAAGTGGAATTACTACCTCAAAAAGAATACAACTCTTTCATTTTCCCCAAAATAATCATGTGAGTTCATGGGCATGCTCATCACTGCTGTCTGTGTGGAAGAGAAGATCGAAGAGGGATTTACTGGACTGAATTGGCCTAGGAAGCCTTTGCTGGCATCTCTCAGACTGGACTGCAGCCCAGATCCTTTTACTCAGATGCATGCACTTAGAACATGAAAACAGTAAGATAAACGCCAGTGGTATTATTACCTTATATTGCAAGAACATTTTATGACTTCCTAACTCTGTTTTCAATAGAAACATCCCCACTAATGAAATTGTCAATAAATGCTGCTCAAACCACCCTCCCAAAATACTGAAAAACAGTACATCCATTTCTCTGTACCCTTGCCAAGTTGTCTGCAAATGCTTTGTCGATTTTTCTACTGAGTTAGACAAACTTGTGATTTTTTTCCCTTTCTTAACACCAATTTAAAAAGTAGGAAACAAAACCTAGTGGATAAAATGACATATTTTCAATATGAGTTCTGTGGCAGTCTCACATGGAAGTCAGGAGTAACAGCCTCAATTCCTAAATAGCTGTTTACCACTGCTTTTTTGCGCATATTTAAGTAATACAGAATATAAAGGAGCAAACAAAATATGAAGTTTATAAAAGATTTCAAACACTTTTCTAAAAATAAGAGGCCCACATTTTAGAGGTATTTCATTCCTTTTCTCAAACAATATGGACATTTATAAATATGAGAATATATAGATATACAGACCTTAATAAATGAAGTGTTCTTGAAAATTTTATATGGAAAACCAGTTAGCTTTAATTTCTTCACAATTTTTATGGATTTATCCAGATCAAGGACAACTCCTGTGGCAGCTATCCGAAAATCAGGCTAACAGGAGCCCCAAAATTTGAAAATAGGAATAATATTAGCAAGAGAAAAACTTCAATTCTATGTGACACAATAAATTACCAAAGTGAATTTTACTTACAATTAGTTAAGAAAAACAAGAGAGACCATCTGAACTTGCAACCCATTGGTTTGACAAAAGCAATCCAAAACTTTAAAGTTGGTAAGCCAAACTAACAAGGGTGACTTGAGGCCAGGCACAGTGGCTCATACCTGTAATCCCAGCACTTTGGGAGGCCAAGGCAGGTGGATCACCTGAGGTCAGAAGTTTGAAACCAGTCTGGCCAACATGGCGAAATTCCGTCTCTACTAAAAATACAAAAATTAGCTCGGCATGATGGTGCATACCTGTAATCCCAGCTACTCGGGAGGCCGAGGCAGGAGAACCGCTTAAACCCAGGAGGCAGAGGTTGCAGCGAGCCAAGATCGTGCCACTGCACTCCAGCCTGGAAGACAGAGTGTGACTCGGTCTCAAAAAAAAAAAAAAAAAAAAAAGAAAGAAAAAAAAAGGCTACTTGAGTACTTTCCTGAGAGTGATTTCAGAGGAATGTAATTTTACTATAATAATTTATTTGGAACGAAATGGAAAAGAAAAATACAGTTGCAATGTTTAGGAAATTAAAATTTGGACCTCCAGGGAAGATTCCATCTGCTCATTATTCTGCTTTCTTCTCTGTTAAATGGGACCAGTAAACCCTGCCCTGCCTGACTGGTCAAATGAAAATGGAGTGAACAGAATGCTACCCCAGCACAGCTGCAGGGAGTCTTGTGTCTGGGTGGTCTCTGATGGCTCCTCATAACCTCATATAGTGCTTAGCACATGGTGAGCACTGCTTAAATACTTGCTTGGATAAATAAATGCAAAAGATGCATAAAAATAGGAAATGTACCATTATAATTCTTCCACCTCCCCTCCTCTAATCCCACACCCTACTGAAAAGGATGTACGAAGATTAAAAGCAAAGGGAAATTTACTTTATATTAATAAAAATGAGTAATTTTCAACTTAAAGTCTCATGTACATAATAACCCACATTCAGGATATATTTCTCAAACCAATCTGTAAAAGAAATCGTCCAAGATAGTTACCATTATGCCACTGACAGACTGTATTGCCAAGAAACCAGTTCCCTGTGGAGTGATAGGGTCTTAAAGGAAAAGGAAAAAAAGAAATATAGCAAACCAGAAATTTTAGATTCTAGTTTAACATACTGGATATGGACACTTAGATTTGGATATAGATGTACATATATACTCCAAACCACCTCCCCGCTCCCAGAAAAGAGAAACATCTTAGGAGTGGAATTTTATGAAAGGAAAAGCACAAAGCTAAAATAACACAGCCTGTAAAGTTTAATCTCGGCAATAGGCAAGTTATTGTAATCATATTTTACCCCAAAAGGCTGCTCCACAATGGATGTGCTGTGGCGTATACTTTAGAAGCCTTTGTCTTCCATTGTGGTCTTCGATATAATAGAGCAGGATGGTCTGAAACCTCCTCCACCCTACAGAAAATATGATTGGATCTTGGGACTTGAGGATTTTCTTATACCAGCGATGCTTCTTCAGACGCATCTGAAGGGGATGAGAGGGTAAGATGATTGATGGAGGGGAAATCCACAGAGCCTCAGGCACCAAATACGCAGCAAAGGGACCCACCTGCACGTGTCCAACATTTCCCTCACTGTTGCCCAAGCCACCCAGGATAATGGGGTAATGGGGGTCAAAGTTCTGCACAAATTCACAGGGAACATTTTCAATCTCAACGCGGACATACATCCCAGGTCGAAAACCCTCATACTGAACTCTGGCTTCATCATCTTGATCTTCAAATTCTACGTGATTCAGCTGTACATGATGGGGTGGGGGGGGGCGGAAACCTGTATGCTGTTATTTGTAATAAACATAGGATTAACATGAACAAATGAGCAATTTCTAAGTAAAGGAACTGTGGACAGAATTATGTAGGCTTTATCCTATTAAAAATACTACACATTTGGCCGGGTACAGTGGCTCATGCCTGTAATCCAGCACTTTGGGAGGCCGAGGCGGGCAGATCACATGAGGTCAGGAGTTTGAAACCAGCCTCGCCAACATGGTGAAACCCTGTCTCTACTAAAAATACCAAAATCAGCTGGGCATGGTGGTGCGTGCCTGTAGTCCCAACTACTCAGGAGGCAGAGGTGAGAGAATCGCTTGAACCTGGGAGACGGAGGTTGCAGTGAGTCAAGATCGTGCCACTGCACTCCAGCCTGGGCAATAGAGCGAGATTCCATCTCAAAAAACAAAAAAACAAAAAAAAACCCTACACATTTTACCTCTACAGTCTGTTCAGAATATGTCCCAACCATTTTCTTCTCTCCTGCTCCAAGGGACAGCAAATGTAGATAACTGTGGAGCCCTGCGTGCTCAAACATTAGAAACATCCCCAGTCCACACTTTCTTTCCTTCCTCTCCAAATAATTCTTTCACACTTTTCCCTTGTCTTCAAACACCCACCACCACCCTCACCTTCACTCAGCTGATGGCTGTTTCCTGATTCACTCCAAAACCAAAAGAACCTCTACGGTCAACCCTATACCAGGGTTTCCTCCCATATCCAGCCTTATCAGAGCTCTGACCTGCCCCATAGAGGAGCTATGTGTGGCTATTTAAATTAAAATTAATTACAATTACATAATATTTAAAATGCAGTTCCTCAATCACACTAGTCACACTGGAAGTGGTCCGTATCAACCTGTGGCCAGTGTTACAATATTGGGAAGCACAGATGTGCATCTCCATGATCACAGAAAGTTCTACGGGCAGCTCAGGCACAGATGATTTGTCCATGCCTCTACTCAGGGCCACACATCACTTGCTCACTAGACACCATCCACTCTTCCTGGACTTTATTCCAACAGCTCTTCCCTCTGTTCTCTCTCTCATCTCAAAACCTTTTGATTCCACTTCTTCCACCAAAAACTGCTTCATTTCTCTGCTTCTCTCTGCAGCAAAACCCCACAAAAGTTTTCCACAGTTGCAGCCTCCAGTTCCTCTGCTCCCATTCTCCTACATCCATGAAAATTGGTGCTTGCCAAGATCGCTGAAGGCCTCCACGCTGAAGGACTCCTCCGGTGGTCAACTCTGCCTTTACCATAGTTAACACTGCAGCGGGATCTGAACAGTGTTTCGCCTCCGTGTACAACTGGACTCCTGCGTGCCTGCAGGCTCACACTGCTTCTCCCTCTCCCTCCTAGGCACTGCTCAGGCCTCACGGCCGCAATCGCCCCATCTCGCCCATGCCAGTCTTGCTCCTCCCAGTCACTCTGCACTCACTCCCCGGCCACCTCACAGAGTTAAGTGGCATCTACATGCTGAGGGCTGTACATCTAAGTCCCTGGCCAGACCTGTCTCTCCAGACTTGACACTCCGCTTGTCTGCATGATACCCAGCCGAAACAAACATCATCTTCCCAAAACTGCATCTGCAGACAGTTTCCTATCTAACCTGCAACAACCCATCCTTCCAGGAACTTCCAGTCGCCATCCTCATTTCCTCACACACCCCACATTCAGTCCACCAGGAGAT
This sequence comes from Homo sapiens, assembly GCF_000001405.40. NCBI lineage: Eukaryota > Metazoa > Chordata > Mammalia > Primates > Hominidae > Homo > Homo sapiens. The sequence continues at coordinate 64,711,025 of NC_000009.12, forward strand.
CCTACTGACCCAGCTTCCAAATAAACTCTATCCGGGTTTGACTCTTTGTCTCATCTCCACTGCCAGCCCTCTGGTTTGTGCCACCGGACTGATCTCTACCGGACTGATGTCTTGGCAGAGTGATCTGATTACCTGAATGTCTCTCCTCTGCTCAAAACCCTCCAAGGACTCCCATTTCAGAGTGAAACATTCAGTCTCTTCCAATGGCCCACAAGGCTCTAGGTAATTTTAAATTGTAAATGGTGTGAAGCAGAAACTTCAGAGTTAGCCTAGTCATGCCTTTCAAAGGTCAACACAGACTAGCAACCACTAAGCTAATGCCTAATCAGGAAACAGTCCTTTGACTAGATGAAGATCTAGGATGAAACTCCGTTTCACAAATCATATACCTAATCTGTTCCAGCTTACACAGGCACTCCTGGCCTCACTAACAAGACGCAACTCAGATGCTCACCATCAACTGTACACACATTTCTGTGTCTGTCTCCTTCAGAGTGAGATCACCGCCTCCAGCAACCTGCTCAGCACCCCCAGGCAGGAGGGCCACACCATCTCCCTTTATCTCCGCATCTGACCTTATACTCCACATGTCCTTCTGAACTCTGACCAGGATGAGTTTTCAGAGCTGGGGAGTGGAGCCTGGGCCTGCGCCTCTCCGCGCCTGCGCCGCCGCTGTGCGCCTGCGCCGCCGCTGTGCGCCTCTCCGCCGCTCTCCGCCGCGCCGCCGCTCTCCGCCGCGCCGCCGCTCTCCGCCGCGCCGCCGCCGCCCGCCTCGCCGCCGCCGCCCGCCTCGCCGCCGCCGCCCGCCTCTCCGCCGCGCCGCCGCCGCCCGCCTCTCCGCCGCGCCGCCGCCGCCCGCCTCTCCGCCGCCCCGCCGCCGACCGCCTCTCCGCCGCCCCGCCGCCGACCGCCTCTCCGCCGCGCCGCCGCCGACCGCCTCTCCGCCGCGCCGCCGCCGACCGCCTCTCCGCCGCTGTCCGCTTCTCCGCCACGCCGGCACCGGCGCTGTGTGCCTTTGCAAGGGCGGAGCTGCGTTCTCCTCGGCACAGACCCGGAGAGCATTGCGAGGGCGGAGCTGCGTTCTGCTCTGCATAGACCTTGGGGCACTGCCTCGCTTTGGGACAACTCGGGGCCGCATCGACGGTGAATAAAATCCTTCCTGTTTGCAGCCATGTTTGTGGTTGGTGGCAGCGATGGAGACTGCAGCCAGCCAGTGTAGAAAGGCATTGGGGTAAGTGCGCCATCCAGGCTGCACTGCTGGTGGCCTGGGACGGGTTGGGAGCCCTATCTCAGGCGTCACTGCCCGTCTTGGGTGGCTGGTTGGGTGTGCTATCTGGGGCTGTGCTGCCTGCCCGGGGGCGGGGGGGGGGCGGTTTGGGGGCTCAAACCGGGGCTGCACTGCCTTTGGCGGGGAGCCGGTTGGGGGCACTATCCCAGACTGTATTGCTGGCAACAGTGAGGTGGGTTAAGTGTGCTATCTGGGGCTGCACTGTGTGGCTGTGGGGGGGGGTGGCGGTTTTGGGTTGAGGGCGCTATGGGCTGCTGTAATGCCCATGGTGCGGGGAGGCGGGGCGGTTAGGGTATGTTGGGTGTGCTATTGGGGGGGGGCGACACTGCTGGTGGTAGGGGGCAGGGTGGGTTGGGGGCCATATCAGGGGCTGCACTGATTGCTTTAGCTAGGATTTCTGGTACTATGTTAAACAACAGTGGTGACAGGGGGCATCCTTATCATGTTCCAGATCTTAGAGGAAAAGCTTTCCATTTTTCCCCATTCCATATGATTCTAGCTGTGGGTGTCTTTCCTGTAGTTTTTATTATGTTGCGGTATGTTTCTTCTGTGCCTGTTTCTTTGAGGATTTATAGCATGAAGGGATGTTGAATTTCATCACATGCTTTTTTGGTTTCAGTTGACATGATCATACGGTTTTTGTCGTTTATTTGGTTGATATGATGTATCACATTGTATGTTGAGTGACTCTTGCATTCCAGGGATACATCCCAGTTGATCATGATGAATTATCTTTTTAATGTATTACTGAATTTGATTCACTGGTATTCTGTTGAGGATTTTTGCATCAATATTAGAGATCCTGTCCTGTAGTTTTCTTCTTTGATGCTTTTATCTGATTTTCGTATCACAGTAATAATGGTCTCATAGAATAAGTTTGGAAGTATTCCCTCCTGTTTTTCAAAATAATTTGAGCAGGATTTGTACTAGGTCTTTAAATTGTTTGGTGTGAAGCCATCAGCAGTGAAGACATCATCAGTTCCTGGGCTTTTCTTTACTGGGAGACTTTTTCTGATGGCTTCAATCTCATTACTTGTTACCAATCTGTTCTGGTCTTGGATGTTTTCATTGTTTAACCTAAGTAGGTTGTATGCATCTAGGAATTTGCCAATTTCTACTAGGCTTTCCAATTTATTGGCATATAATAGCCAGTTATGATCCTTTGAATTTCTGAAGTATTAGTTGTAATGTCTCCTTTTTTTAATCTGTTGATTTTATTTATTTGAATCTTGTCTCTTTTCTTAGGCTGGTTAAAAGTTTGTCAATTTTGTTTAGCTTTCCAGAAAACCAACTTTTCGTTTAATCTTGTGTGTTTTTTATTTCAATTTTGTTTCTGCTACGATCTTATTTATTTTCTTATTTTCGGTTTAGTTTGTTCTTACTTTACTAGTTCTTTAAGATGTATTGTTTATTTGAAGTTTTTCTTTTGTTTGGATGGTAGGCACTTATAGCTGTAAATCTCTGCCTTTGTACTGCTTTCTGCGTAACAAGTTTTGGTATACTGTGTTTTCATTACCCTTTGTTTCATGAAATTTTTGAATTTCTGTCTTAGTATCTTCATTGACCTTTATTTATTCAGGTCATTTATTCAGGAGGGTAGTGTTTAACTTCCATGTGATTGTATTGTTTCCAAAATTACTTTTCTTATTGATACCTAGTTTTATTTCTTTGTAGTGAAAGAAGATTGCCACGGAGACAGAGAGCAGCATGGTCAGTGTGGTAGGAGCCGGCCATCAGCGAGAGCTGCTCCATGCCTGGCTGCTGGGAGCTAGAGCCTGCGGCCCACTGGCTTGCCTCACTGTAGTTGGTGGTGGCAGTGACAGAGACTGCAGCATGACCAGAGTGGTAGGACAGGGGCTATCCAGGGCTGCACCTTTCGCAGTGTGGGGTGGGTTGGGGGCGCTATCCAGGGTGTCATTGCCTGCATTAGGGGTACTGGTTGGTAGCACTGCACAGGGCTGCACTGCCCACAGCAGGGAGGGTGGGTTATGGGTGCTTTCTGGGGCTGCAATGCCCATGGAGGAGGACAGGTTAGGGCATATCGGGTATATGCTACTGGCGGCATTGGGGGACGGAGGTGGGGGGCGCTATTGAGGGCAGGACTAGCCGTGGAGCGGGGGCGAGTTCGGTGCTATCAGGGGCTGCACTGCTGGCGGCAGTCAACAGAGTTGGCATCCAAGGAAGGAGTGGTTCTCCTCTCCCTGACTCCACACTCCAGAGGGCGAACCACTCTTGGTCATACTGGAGTGCGGCAGGGCACGCAGCGTTTGCATGGGAATCCTGAGCATGGCAGAGCCCCCACACCCACCGTGGTTCCTGAGCCTGTGCACTCTGGGTCTGTGCCTCAGAGGCTGCCAGGCACCCCTGGGGACACCACGGGGAACAGGGCCCTGTGTGTGGAGGCATCCGGAACAGGAATTGGCACCTGGGTGCGGAGGGCTGGCTGGGTCTGAATTTTTCTGCTTCTCCTGTTCCCCGAGGAGTGCAGCCCCGGTGGGCCCAGTGGTTCCTGTGGAGTGGGGAGCTGGGTGCTGTGGTGTCTCCAGCACCCACCCCAGACCCCAGTTCCCAGCCAGCTTGGGCCAAAAGGAGAGGCTGGACTTTGGAGGGTGGGTGTGAGTGCCTTTGCTGAAACTGGCCCCTGCCACCCAGTGGCCGGCACGACAACTTGAGGCTCTAACGCTTCCACTCCTCACAACTTCCTCTAGGCTTTTCTGGCTTTGCCCGCCCAGCTGCTCCATGCCAGGAGGAGGAGGAGACACCTAGAGCCTGCAACACCACGGCTCACCTCGCTGCGGGTGGGTGGCAGTGACGGAGACTGCAGTGCGCCAGAGTGGTAGGAGAGTGGCCACGCTAGGAGGGCGGGCGGCTGCAGGCAGGGTTGGGAGTCAGGCTTACAGCGATGGACGGGCTGCAGCAGTGGCCAGGTGGTAGGAGCCTTGTAGGGAGGGCTGGTGCATTGGCAATGGGCCTGGCTTTGCCCTGTGCCTGCCGTGGATCTGGCCCTGTACTGCCCTGCCTTGCCCTGTACCTGCCCTACTGTTACCTGGACTCTCAGCCCTGTCCTGCTCTGGTCCCATCCTGACCCTGTCTTGGCCCCGTGCTACCCTGTCCCTGCCCTGGTCTTGCCCTGGCACTGGCCCTGCCCTGAACCTGCACTGGCCTGACCTTGGCTCTGGCTCTGCCCCTTGTCCTGACCCTGGTCCTGTCATGGCACTGGCCCTGCCAGTGGTCATGGTCCTGCTCCTGTTCTGGCCCTGACCTGGCCTTGGAAATGTCCTGGCTCTGCTTTGGCCCATCCCTGCCCTGGCCCCACCATGGGCCTTCCTGTTCTGCCCTCTCCTGGCACTGACCTGGCCCTGTCATGGCCCAGTGGTGCCATTGCCCTGCCTTACCCTGCGCTGGTTGTGCCTTGGCCCCGCTTGGTGCTGGCCGCTTCCTGGACCTGCCCTGGACCTGCCCTGACCCTGCCTTGGCTTTTGCCCTGCCCTCACTATGGCCTGGCCCTGGCCCTGGCCCTAGCCCTGGTCCTGCCATATCCCTGACCCTGCCCTTATCCAGGCCCTGCCCCTGCTGCTGCCCTGGCCCTGGCCTGGAACCTGGTCCTGTCAAGGACCTGCCCTGACTCTGCCATGGCCCTGGCCCTGCTCTGCCTTGTTCCTGGCCCTGACCCAGACCCAGACCCTTTCCTGGCTCTGCACTGGTCTTTCCCTGGCCCTGAGCTGGCAGTGGTCTGCCCCTGGTCTTGCCATCACCCTGCCCTGCTGTGCTCTGGATGTGTCATCACCCTGCCCTGGCTCTACTCTGCCTTTGACCCTGCCCTGGCCTTGCCTTGGCCCTCACCCTAGTCTTCGCTAGGCCCAGCACAGACCTGGCTCTGACCCTGGCCCTGGTCTTTGTCCTGCCATAGCTTTGGCCCTGAAGTGGACTTGGAGGTGTCCTGGCCCCGGTGTAACATGGCTCTGCATTGGCCTGTCTCTGCCCTGCCCCTACCATCGCCTTGCCCTGCTCTGCCCTGTCCCAGTACTGACCCGGCCACGCTATTTCCCCGCCCTACCCTGCCTTGGCTGTGCCCTGGCTCGGTTCTGGCCCTGGCCCCGGCCCTGCCCTGGACATGCTCTGACACTGCCTCAGCCTTGGCACTAGCCTGGCTCATTCTTGGCATCAGCCCTGCTCTCTCTGTGGACCGGCTCTTGTCCTGTCCTGCACTGGCCATACCATGCCCTGCCCTGCCCTGCCCTGACTCAGCCCTGACTCAGCCTTGGCCTTGGCATTGCCCCTGGTCCTGCCATATTTCTTGCCCTGTCCCTACCCTAGCCTTGGCCCTGACCCTTACCTTGCTCTGGCCCTGCCCTTGCCCTAATGCAGCCCCTGGCCCTGTCATGACCCTGCCCTGGACCTGTCCTGGCCCTGGCCCTTCCCTGCTTGAGACCTTGCCCTGGTTCTCCCATGGCCCTGACCCTGAAATGCCTGGCCCTACCCTGGCCTTGCCCTGCTCTGGCCCTTGCCCTGACTCTGGTCCTGTCACTGACCTAGCCCCAGCCCTGTTGCTGGTCTTACCATGGCCCAGACCCTGCCTTGGCCCTGCCCTGACACTGTCCTGGACCCTGGCTGTGCCAAGAACCTGCACTGTCCTTGCCCTTGTTTTGCTCCTGCCCCAAACCTGGTCCTGCCCAGGCCGTTTCTATGGCCCTGGCCCTGGCCCTGCCCAGGTCTTGGCACTGGCCTGGCCCTGCCCTGGCCCTGCCCTGCCCTGGCCCTATGCTTTCCTGGCCCTGCCTTGGCCCTAGCCTGGCTTTGACCCTGCCCTGGCCCTACCTTGGCCTTCACCCTAGCCTTACCAGGGCACTGTGTTGGACCTGGCCATAGCACAGACCTGGTTGTGGCCCTGGCCCAGACCCTAGCCCTGCAGGTACCGGTCCTGGCCCAGCTCTGGGCCTGGCTTTGTCCCTAATTCTTAGATGACCCTGGCCCTGCCCCTGCCCTTGCCCTTGCCCTGGCACTGGCCTTGGACATGTCCGTGGTCCTAACCCTGGCCCTGCCCTGGAGCTGCCACTGTCTTGGCCCTGCCCTGGCTCTGGCCCTGCCCCGGCCCTGGCCCTGCCCCGGCCCCAGCCATAGACCTGCCCTGGTTGGTCGTGCCCTACCTTAACCCTGTGCTACCCTGGGCCTGCTCCACCCTGCCCTGGCCCTGCCCTCCCTTTGGCCCTGCCCTGACCCCGTCTTGGCCCTCACACTGGCCCTAGCACAGACCTGGTCCTATCTGTGGCCTTGGCCTGGCATTGACCCCTGCTCCTGACCCTGGTCCTGCCATGGCCCTGGCCCTGCCAATGACCCTGGCAGCCCTTACCCTGGCCCTGAACTGGCCCTGCCCTGGCCCTGAAGTGGATTTGCAGGTGTCTTGTCCATGGTTTAACCTGGTCTTACCATGGCCCTGTCCCTCCCCTGGCTCTGTCCTGGTCTTATGCTGACCCTGACCCAGACCTTGGCCCTGCCACAGCCTTGTCCTAGACCTGGCCATGGCCCTGCGTCTGCCCTGGACCGGCGCTGGCACTGGCATGGACCCTGGCCCTGGCCCTTCACTACTTAAGGCCATACCCTGGCCCAGCCCTGGCCCTAATTTGGCCTGGCTCTACCCTGGCATGCTATTCTGGCCCTAGCCCTGACCCTGTCCCTGTCCCTGTACTGGTCCTAGCCCCGTTGCTGGTCCTGCCATGGCCCTTGTCCTGACATTGCCCTTTCCTGGTTCTGGCCCTGGCCCTGTCCCAGCCCTGCTCTGGCCCTGGTCTGAACCCTGGCCCTGCAATAGACCTGCCTTGGTCCTGCCCAGACCCTGGCTCTGGCCCTACCTCTGCCCTGGCCATACCCTTGCCCTGGCCTGGACCCCGGTCCTGGTCCTTGTCCTGCCCCAGCCGTGGCCCTGGCCCTGCCCTGCCTGTGCCCTGTTCTATCCTGGGCTGGCCCTGCCATGGCCTGGTCTTGCCATTGCCCTGCCCTAGCTTGCCCTGCTTGTGCCCTAGATCTGCCCCGCTTGTGCCCTAGATCTGCCCCGGCCTTTGCCCCATCTTGGTTCTAGCCTTGACTCAGCCCTGGACCTTCCCTGACCTTGCCTCAGCCCTGGCACTACCCTGGCATTGCCTTGGCATTTGCCCTACTCTCTCTATGGCCTGGCTGTGGTCCTGCCCTGCTCTGCTCTTGTTCTGTCCTGGCACAGCCCTGGCCCTGGCCCTGGCCCTGCCGTATCACTGGCTCTGGTCCTGCCCTTATGCAGACCTGACCCTGCCACTGCCTTGGCTTTGGCCTGGACCTTGGCCATACAGTGACCCTGCCATGACATTTTCCTGGTCCTGGCCTGGAACCTGGCCCTGCCAAGGACTCGCCCTGGCTCTGTCATGGCCCTGGCCCGTTCCTGGATTTGGATGTGTCCTGTCCCTTATTTGCCCCGGCCCTTCCCTGGCTCTGCCATACCCCTTCTCTGGGGTAGGGCCAGGGTCAGGACCAGACCAGGGCAGGGTCAGGACCAGGGTAGGGCCATGTTAAGGCCTGAAGATGGGAAGGGCCAGGGCAGCGGCTGGACCAGGGAAGGGTCAGGGCCAGGGATGTAGTAGGACTAGGGGCAGAGCCGGCACTAGGGCTGAGCCAGGGCAGAGCAGGAGAGATTACTTTAGGCTATTACTAAAATTTTTATTTTAGATTTTTAAGATAACTATAGTAGTAGTAATGTCTATACTATGTTGTTTGTAATAGTAATAATACTTGCGGTAATCACTAAATTTTAACTAATACTATCTTTGCTTCCAGTAGTGTTCTATGAGTATAATTTTATCAACATGTAAATATGTGAGGCATTGATTCTCATAATAATTCTATATGCTAGGTACTTAAAGCATCCCCATTTTCCAAATGTAGGAAACAGGCAAAAAGAAGGTAAATACTTGGCCAGATTACTCCTGTAATCCCAGCACTTTGGGAGGCCAAGGCAGGCAGATGGCTTGAGCTCAGGAGTTTGGAACCAGCCTGGGCAACATTGTGAAACCCCATCTCTACTAAAAATGCACAAAAAGAACTAATTTAAGTTTCTTGTAGGATTCTGGTTATAAAACACTGGTCAAACACACAGGGCATGGATAGGGCAGGGCCAGGGACAAGGTCAGGCCAGGAAGGGGCCAGGGCCAAGGCAGGGCCAGAGCTGGACTTGGAGGTGTCCTGGTCTGATTTGCCCTGCCCCAACGTTGGCCCAGCCCTGCTCTGGCACGTCCTGTCATGTCCTGTCCCTGGCCTGAGCATTGGCCCTGGCCCTGTCCTGCTTCTGGCCCTGCCCCGGAGTTGACCAGGCACTGCCATGGCCCAGTCCTGCATTGCCCTGCCCTCCTCTGCCCTGGTGCTACCATGGCCCTGCTTGGGCCCTAGCTCTGCCTCGACTCTGGACCTGCCCTGACTCTGCTCAGCCCTGGATCTACCCTGACTCTGCCTTGGTGTTGCCCTCCCATCTCTATGGCCTGGCTCTGGCCATGCCTTGCACAGACCATGCTCTGCCCTGCGTGCCCCAGCCTGGGTCCAGCCCTCATCCTACCATATTCCTGACCCCAGCCATACCCTTGTTCTCGCCATGACCCTGCCGTGGCCCTCTCCTGGCCCTTCCTTGATCCTGCCCTGCCCTTCCATGCCCTGGCCTTGCCCTCACCCTGCATTGGCCCTGCACTGGTCCTGCCCTGCCCTGGCACTGCCTTGGCCCCGGCCCTGCCTTCTTCCTGGCCTTGCCTTTGCCCTGCCCTGGCCTGACCCCAGGCCTACTGAGTCCATGAAATGGCCCTGGACCTGCCTTGCCATCCTCTGTCCTGGCCCTATATTGTCCCCACCATGCTCTGGTCCAGCGCTTGCCCTAGCCCTGTTGCTAGTCCTGCCACTGCTATGGCCCTGCTCTGTTTTTGGCCGTGCCCTGTGCTACCCTAGCCCTGCCCTGCCTTGGCCTTGGCCCTACCATGGCCTTCTCTTACCCTGGCCTGGCCCTACCCTGGCCTTTTCTACCCTGGCCTTGCCCTTCCCTGGTCTTGCCCTGCCCTGGCCTTGGCTTTGCCTTATCCTGGTCCTGGTTCTGCCCTGACCCTGGCCTTGCTCTGGATCCTCTCTGGTTCTGCTTTCTCCCTGGCCCTGCCCTTGCTCTGGCCCTGTCCCTGGACCAGCCTTGACCCTGACCCTGACAATCCCCAGGTCTGACACTGGCCATGCTTGGCCCTGGCCCCTCCTTTTGGCCCTGCCTTAGCCCTGTGCTATCTTAGTCCTGCCCTGGCCCTGAACTCGCCCTGGTCCTACCCTCACCCTACACTGGCCCTGCCCTATCCTGGCCTTGCCCTGCCCTGGCCCTGCCTTTGGCCTGCTCTGGCTCTGGTTCTGCCCTGGACTTGCCCTTGCCCTGGACCCTCCCTGGCCATGTTTTTCCCATGGTCCTTCTCTGGCCTTGCCCTTGCCCTGTCCCCTTTCTGGTCCTGCCATGTTTCTGGCCCTGCCCTGTCCATGTCCTGGACCTGACTCTGGCCCTGGACCTCCCTGTCCCTGCCCTGCCATACCCTGGCCCGTTCCTTGCTCTACACTGACCCTGCCCTGCCTTGGCCCTGTGCCACCCTAGCCCTGCCCTGGCCTTCTGCTGACCCTGATCCTGCCATGGCCCTGGCCCTGCCATGTCCCTGCCCTGGCCCTGGTTCTTCCCTGCTTCTGGACCTGGCCTTGGTCCTCTCATGTCCCTGGCTGTGACCCTGCCCCTGGTTTTTCTCTGGCCATGACCCTGCCCCAGTTCTGTCCTATCCCTGGCCCTGTCTCAGTTCTGTCCTAGCCCTGGCCTTTCACAGTACTTTATGCTTAGTAAGGGCTCCATGGTGTCTGTGAGTTGAATGTTGTGTTCATAGTATCTGCCAAAACAGAAAGAAAAAAGTAAAATATTTTGATAAGAAGTTAAAGCTTTGTATATAATATGCCTTGAATTGTAAGTGCCTGTTATTAGTTGTATTACATATGGGTCATGGCTTTGTACACGTAACTCCAAACCATTGATACTGTTAAAAGGATATATGAATATATGAAAGAATGTATAAACGTAAGAATGTATCAGTATCTAATGACCTTTCCAAATTAATTTTTATTTTTAGCTCTATTAGATTTTTCTCAGTGTAACAAATGTTTATTCCTATGTAATTAAGGGTGTGTTTCCTGTACAGAATATTCATAATACCTAATTGAAAATTATATGATACAAAAATATAATACTATTTTTAGGCCAAGCATGGTGGCTCATACCTGTAATCCCAACATTTTGAGAGGCCAAGTTTGGAGAATCATTTGAGTCCAGGAGTTGACCAGCCTGGGCAACATAGTGAGACCTTGTCTTTATTAAATAAATAAATAAATAAATAGGTTGGGCACTGTGGCTCATATCTGTCCTCCCAGCATTTTGGGTTGCCAATGCAGGAGGATTGCTTGAGCCCAGGAGTTTGAGACCAGCCTGGGCAGAATAGCAAGACTCCATCTCTGCAAATAATAAAATATTAACCAGGTGTGGTGGTGCGCACCTGGGGTCCCAGCTACCTGGGAGGCTAAGGTGGGAGGTTTGCTTGAGGCTTCAGTGAACTGTGAATGCACCACTGCATTCCAGCCTAGGCCACAGAACAGGACCTTGTTTATAAATAAAGAAATAAGTAAAAATATAAATAAAAAGTAAAAATAACTATAAGTAAATATAAATATAAAAATGCATACATGAAAAGAAACAATTTTTAAATTTAACATCACTGAGGGCATCCTATCCATTTCATTTCATGATTCCATTACATCATTTCACTTAGATGAAATGATGAGATGAAATGATGAGATGAAATGACGAAATGATGAGATGAGATGATGAGATGAAATTTTGAGATGAAATGGTGAGTAGAAATGATGAGATGAAATGATGAGACGAAATGACAAAATTGAAAAGAAATTGAAAGGAGAGGAGATGAGATAAAATGAGATGAAATGAGATGATGGATGAAATGAGATGAAACGAGATGAAATGAAATAATGAAATGATATGAAATAATGAAATTGTAATGAGATGATATGAGATGAAATAATGAGATAAAATGATGAGATGAGATGAACGATGAGATGAAATGATGAAATGAAATGAGATGAAAAATGATGAGATGAAAAATGAGATGAAATGAAATAATGAAATGAGATGAAATGAAATGAAATAATGAAAGGAAATTATGAAATGTAATGATGAAATTGAAATGAGATGAGTTGAAATGATGAGATGTAATGGTGAAATGAAATGATGAAATGAGATGAGATGAAATGAGATGAAATAATGAGATGAAATGAGATAATGAGATGAGATGAAATCATGAGATGAAATGATGAAATGAAATGAAATGATGGATGAAATTATGAGATGAAAGATGAAATGTAATGAGATGAAATGAAATGACATAATGAAATGAAATAATGAAATGAGATGAAATAAAATAATGAAATGATGAAATAATGAAATGAAAATGAAATGGAAATGATGAGATGAGAAGAAATGATGAGATGAAATGATGAAATGATGAGATGAGATAAAATGAGATGAAATGGTGAGATGAGATGAAATATGATGAGATGAAATGACATAATGAATGAAATGATGAAATGGAATAATGAAATGGAAATGATGAGCTGAGATGCAATGAGTTGAAATGAGATGAAATGATGAAATGATGAGATGAAATGATGAGATGAGATGTGATGAAATGATGACATGAAATGATGACATAAAATGAGATGAAATGAGATGTAATGATGGAATGAGATGAGATGAAATGAGATGAAATGATAGATGAGATAAAATGATATGAAATGATGAGATGAATGATGAGATGATGAGATGAATGATGAAATGAAATGATGAGATGAGATGATGAAATGAAATGGTGAGATGAAATGAGATGAAATGAAATAGTGAAATGAAATTGAAATAAAATCGAAATGAGATGAAATGATGAGATGATGAAATAAAATGATGAAATGATGAGATGTGATGAGATGAAATGATGAGATGAGATGAGATGACATGAAATAATGAAATGAAATTGAAATGAGATAAGATACGAGATGAGATGAAATGATGAGATGAAATGATGAAATGATGAGATAAGATGAAAAGGGTTGAGATGATGAGATGAAATGAGATGAAAAGATGAAATGATGAGATGAAATGAAAGGATGAGATGAAATGAGGTGAAATGAAATTAGATGAAATGTAATGAGATGAAATGAAATGACATAATGAAATGAAATAATGAAATGAGATGAAATAAAATAATGAAATGATGAAATAATGAAATGAAAATGAAATGGAAATGATGAGATAAGAAATGATGAGATGAAATGATGAAATGAGATGAGATAAAATGAGATGAAATGATGAGATGAGATGAAATATGAGATGAAATGACATAATGAATGAAATGATGAAACGGAATAATGAAATGGAAATGATGAGCTGAGATGCAATGAGTTGAAATGAGATGAAATGATGAAATGATGAGATGAAATGATGAGATGAGATGTGATGAAATGATGACATGAAATGATGACATAAAATGAGATGAAATGAGATGTAATGATGGAATGAGATGAGATGAAATGAGATGAAATGATAGATGAGATAAAATGATGATATGAAATGATGAGATGAATGATGAGATGATGAGATGAATGATGAAATGAAATGATGAGATGAGATGATGAAATGAAATGGTGAGATGAAATGATGAGATGAAATGAAATTGAAATAAAATCGAAATGAGATGAGATGAAATGATGAGATGATGAAATAAAATGATGAAATGATGAGGTGATGAGATGAAATGATGAGATGAAATGATGAGATGAGATGACATGAAATAATGAAACGAAATTGAAATGAGATAAGATACGAGATGAGATGAAATGATGAGATGAAATGAAATGATGAGATAAGATGAAAAGAGTTGATGAGATGATGAGATGAAATGAGATGAAAAGATGAAATGATGAGATGAAATGATGAGATGAAATGAGGTGAAATGAAATTAGATGAAATGTAATGAGATGAAATGAAATGACAATGAAATGAAAAAATGAAATGAAATAATGAAATGAGGTGAAATTAAATGAGATGATGAAATTAAATGATGAAATGAAATAATGAAATGGAAATGATGAGATGAAATGAGATGAATGATGAGATGAAATGATGAGATGCAATGATGAGATGAAATGATGAGATGAGATGTAATGATGAGAGGAAATGAGATGTAATGAAATGAGATGAAATGAATGAGATGAAATGAAATAATGAAATTGAATTGAGATATGAGATGAAATGAGATAAAATGAGATGAAATAAATGATGAGATGAAATGATGAAATGCTGAGGTGAGATGAAACGATGAGATGAAATGAAAGGATGAGATGAAATGATGAGGTGAGATGAGATGAAATGAGATGAAACGAGATGAAATGATGAAATGAGATGAGATGAGAAGAAATGATTTGATGCAATGAGATGAGATAAAGTGATGAGATGAAATGAAATGAAGTGAAATGAAATAATGAAATGAAATTGAAATGAGATGAGATGAAATGAGATAAAATGAGATGAAATGAGAAGAAATGAGATGAAATGATGAAATGAGATGATGAGATGAAAAATGAGATGAATTGAAATGAAATGAAATAATGAAATAATGAAGTGAAATGAAATGATGAATTGATGATATTGAAATGAAATTGAAAGATGAGATGAAATGATGAGATGAAATGAAATGTTGAAATGATGAAGAGATGTGACATGAAATGAGCTGAAATGAGATGAAATGAAATGAGATTAAATGATGAGATGAAAAATGATGAGATGAAAAATGAGATGAAATGATGAGATGAGATGAGATGAATTGAGATGAGATGAGATGAAATAATGAAATTAGGTGAAATAATGAAATGAGATGAAATAACGAAATAAAATTGAAATGAGATGAGAGGAAATGAGATGAAATGTTGAAAAGAAAGGAGGAAATGATGAGGTGAGATGAAATGATGAGATGAAATGAATTGAGATGAAATGAGATGAAAAATGATACGAAAAATGATATAAAAAATATGACATGAGATGAAATGAGATGAAAAATGATACGAAAAATGATATAAAAAATATGACATGAAATGAAATGAGATGATATGAAATGACATAATGAAATAAATGAAATTACATGAAATGAAATGAAATAGTGAAATGAAATGATGAAATAATGAAAATGAAATGGAAATGAGATGAGATGAGATTTGATGAAATGATGAGATGAAATGATGAGATGATATGAAATGATGAGATGAGATGGGATAAGATGAAATGAGATGAAATGATGAGGTGAAGTGATGCACTGTCATGTGTGTGTCTTTTTCCCAACCAACAAAAATTATAATTCATTAATTTTATTATTTAAGAATATTCTTAAGAGTTGAAGGAAAAATAATATCTGTACATTATGGGTTACAATTAAGTATAAATAATACATAAATATATTAAAACTTACAAAGAATATGTTTCGGAATCGAATATACCATGCTTCTGTGATGACAGTTATTTCATGCTGGTTGTCACAATTTTACATGAAAAACTAATGAAACAATGTTTTTAACTGTTTCTAAAAATAACAGTTTCCAAAACAGTTTTACATTCAAAATATGAAAAAGATGTCTTTGTGTTCCTTAATCTGATGAGATTTTCACACTCTGCACATGATAATTGTTAGATTTTTATTGTGTTGATAAATTGTATATCAAATAAAAAATGTTATTACCTCTTAAATTAGGATTTTTAGGTGATATAGGCAGAAAGGAAGGCAAGTTTTTATAACTTTGTCTAAATGAACTTTCTAAATGCCTGAGTATTAAAAGATAGCATGTCTATAAATGACAATGTATATATTACTGTATGACCTAGGACCAATCAAAACCGTTACCTCTGATAACATTATATTGTGCCCAGTATAAAATAGATATAATAATACCTCAAACTTAAATCCAGGCATTGTCATTGAATATGTTAAGAATATGCAGCAAAGGTGCTTTTAAAAATACAAGCTAGTGATTGTACTAAATTTGTAAATCACATAGGATAGTGGGTCATTTTAAGAATATTATTTCAATCTATAAACGTGGATGTCTTTGCTTTTTTATGTTTTCTTTAATTTCTTTCATTAATATTTGTCATTTTTGTTGTCGAAATCTTTTACTTGGTTAAATTTATTTCTAAGTACATTTTTGTAGCTATTGTAAAAGGAATTGCTTTCTTAATTTCTTGTTTCAGCTAGTTTACTATCAATATATAGAAATGCTACTGATTTTTGTATGTTGATTTATATCCTGCAACTTTATTAATTTCATGTATCACCCTGAGAAGCTTTTGGTAGAGTCTTATTTTTTTCCATGTATAAGATCACATTGTCTTTAAACAAGGACAATTTGACTGTCTCCTTTCCAATTCAGATGTCCTTTATTTCTTTCTCTCACCTAATTGTCCTGGCTAAGACTTTCACTATGTGAAATATGATTGGTGAGAATAGGCATCCTTTTCTTGTTCCAGTAAAATCTTTTTCTTGTTCACAGTAAAATCTTTCACCTTTTCCACACTCAGTATGATCTTAGCTGTAGATTTGTCCTTTATGTCCTTTGTGTTAAGGCATATATTTTCTATACTAAATTGTTGAGAAGTTTTTTGTCATGTAAGAATATTTAATTTTGCCAAACGCTTTTATTGTGTTTATTAATTTAATCATATGGTTTTCAGTATATATCCAAAGGAAAGAAAATCAGTATATCAAAGAGTTACCTGCACCCCCATGTTTATTACAGCACTATTCACAATAGCCAAGATATGGAATCAACAAAAGTGTCCATCAACAGATGAATGGATAAAGAAATGTGACATACATATATAATGGAATATTATTTAGTCATAATAAAGAACAAAATCCTGTTGTTTGTGGCAACAAGAATGCAAGTGGAGGGCATTATGTTAGGTGAAATAAGCCTGGCATAGAAATATAAACACCACATAACTACGTGTTCTCACTTATGTATGGAAGCTAAAATTTTTAATCTCGTAGAAGTAGATAGTAGAGTTTTGGTTACCATATCCTGGAAAGAGTAGGAGAAAGAAGAGTATAAGAAAAATGTGCTTAATACATACAAAATTACAGCTGGAGAGAAGGAAGAAGTTCTAGTTCTCTACAGCACTGTTGGGTGACTGTAGTTAATGGGAATTTATTGTGTGTTTTCAAATAACTAAAAGAAAAGATTTTGAATATTCTCACTGCAAAGAAATAATACATGATTTAGGTAATGGATATGATAATGACTCTGACTTGATCTTTACGCATTGCATAAATATATCAAAATATCACTCTGTACCCCATAACATGTACATTTATTGTATGTCAATTAAAGTAAATTTAAAAGAGAAAAAATGAGGTAAAGGTAAATGTACAGAATTTAATTACTTTTTCTTCTATAAAACCCGAGTCAGTACCAAGAAGAGTCAATTTATTAGTTTTCTAAAATAAAAAAAATCAAAATCACCAAAAAAGAGCAATATCCAAGAAAACATTGAAAAGGAAACACAACATTTAGTAAGAATAGAAAACTTGGGCACTGTATCACCCTGTTCCTAGATACCGATTTACTGATGGCCATTTAAATAGAATTTTATTCTATCTAATTCATTTATACTCCCAGAGTTTGAAATTACATTTTACCTACAATAAATGAGATAACACTTGTAAATTATATGGTACTCTGCCTAACACACGTTAATAACTCAATAGATGTTAGCAATAAACTTTTACTATAGTAGTCAAAGTATTAATTTCTCACATTGCAATTTCCTTCAAAGACATAAATACAACCTTTCTAATGACTCCTTGTTCATCAAGATACCTCTTCAAATTATTCTATTTGTTTCATTCAGTATATTATCTGTGTATACCGATATTACACTCTTTTCTTTTTTTGAGATGGAATCTCATTCTGTTACTGATGCTGGAGTGAGGTGGCATGATCTCGGTTCACTGCAACCTCCACCTCCCAGGTTCAAGCGATTCTCCTGTCTCAGCCCCCCAAGTAGCTAGGACTACAGGTGCACACCACCATGCCTGGCTAATTTTTGTATTTTTAGTACAGTCAGAGTTTCACCCTGTTGTCCAGGCCGGACTCGAACTCCTGACCTCAGGTGATCCACCCACCATGGCCTCCCAAAGTGCTGGGATTACAGGCATAAGCCACCGCACCCAGCCTGATATTGCACTCTTGGATTTTGAACACTGAGTATCTTTTTGAAAGATTACACCTCTTTACCTCTTCGTGCTTCAGAAATTATTTTCCTTCAAGTGTTCTAAGAGGCTAATGAAGAATGAAGTCATGTTTTATCACTTTTGTCCTTAAAGATTTCAGACATGCTGAAACTGATTGAAGTATCATTTGCTACCAGATAGATTAGTTATCTCTAGTTGTAGGAGTGGATACATCTTTAATGGTATATTTTGGTTTATTGTCTTATTTTTGATGTAGTATTCTATCAATAATTTATTAAACCTGGCATCCTTGAGTGAGCATGGATTTTTCAACTTTGGTGTTATATTGTGTTTGCTTTTAAAAACTGCTTTTGAGGCCAGGTATGGTGGCTCTTGCCCATACCCAGCACTCTGGGAGGCCAAGGTGGGCGGATTACCTCAGGTCAGGAGTTCAAGACCAGCCTGGTCAACATGGCAAAACCATGTCTCTACTAAAAACACAAAATTAGCCAGGCATGGTGGTGCATGCTTGTAGTCCTAACCACTCGAGAGGCTGAGGCAAGAGAATCACCTGAACCTGGGAGGCAAAATTTGCTAGGTTGCTGTGAGCCAAATTCGCATCATTGCCCTCCAGCCTGGGTGAAAAGAGCAAAACTCTGTCTCAAAATAAAAAAAAAAAAAACGACCAAAAACTGCTTTTGAATGGAGTTGTACATACAATTTTGATGAAAAAAATTATCAAGTGCATAAGTTCATAATAGAAAAACCAATAATACTCCAGGCACAAGTTAGTACTAAAAAAATTATGTTGAATATGCTCTAATACAACATGCTTTTTCCCTTCATGAACAATTTGTGTTTTACTGAGAAGAGTCATTGTTTATGGTAGACATTAGACTACAGATGAATATGCACTTTAAACACTCTTAGTTGCTTTCTTAATTTTATATCTGCTGCTTTATGCTTCTGTTTATTTTCATTCTTTCCAATGTCCACATTCTAGTAAATTTGAATATTTTAATCCAAGTTTATATACTATTTAATATTGCTTGTATAGTTTAGTATTGTTAAGACTCAAAAAGGTTTACAGAAAGAAGAAAAAGATCAACATGTTATTAATCATTTAAAGATCATTTTGAAATCTTTGACCTTTATATTTTAATGAATAAAATATTAGTAGTTATTAGTATAAAATAATTTATGTGTTTTGGACTTAGCATCCAGTATTTCTTTTTTAATAAAGAAAATAATTATTCTCTTGCAATATACTATGTTTACCTGGGTTTTGAAAAGTGATGTTTCCTAATATGAGAAAGCCATTTACATTTTTAAATCTACAAAGGCAAATGGAATGGTACTAAATTATTTATATAATAATGTTTAGATGGTGGCCCTTATAACATTCTTTCTATACTTCCTACAGAGTTGGGGGTATGCAATCCTGGAATATTTCTGGGAGCTAATCCTTTAGCTTGATGAATGAAACAAGACTTTTAAATAAAATTAAACTTTCAAATTATCCAGGTAATGGGCCTGTCTTTTAATTCAATGGATATGGAGCATAATGAATTATCCCCTGTTCATTGGGTAATAAGTTCTCATTCTTAATTTATAATACTCAAAATATCCTTTAATTTTTAATTTTTGATAGTCATATCATTATCCCTAGGTATTTTAGCTTCTATCTTAAATTCTAAAATAATTTTGAGACAGGAGAAAGTATTCTTTATTACTATATGTATTAAACATCATGGTTTTCAAATTTAACTGCAAATGTATCTTTTCATTGCTTCTTGGTGACGCCCTTCACCCTATCCATATTGTCACTACCAAGTGGTGATTACTTTTCAGGTTCACATACTTATTCTTTAGAAAAATCTTCTCTGTGCCTTATAAAGAATATGATTGTTGGCATTGAAAAGCCAGTGAAATATACATTATTAGCCTGTTGCCTAACTCATTTATTTAAGAAACTACACTAATTACCCACATACTTATGTTTTTATTTACTCATTATTTCTGGAGAAAACAAATACTGCTAACATGATATTTGTAAGAGAGAAAAAAGTCTTTTCTTGAAAAGTGCTGTCATTGTAGTACTAACTTATAGTATCAACTTCTTTATCAACTCCTTATACACTTTTTATTCTGAGAGAAATAAAAAAGCTAAAAGTGAAATGACTTTGTAACTCTCCATATTATAAGCACCCATCTTGGTAATTTAGGGTCTTTATAGTTAGGGTAAGTTGTGTCATACCGAGGTTACAAAATAAAAAGTATTTTGTCTCTTTGGGCCTTTCCTTATTCAGTAATACTGTCAGTTTGGCTTTTTTTGTAGGTCAACTTATTGAACTCAGTATTCTGAAATAATGTGTTTACTATCTTTTGATAAGCATTTAAAATATTAGATTTATTGTTACTCGTCTGCCTTCATTGGGCTGGAAGAATAATTGTTTCACTCCACAAAAGCCAAGTTGCAGAGAAAAACACATAGACATTCAACTGCAAAGCAGAGAAACTTGACTATTTTCTGCAATTTTAAAGTGTATATTGAATAAAACCATCTTTTTATTTTCTTTTTTGCTCACTGGCAACTATTAACAACATCAAGTGCGTTATTATAATGTTATCTAGTTAAAAATCTCAAAAAGTTTTCATAATTACCATTTAAAAATATATAAATAAGTGACCTAATGTTAATTTTTATTGTCTGAGACCATGTCTGTTATTTCACTCTTTAAATTCAGTTAGTAATGCAGAACCTAGCACTTAGTAGATACTCAAAAATTATTTGCTGAATAAAAAAAGGTTAAACATGTAATATACACAAAATGTACTGGAAAAAATGCACCAAACAATTTTGTTATACCAGTTTAATGTAAATATTGTCTTTAAAAGATAATATAGTTTTCAGGTGTCTACAGTGATTTTGTAATATTTGTGCACATATAAAGTAATATTTCCAAAAATGTAATCCAGTGGGGAAATATACTTTCTAAATTCTAGATTTATAATTTAGGGTTTAAATTATAAAATCATTAAATAAGACACAAGTGAAATATAGTCAAATATCCCCTTGGAAAAAAATTAAGTGGCCTCTAAAGTGAGGTATTCATATATGTAATTTTACAATCCTCTAGTGATAGAATTAATTAAATATGCCACCAAATTGATTAATTCCTACAGTGTTAAAAGAGAAGCACTAACAATGCCAGTGACCATGTAACATGGATTTAAGCTACAAGTCATAGAAATGTGATGAGAAGCCTCAGCACTGTAAAACCGAGGGTGGAGGAAAGCTTTTCCTCTCTCAAATGAGCTTTGCGAGGTATACTTCTTGAAGGATAGGAAGTTGAAGTGTTCAGGACTTTTATGTCTATTCTACTTTGGCTTAGTTTACATGATTCTTAGTTTATTAGCCTAGAAATGGCCAAGAAAACTTAAGGCTCAATATTTAGTTATAAATATGAAATATCCCCAATTTTTAAGATAAAAACAACTTATAAATGTATTTGTCTGTAAAAATTGTGTATATTTTTACAGAACATCTATTTCTTTCTTTATTTTTTTATTTTTTTTATACTTTAAATTCTAGGGTACACATGAACAATGTGCAGGTTTGTTGCATATGTATACGTGTGCCATGTTGGTGTGCTGCACCCATTAACTCATCATTTATGTTAGGCATATCTCCTAATGCTATCTCTCCCCCCTCCGCCCCCCCCACAACAGGCCCTGGTGTGTGATGTTCCCCTTCCTGTGTCCAAGTGTTCTCATTGTTCAATTCCCACCTATGAGTGAGAACATGCGGTGTTTGGTTTTTTGTCCTTGCGATAGTTTGCTGAGAATGATGGTTTCCAGCTTCATCCATGTCCCTAGTAAGGACATGAACTCATCATTTTTTATGGCTGCATAGTATTCCATGGTGTATAATGAACCTGAAACGGGAAAGGGCGAGATTAACTAAGCCTGTTTGCCATGGACAGCAATGGGGTTGCTAGAAGATTAGCTGTGTGGAAAAATTATGCATTTACCTTTGGGCATAATAAAATGCAATTGACTCTCCATATTCATGGGTTCTGCATCCACTGATTCAAACAACTGTGGAACAAAATTGTCAGAAAAAACAATACAACGATAAAAAATGATACAAATAAAAAACAACATGGTATACCAACTATTTACGTAGCATTTACATCGTATTAATTGTTATTAAGTAATCTAGAGATTATTTAAAGTATATAGGAGGATGTGTGTAGGTTATATGCAAATACTACACTATTTTATACCAGTAACTTGAGCATCCATGGATTTTGGTATACAAGGGGGATCCTGGAACCAATTCCCCATGCATATCAAAGGATGACTGTATGAGTTATCTGTAAAATGGTTTGGTTGAAATGTTTAGAAAACAGCTAGAAATACAAGACTGGCTGTTGGATGAAAAAAACATAGGACTAGGAAATTCAGGTATGCTAGTCTTTTTGAGTATTGCTTAAAGCCATGGGAAAAGAGCTCTCTGTGAGTTCCAAGACAGATGCAAGGACTGGCATTCATGCACAGCTTCTAACAGATAAATCTGAAGAGTTCTTAGTATGCATGTTGACTGAAATTACTTTAGAAGTAATTTTTCTCCTGGTGATAAAAGGCATGTAAGGCTATTTTAGGAAATTGAAAAATGCAAAAAGGTATAAAGAAAAAGAAAAGATAATCATTAATAGTACGTTAGTAAACAAGACTTGACTAAAGATACGACTTTCCTCCCGCTTGTTTTCTTATTCATATAAAGGGATAGGAAATATGTATGTATGTATGTGTGTGTATAGGATCATGCACTGTATATAGCTTGCTTCTTTTTCCATTATGATAATTTTCCCATGTCATGAATTACGGCTTGCAAGTGCTTATTCTTAAAGGGCTGCATTATTTTTCATTATTTGGATTTATTGTTATTTAATTGGAGCTTTATTATTGAACATTTAGATTGCTTCCAAAATTTTTTGCTCTTGTTAATATATTGTAATAAACTTCTGTGAAACACATACTCTTCACCTGCTACTTACATATGACTTCTGTAAGCAGAGACCTCTGTATCCCCAGGACCTAGAAGGTTACCCAGACATAGTAGTTGCTTAATTAAAAAAAATTATTGATTGAATGAAAGAAGACTATTAAATGTTCAGTTCTTCTTTTTTTATTCTGATTCCCTGTGTATCCAGGGGCCTCTTATTTGGCTGCATATATGAGTTTGGCTGTAATGAAAGTATTGGCCGTATATGACCATAAACAGGCATTCCTATTTCTGTCACAGTTATATTTGTCATTCTGTATTAATACATCTATATCCTGATTTCTATTGAAGCATGGTTAATTTTGTTTGCTTCTAAGCAATGTAGCTACCCTGTTGATGCTGATAAAAATAAATTTCTGAACCTATAAGACTGAGGATTGGGCCTAGGTTGTAGTAAATTGGCAAGATAATGGATGCTACCCTGTCAAGAGTCCTCTGAAGAGAAAAGTCTGCCACCCTTCACCAGGTAGAAACTCCAGGCAGTGCCACATTTTCCAGTTTGACGCCCTGTGATACCCTGAAAAGACAGATGTTTGACTCTTTTCAAATAATATTTTAACATATTTTAAGACGCAAAGGCATTGTGTCGGACTTTTTTCTTAAGAATATATTTCATTACCACTCAGAAGTTAGCTTCCAAAAGAAATAAGTGTGTGCAAAGGTTTATGATAGTGGTGTAGAGAAGTTTTTAAAATAAATGTGCATCTTTTATGGTAATAAAAGTACATTACGAAGAATTTTTTAGGTCCAGTTCACAGATTCCTTGTGCCTGGGGAAAACTTTATTAGAAAATTAGATAATTTCTAATTTGATTAGGGGAAGTCTAATGGGAAAACTTTTTAACTGAGCGGTCCAATTTGAAACATGAATATCTGTGCTGGAAGCTTCTATTGAACTTTACTTAAGTCACATCTGAGCCCCTCTGCCTGTCAGTCCACCATTACCCTAATAGTGGTAGAAATTCTTTATATGACACCTAGATCTTTTTTTGTTGCACTTTTAAGCTGTGTAGGAAACACACTGCCCACATGTTCATACAACACAGAGTGATTATCCACTTAGTTCCTAAAAAGTTGTGTTTGGTTATGGGATTTGATCCCACTTGTCCAGGGTTTAGGTCAGCTACTGAAGATTAGGATATCTGGGTACCTCTTACTGGAGAATCCATTCCTGTTTTCATTTCATTCCTGGGGGCAATATTCAATCTGGTGTGGCCCTCTGTATTATAAAATGTTTCCCAGATTGTGTTTATCTGAAATACAAATCCAAGAAGAAGCATGGTGTTAATTGCCATGTAAAAAAGATTCCAGAGTCAAGAGCTTGAGAAGTTCTATTCCTTCCTTCATAGGTTCAGTTGTTTAACTCAGCATTTTTCAAACATATTTTACTCCTAGAACCTGTTTTTCCTCAGACATATTTAAGAAAAAAGCGTTTTGTAGAACACATTTGGACAAATGATACTTTATATCATTGCTTTGTTTTTTAAATTTTAGTTTGACTCAATTTTACAGTTTCAGGATTTTGTTTCTGTTTCAGGTTTTAAGCTTTTCTTTTATAAATAGTTACTTTCCTAGTCTGAAATCTATACATTGTTTCAGTAATGAATTCATTATGTAAATTTGCCCATCATTCATCTAAAGGGAATAAACATTAAATTGTTTTTTTAAATTTTGACTTGTGTCACATATGAGAATATAAAGTATATCTGTACAATAAAGGAAAATGAAACATCAAAGTATCTACCTCAGGTTAAGAAGCAGAACTTGGCTGGGCATGGTGGCTCACACCTGTAGTCCCAGCACTTTGGGAGGCAGAAGTGGGAAGATCACTTGAAGCCAGGAGTTGGAGACCAGCTTGTTCAATAAAGGAAGACCTCATCTCTAACAACAACCACAACAGCAAAAAATTAGCCAGGCACGGTGACACATGCTTATAGTCCCAGCTACTGGTGCAGCCTCGAACTCCTGGTCTCAAGCCATCTTCCCACCTCAGCCTCATGTTGTAGTGAACTTTGTTATGCAGTGTCTCCTATTCTACTTGTGCAGGAGTATTTTTCCAGTATGTACCTGGAGTGGAATTGCTTGGTCATTGGGCATGTGTGTGTTCAGCTCTATTGAGTGGCATCATACTGTTCTCCAAGGCAGTTGTACCAATCTACACCCTCACCAGCAGTGAATAGTCTTCCCATTGTTCTTCCTCAATGAAACTAGATATTCACAGCCTTTTAGGTTTTTCCTAGAGTATGAAGTGGTATCTCTTTGGGGTTTTAATATTTATTTCCCTGATTAGAATTGTAGTTGAGTATCTTTTATTATGTTTATGGGCCATTTATGTTTTCTCTTCTGTGAAATTCCTATTCGGGTTTTTTGCTCATTTTAAATGTTGTTGTTTGTGTTTTTCTTATATAGGAATTCTTCACGCATTCAAGATGCACGTATGTTGTTCAGCATAGTACCTGAGACATAGAAACAACTTTGTAAGAATAGCTATCATTACATTACCATTGTATTTAATCCTTTGTTTTTATGTGTTACAATTATCTTCTGCTAATTTGTGGCTTATTTTTCATTCTGTAATGCTCATTTTTTAACCTAGTATTCTATTATTTTAAAAATACACAATCTTGAGTAGTCTACATGTTCATAACCATGACATATTCATGTTGCATTTGTTCTGTGTCATAACCCAGAACTTTCTTTTTTTTTTTTTTTTTGAGATGGAGTTTTGCTTTTGTCACCCAGGCTGCAGTGCAATGGCGTGATCTTGGCTCACTGCAACCTCTGCCTCCTGGGTTCAAGAGATTCTCCTGCCTCAGCCTCCCGAGTAGCTGGGATTACAGGCACCTGCCACCATGCCCAGCTAATTTTTGTATTTTTAGTAATGGTGTTGTTTCGCCGTGTTGGCCAGGCTGGTCTCGAAATCCTGACCTCAGGTTATCTGCCCACCTTGGCCTCCCAAAGTGTTGAGATTACAGGCATGAGTAGCTGCACCCGGCCAACTTTCAATCTTAAGTACCATTTTTTGCTGCTGTTTCTTTTTTTGAACCCCAGGAAAAAATTAACTCATTTAATCCCCTATTCAAACTGCTACAATTTTATTTTCAGTGTTGTCGCCTGGTTGTAGATGCATTTGTCTCTCCAAATGCACTGTGATTATTTCGAAGACAAAACATTTTTGGCATTGTGATATATATATATATATGTATGTATATATGTATATAATATATGTTGTATAAATATTTATGTTTTATATATCATATAAAATTTATATATAAAAATTATATATATATATATATATATATATATATATAAAAATGCCACTTATCCCTAATATAGGGACTCGATTAGTTTCTGCTAGTGTGGAGACAAGTCATATCATGGCTAGGGGCCATGATGGTAGGAGCAGTCAGAGGATTTCTTGCATTGTGATGAGTGCCTATAAGTTAAATGAGCCACTTATCAGTAGATTTGATAGCAGGATAATAGTTATATCACTGATACCTAGGCAGTACATGACACTCGGTAAAGAATAGATTAATCCTCGTGCTCTTCATCTTCCTCCTAATCTCTTTACCTGTGCTGCCCTCCAGCTTTCAAAGTGCTCTGAGTCATCACTTACACAGTGTTCCTTAGCTGCCCCTTCAGTGAGCCAGTGTTTCTGTGCCCCAGTGTTCCTGAGAGTTAGAACACAGAAAACAGAGCAGGCTCTTGCCCACATCACAGAACATCTTTGTCTCCCTGTGGATCCCGCACATTTGTTCATTAGAGCTCAGGAATTGCCAGAGACTGGCTTTTGTGGCAATGGACACTAGATTCTTCAGAAGAATATTGGTTGAAATCTTCCTGCTGTGACAATTCCCTGCATGCAGGGCAGGAGTGTGTGCTTCTTCCCAGCAAAGGCAGAGGCAGGGCCTACAGAAACTGTGCCCGCAGCCTATAGTGATGGGGTCTATGAGGTAATTCAGGCAGATGAGGCAGGTGAGTTCTTTCTGGAAGGCTTGTGGGAAGTCTAAGTCCATTTTTCTGAGGGAAGAAAACCAGAAGAATTTATTCTTATGCCACAGAGAGGCAAAGATCTACACAAAGTTTGAATCAGGTTTTGAGTAGGATTCGCTCACAGGTTTAAATCTATAGCAGGATACGATTTTATTTTGCACATAACAAAAATGAAAAACTGAGGCATAGAATTCAAGCTTTGCAGAAAAATGTGTTGGCTCCCTAACCAACACACACACACACACACACACACACACACACACACACACCCCTACTTTCCAAATTCTTTCCTCCTGTATGAAAAAAACTTAAGGCTGGGCACAGTGGCTCATGCTTGTAATCCAGCACTTTGGGAGGCTGAGGCAGCAGGATTGCTTGATCCAAGGAGTCCAAGACCAGCCTGGGCAACATGATGAGACCCTGTCTCTACAAAAAGAAAAGGAGAAAAAAATTAGCTGAGCATGCCAATAGTCCCAGCTACTAGGGAGGCTGAGGTGAGAGGATTGCTTGAGCCTAGGAGGTCAAGGCGGCAGTGAGCCATAATCCAGCCACTACACTCTAGCCTGAATGACAGAGCAAGACTCTGTCTCAGAAATGAACAAAGAAAGAAAAAGAGAGAGAGAGAGGGAGGGAAGGAGGAAGGAAGGAAGGAAGGAAGGAAGGAAGGAAGAAAAGGAAGGAAGGAAGTTTACAGAGTTTTTTGAGGTGTTAGTGTTCCCTAAATTGTATGGTCTTCAGAGGTTTACCCTCCTATAGCTTCAAGGGGTGAGTCCTGACTGGTAGGAAAATCAATCACACTCTTACTTGCCAGTGATTCATTTAGGGAAGACAGCTAACTAAGCTCTTCCACTTTGATTATTTCATTTAATTGTAACAACCATCTTATTATGACTTCTTCAAAATTACCCTGCCAGTAAGTGTTGGAGGACTCCCCAGAAGCAGAAACCACCATGCTTCCTGTATAGCCTACGGAACCATGAGCCAACTAAAGGTGTTTCTCAGGTATTTCTTTATATCTTTGGCCAAAATTAAAGAGTTAGGCTTTACTCTCCAAGATACTGCAATGGACAAAAACAAGCCACCACTGTTTTCTAATGTTGTTTTCTTGTTAATTCAATCAACAAGTATTTTCTGGTAAGTTTAGTGTTCCAGAGACTGGTAACCTGGTGATGCACCAGTTAATAAAACATCCTTAAGAGAAATAAAAGTTGAAAAATGAACCAGATGATAAAATGCAGTAGTGTACACAATCCCACTTATCCACAGGTCTTCTGTGTGTCACCCATGATCCAGAAAATGTCTTTAGTATAAGCCATTGATAAAGATGCCTGAAAAATTTACGTATAGAAGACATAGTCACAAAATTATTTTTTTCCTTTGATATCCCTTGTTACTTCAAACAGAATTTACCACTCCAATTCGATTTCTGAATACATGGGAGTTAATAGAATACTTCTAATCCATTTATAGGATCTACACTAAGTAAAAAAATTAAAGACATCTGAAAACTATTTTGTGAGTCCTTATAATCCATATCAACAATCATGGAATATATTAAGTAATAGACCAAAAATTAATCATCATATTAACCAAAAACACATAGCAAGACAAGATAACTAAATATTTTCATTTGGAAATTGGGAAATTTAGTCAATTTTAAAACTCAGCAAATGAGATCATTTCACAGAAGCAACCTAGGTTTGCTGGTAAATTAAAATTATGACGTTTTGGTTTGGGAGGGTAGTTCCTCTTCTGTAAATTGTGTACTCACATAAGAAATATATCTATGTTCTCACGGACACTTGCTGTAGAGGTAATAATATGAAGTTAGCTCAGGGATCAGGGCCTCACAGTGCAGTGCTGGTAGTTTTTTTTGTTTTTGTTTTTTTTTTTTTTTTTTTGCCCTGCACCTTGAGTAAAAGTTTCCTGAGGCCTCCCCGGAAGCAGAAACCACCATGCTTCCTGTATAGCCTATGGAACTGTGAGCCAACTAAAGGTATTTCTCATGTATTTCTTTATAGGAATGCAAGAGCGTACTAATACAGCTAAGCAGAGGCCATCAGGACCAGCAAAAGTCTGAGCTGGATGAGAGACAAAGCTAAACTTTGAGCAGCAGCAGGAGCTGCCAGGGATTACAGAAAGGAAGGACTGACTCCTAAATTCCAGGATGTCTCCTTTAAGTCTGTAAGAAGCTCAGCCACTGTCTCCTTACCTGACTCCTCTGGGAAAGAGTTTCCCTAGGTTAAACCATACAGGGATAGGGTAGGAGATGCCATTTGGATCTAGGAGCAGAGGGCAGAGACTCAGCAGGAAGAGTGTCTCTTTGAGAAGGATACACAGTGGAGCAGGTGTGTAGGTTCACAGGGCCAGCTATGGGTAGAGTCGGGTGTACATTTTTAGAAGCCACAATTCCCAAAAATCTCCTGACTATAAGATCAGTGCACAGAGCCAGTCAAATGGAGGAGGAGTGGGTCCAGGCAATTCAGGAAGAAGGAAAGTAACAAATGAGTGGTTGCAGGAGGACACTTTTTCTGTCGAGGTCACTAAACAAAACATTGTCTCCTCCCCTTAACTTCGGAAACAATGGAGGGTAAAAGTGTTGCCTGGGCCCTGGGGGCAAAGGCAGTAGATAACTTCTCTGTCGTGTTCTCCAGAAGGGCCCATTCCAGCCTCACAGGCCGAGAAGTCTGTTCAGTTCCCAAGTACTAGAGATGCTGCTATAAGGGACTCCTGAATTTCCTTCCTGAACCAGAGGCTGCCCAGCCTTTTCTTCCTGTTTTATTTTTTCCCAGGAAGAAACTTGCCTGTACAATTACAAGGTTCTACGGTTCTAAATTCCAATCTAGTCTTCCACATCATTTTGAAGGTATAATATTACTTGTCAAAGTGGGATGATAGAAGATATGTGTGGACATAAATTGTTGACAAGGAAAAAAACTAAAATCAGAAAATAAGAAAAAATATATGTATGTACAGTGGTTAGCTAGAAATGTGCCTTTTAAATATTTGGCATGTGGTATGTGGGCCTCAATGTGTACTATTGCACTAGCTTCCCAAATATTAAAGGATGTCTTTTAAAAGAAAAACCTCTTGCTAAAAGGTTAACAGTTAAAATAACCAGAGTGGCACAGGTACCAGTCATTAAGTGAAACCTTTCATCTTCCCAGAATAGTACCTGTTCCCAAGCCAGCTTCTTTGAAAATCACTTTTCTCTCCTTTACTATTTAGTTTACAGATTGTATAGTAACAATACAGAAACCACAATAGTAGCAAAAAAAATAAAGAATATTTTTAAATGAAAACTCACATCCTAACTCTACCAAAACATGAAAATTAAACCTGAATGCCTCCCATTCCTGATATATTTTCACCTAAATATTCAGCTCTGGGATTGCATTGTTTTTGGATTGAGTGGAAATTATTGCCTGGTCTTGAAATCTTCCATAATGTGTGTGTGTGTGTGTGTGTGTGTGTGTGTGCGCGTGCGTGTGTGCATGTGTGTGTGTGTATATGTATGTATGTGTGGTGAATATATTTCTTTTTGTTCGGAGCAAAGATTTTTTCAATATGTATATTTATTTTAGGCAGATTATGCTAGTAATTTTCTACAAATGTGCTTTTTAAAAAATAACCTTTAATTTAAAAAAAATTATTCTTACTCAGTGGCCCACAATTGTTAAAAACGCTACTAATGGAGCTGGGTATGGTGACACACACCTGTCATCCCAGCTACTTGGGAGACTGAGGCAGGGGTATTGCTTAAACTTGGGAATGTGAAACCAGCCTGGGCAACATAGTGAGATCCCAATCTCAAAAATCAATCATTAAAAAATAAAATAAAACACTACTAATAGCTTTTTAAAAAATAGTTCTTAACCAATTTTCCTAGCACCTTCCTTTCCTCAGTGAAGTATAGAAATATGTGGTCAGTCACTGTGGCTCACACCTATAATCCCAATAATTTGGGAAGCCAAGGCATGAGGATCAGTTGATTCCAGGAGTTCAAGACTAGCCAGGGTGACATAATGAGACTTGGTCTCTAACGAAATTTTTTTTTCTTTAATTACCAGGGCATGAGGGTGCATGCCTGTAGCCCAGCTACTTGGAAGGCTGAGGTAGGAGAATCACTTGAGCCCAGGAGGTGAAGGCTGCAGTGAGCCATGGTTGCACCACTGCACTCCATACCTGGGTGACAGAGTGAGACACAGTAACAAAAACAAACAACAACAAAAAGTATTTGTTTTAGAAAAAACATTTGGTGAGATTTGGGCTTAAAAATATATTATTCTAAAATATTCATAAATATTCTCTAGTAATGATAAGATTAAAGTGACAAAGACAAACTTTTTTCCTGTGCAGTTCCATCTCTCACCTTCCTGTAATTTGTCTGTCCCATCCAGCTTCCAAAGGAAATTATTTACAAAATAATGTCTGCATCCTGGGTCTATATATCTATTGCCTATGAGGAGAGCGTTTAAGATCTGAGCCATCTTCAAGTCTTATACTTTGTGTATAGCTCTCATGTTTTTGCAGGTTATGTAAGTTTGTATACCCTTTCTTTTATTAATCTGTGTATGGTCAGTTCATTTCCGGTAATCTTCAGAGGGTGAAAGGGGAAGCTTTTCACTTCACTCCTACTGTGACAACTAACTACCTTCTTACTTATTCAATTTTTTAGTCTATATCAACATTTTTATATACATTTACTTTTAAACAAAATTTTGCATCATTACACTTAAAATTTTATTTAACTTTTAAAAAGGAAATTAAAAATAAAATTAAAAATTATAAAATTTTACATAATAAAAATAAAATAAATGATTTATATAAAAATTAATCTGACCTGTGAAAAACACTGTCCAGAGGCTAGGTGCGGTGGCTAACGCTTGTAATCCCAGCACTTTGGGAGGCCGAGGTGGGTGGATCACGAGGTCAGGCGATCTAGACCACGATGAAACCCCTCTCTACCAAAAATACAAAAAATTAGCGGGGCGTAGTGGCGGGCGCCTGTAGTCCCAGCCACTCGTAGAGGCTGAGGCAGGAGAATGGCGTGAACCCGGGAGGCGGAGCTTGCAGTGAGCCGAGATCGTGCCACCGAAATCCAGCCTGGGTGACAGAGCCAGACTCTGTCAAAAAAAAAAAAAAAAGAAAAAAGAAAAACACTATCGAGAGAATAAAAAGACAAATCACAGACTGGGAGTAAAAATTTACAAAAGCTATATCTGGTGAAGATACATTTGTTATCCAAAATATGCAAAGAACTCTCAGGACTCAATAATAGGAAAACAAATAGTCTAACACAAATGTAGAGATCTGAACAGACATTTCACCATAGAATACAGATGGACGATACATAAGCACATCATTCATCATTAGGGAAATGTAAATTAAAACCACAATGAGATACTGTTACTTGCCTATTAGAATAGCTAAAATTTAAAAGACTGACCATACTAAACATTGGTGAGAACACAAAGGAACAGGAATGCTCATATACTGCTGCTGGAAATACAGCCACTTTGTCAGTTTCTTTAAAAGTTAAACTGGCTGGGAGCGGTGGCTCACGCCTGTAATCCCAGCACTTTGGGAGGCCAAGGCGGGCGGATCACGAGGTCAGGAAATCGAGACCATCCTAGCTAACACGGCGAAACCCCATATCTACTAAACATACAAAAAATTAGCCGGGCGTGGTGGCGAGCACCTGTAATCCCAGCTACTCCGGAAGCTGAGGCAGGAGAATGGCGTGAACCCGGGAGGTGGAGCTTGCAGTGAGCCGCGATGCACCACTGCACTCCAGCCTGGGCAACAGAGCGAGACTCCGTCTCAAAAAAAAAAAAAAAAAAAAAAAAGTTAAACATATCACACCACCTAGTCATTCAAATCCTGCTTATTTGCCCAAGACAAATGAAAGTGTATGTCCAAACGATTGGACAAACATTCGTAGCAACTTTATTTGAAATAGCAAAAACAACTGGAAGCAAACCAAATGTCCATCAAGAGGTGAATAGATACACTAACTGTAGAATATCCACACAATAAAACTATTTTTTTAAAAACTACGGGGCAAAAAACAAAAAACCAAAGATAGAATCTAATTTCTTGGTAAATACATTCACTATTAGGGTTTTTATAACAGAGAAGTCATTCTTTATTAACACTCTTTTGACTATGAAAATATTTTGACATCAAAAATCTGCAAAATATGAAGAAACAAAGGACACACAGCTTTTTCTATTTTTTATTTTTATTTTATTTTTATTTTTTTGAGAAGGAGTCTCTTTCTGTCACCCAGGCTGGAGTGCAGTGGCGCGATCTTAGTTCACTGCAAGCTGCGCCTCCCGGTTCACGCCATTCTCCTGCCTCAGTCTCCCGAATAGCTGGGACTACAGGCGCCCGCTACCAAGCCCGGCTAATTTTTCGTATTTTTAGTAGAGACGGGGTTTCACCGTTAGCCAGGATGGTCTCAATCTCCTGACCTCGTGATCTGCCCGCCTCGGCCTCTCAAAGTGCTGGGATTACAGGCGTGAGCCACCACCCCCGGCCCCAGGACACACAGCTTTAAAATTTCTCCTTGGTCTCACCCAGTGCCAACCACCTAAAACCTCTCATTTTCCCCCAGACATTTCTTCTGCCTCCAGGATGGAGGTAGAGAATCTTGGCCTTGGACCACGCACTGGGGACCATGCTGGGCTGCCGTGGACAGTGACGGACTCAGGTTCTCACCAGGATCCCCAAAATAGGCCCCTGAAAAAAATGTTACCATCAGGGTGCGCTCCCTGATTCTTGTGTCTGCTGGAAGGAGGAAATCAAGCCAGGAACATTGTCAGGATAGAGATGAAAATGGGGCTCACTTTTCTGTCTTTTGTGATGTCAGACAAGCCTTTCAGCTCTGTCTCTTCAGCCCTCATGGAATTGTTTGGTGTGGACGCACCGAGATTCTGAACTGGGTCCCCTTTCCCTCTGCCCTTCTCTGGGGCCAGATTCTGAGCTCTCCATTCCAATTTTTCCCCCAATTTGCCCTTGCATTTATTTATCTGGATTACTGTCTGCCTGTCCCAAAGAATAAAAGCTTTATCACAGTGGGGATTTTGTTTAAAAAAATAATAATAACAGCTATATTTTTAGGATCCATGACACTGTCCAGCATATCGGTGGTATCTGATAAAAAATGTTTGTTGACTGGATGAACAAATATATTATTCACAATTCACATTATCCTGAACTGGCTAGAAAATTAAATATCTGATATCAGTATTGGCAATATTATGAAGTAAATATAAGTCTGATACAGTGCTCGTGAAAGTCTAATATGCAATGCTCATTTTAGAAAACATTTTCTTGTAGATTTGAAAATGTTTCATCTCCATGAACTAGTTGTATATCTGCAAGTTGTGTATCTTTGGGTTAGGCAGAATAATTGCCCCCCACCAAAGACAGCCACATCCCAGTCTTCAGATAAGGTGAACATGCTAACGTAAGTTAGCATGTTCAAAGAGACTTGGCAGATGTGATTACCATTAAGGGCATTGAAATGGGGAAATTACCTTGAATTACCTTGGTGAGCCAGTCTAATCTCATAATTCCTTGAGAGCAGAGAATATTTTCTGGATGCTGAGATTCAGACAGATGGCAGTATGAGAAAGATGTGGCCTGCTATTACTGGCTTTTAAAACAGTGGTAGGGGGCCACAAGCCAAGAAAAGCCAGTGACCTTTAGAAGCTGGGAATGACCCAAAGTTTACAACCAGGAAGAAACTGAGGATCTACAACCACAAGGAACTGAATTCTGCCAACAACCCAGATGCTCTTTTAGAGCCTTCAGAAAGAAATGCAGCCTGCCAACATCTTGATGTTAGTTCAGTGAGAGCCATGCCAGATTTCCAACCAAAACAATTCTAAGACAATAAGTCTGTGTGTGTTTTTTAAAACTGACTCAAATCTTACAAAAATGTGTTCTTTTAAGCCACTGAATTTGTGGTAAATTGTTACAGCAGGAATAGAAAACTGATACAACCCTAGAGAAAGTCTTGTACATGTGCCCTATAAACACACAGCAGAATTTTTTTAACTTTTTATTGAGTTAAAAAATATATATATATAATTTACCATCTGTACATTTTTAGAGGACAGTTTAGTGGTGATAAATACATTTATATTTTCTTCTCTTAATCTCCTCTTCCCACTCCCCTTGCTGGCCTCTAGCAACCACCAATTTACTTTCTATCTTCATGAGATCCACTTTTTTACTGCCCACATATGAGTGACAACATGTGGTATTTGCCTTTCTGTGCTTGGCTCATTCCACTTAACATAATGGCCTATGTTCATTACGTTAAACCAAATGGCCAGTGCCACCTATGTTGCTGTGAATGACAGAATTTCATTCTTCTTTGTTTCTGAGTAGTATTGCATTATGTATATATATGACTTTTAAAATCTATTCATTTGTTTATGAGCACTTACGTTGATTCCATATTTTGTCTATTGTGAATAGTGCTGCAGTACACATCGGCATGTAGATATGTCTTTGATACATTAATTTCCTTTATTTTGGATATACATCCAGTAAAGAAATTGCTGGACCACATGGTAGTTCTATTTTTACTTTTTTGAGGAACCTCCATACTATTCTCCATAGTGGCTTTATTAATGTGGATTCCCACCAACAGTGTACTAGTATTTCCCTTTCTCCACATCCTTGCCAGCATCTGTTATTGCCTGTCTTTTTGAAACAAGTCATTTCAACCAAGGTGAGATGATATTGCATTGTGATTTTGATTTGCATTTCTTTGACGATTAGTGATACTGAATATTTTTTGTCTTCCTATTGGCCATTTGTTTGTCTTCTTTTGAGAAAATATCTGTTCAGATCTTTAGCCCATTTTTAAATTGTATTTATTTATATATTTTTAACTATTTTTTTTGAGAAGTAAGGTCTTGCTTTGTCACCCAAGCTAAAGGGCAGTAGCATAATCATAGCTCACTGTAACCTCAAACTCCTGGGATTAAGAAATCCTCCTGACCGGGCGCGGTGGCTCACGCCTGTATTCCCAGCAATTTGGGAGGCAGAGGTGGGCGGATCACGAGGTCAGGAGATCGAGACCATCCTGGCTAACATGGTGAAACCCCGTCTCTACTAAAAATACAAAAAATCAGCCGGGCTTGGTGCCGGGCGCCTGTAGTCCCAGCTACTCAGGAGGCTGAGGCAGGAGAATGGCGTGAACCCCGGGGGAGCAGAGCCTGCAGTGAGCCGAGATCACGCCACTGCACTCCAACCTGGGCGACAGCGAGACTCCATCTCATAAAAAAAAAAAAAAAAAAAAAAAAAGAAATCCTCCTACCTCAGCCTCTTCAGTAGCCCATTTTTCAATCAGATTTTTTGTTTGTTTATTATTGAGTTGTTTGAGCTCCTTATATATTCTACTTGTTAATCCTTTGTCAGATAGATAGTTTGAAAATATTTTGTCCCATTCTGTGCTTGGCTCTTCACTTTGTTGATTGTTTCCTTTGCTTGAGGCTTTTTAGTTTGATATAATCCCATTGTCTATTTTTGCTTTTGCTGCCTGTGCTTCCGAGGTCTTACGCAAAAAAATCTTTGCCCAGACTAATGTCCTGGAGCATTTCTCCTATGCTTTCTTTCTTTCTTTTTTTTTTTTTTCACGCCATTCTCCTGCCTCAGCCTCCCGAGTAGCTGGGACTACAGGCGCCCACCATCATGCCCCGCTAATTTTTTTTTTGTTTTTTGTATTTTTAGTAGAGACGGAGATTCACCGTGTTAGCCAGGGTGGTCTCGATCTCCTGACCTTGTGATCCGCCCGCCTTGGCCACCCAAAGTGCTCAGATTACAGACAAGAGCCACCGCGCCCGACCTTTCCTATTTTTTTTTTTTTTTTACTAGCTTCATAGTTTCAGGTCTCAGATTCAAGTCTTTAATCCATTTTTATTTGATTTGATTTTTGTGTATGGTGAGATGGGTTTAATTTTATCCTTCTGCATATGGTTATTCAGTTTTCCCAGGATCATTTATTGAAAAGACTGTTGTTTTCCCAGTGTATGTTCTTGATGCCTTTGTCAGAGATGAATTGTTTGTAAATGTGTAGATTTGTCTGCGATCTCTATTCTGTTCCACTGTCCTATGTGTCTGTTTTTATGCCAGTAGAAATATATTGGCAATAATTAGTACAGAAGAGCTGAAACAATGAAATGACAAAAGTGAATTATACTGATATAATTCATTATGCTCACTAAATGCAATAGCATACAGCTAGGAAAACAAAGTAGTGCACACGGTATTAAAATACAACACAATTCAATATACACAGTGCTCACAGTGGCCATCGTTAGAGTGTTGAAGAAGGGGATGTAGTCAGCAAAAGTTGTACAGGTGACTTCAAAAGTAATCATAAGCACTTATGATTACTTTTGGCTTAATTTCTTAAACCAAGACTGGAGACACAGGTGTTCATTATGTGCTTATTATATATATAAAATAAATATTTTATAAATATATTGTTTCTATTCAGTATTTAATAAAGTAAATCAGTAGAAAAGGTTAAAAAGCAATGCACACATATTTCAAATATTTTTTGCTCCAAATTATATAAACATTGCATAGTTATTGCCCTGGGCCTGGCAAGGTGACTCACACCTCTCATCCTAGCACTTTAGGAGACTGAGGCAGGAGGATAGCTTCAGCCCCAGAGGTCAAGGCTGCAGTGAGCCTTAATTGCACTACTGCACTCCAGCCTAGGTGACAGAGCAAGATGCTGTCTGAAGATAAAAATAAAAATAAGTTAATAAATATATGTTTATATATTAACTGATTTTATTAACTATATATATATATAGTTGTTGTCTTGGTCTATAGGCAATCTTACAGTGCTTAAGACTTTGATACTGAGAACAGATCTCCTAGGTATATGCTATGTTTCTGGGGTGATATGATGCTCTCATCTGGCCTCCGTGAGCCTAATTCTATCTTACATTTACCCCACTCTTCAACAACAACTTGGGGAGGTGTCCCTAAACATTCCTAGGTGAACCCAAACCTGTGGCCCTCAACACATTTCTAGGTAAAGCAAGCTCCTGACATATCTGTGGATATCCTCTCACTGGAAGAAGGGGGAAGAGACCATCTCAAAATAATTCATTTAATATAGCTTTTCAGCATTAATTTTATTTTGATAAAGAGACACACAGTAAATAAAATTTCTAAAAAACTATAAACTTTCAAGCATTCTCACGCTAAATCTAGCCCTGCTTACATGCCAGGGAAATATAAAGGTAATCTGTTTCTCAACCTGACCAGGATGCTACAGTAATTAAAAATAAACTCAATCCCTGGATCCCTACCAAAGGGACATTTCATATGGATCAAAGTTCTGGAAAAATTATTTGTCTGGAAATAGACTAATTCTCCAAAATATAATTGAAATAACAGCCTCTGGAAAGGGCCAAATACGACTCTTAATGAAACAACAGCTAAATATAGGTCTGATGCTCATTCCGTGTGGACAACAATAGCAGCCATTCCCACAAATGGCTGATTTGTGGGAAGTAAACACTACTTTTGCAGAATCTTTCATGATTTCAGTAGAAGGTCAAGGACATTTCAGTTGGGAACAGATTGCTCCATGGTAATACGATCACTATGTACCCAACAATGGCTCTTTCTTCCTAGCCTCAATGCAGATGTTATTTTCACCTTAACTATTATCATTGCTGTTTCTAACCACATAAAAGTGTATCCTTTATATATCTGAAGTAAATTCATACTAGTGGTGTAACATCTCCAGCCATTTAAGTGTAAAAACAGAAAACATATGATGTGTTTACTTACTGTTTTATACTCCTAATGCATGAAGAGAAGATCCTTTTATTCATTGCCTATACTTTTATTTCTAAACTTTCTGTAACACTTTATCTTATATCCAGCATAGAATTGAGATTTGCTTTTTGATTTAATCTGACAATATTTTTTCCTCTAATAAGAGTCAAGCCCACTTACTTTTAATGATAAATTGTGTTTGGTTATATTTTGATTACAGTATATTATGCTATGATTTATATGCACATATCTGTCTTTTGCTGTCTTGTTTTATTGCTTTTGTTTTGATGTTGTGATATTTGGAAGAGTTAAACTTTTATTCTGATGGCTACCTTATGTAATTTCATAAAATCATCTCTTTCTTTAGACAGTAGCTAATGTCTCTAAACTAAGAACAATGGTATTAGCTGTATTCTCTTTCTTGTCCTCCCTATGTGATTTTTCATCCCACAATTTGATTTAATCATATTAACTTTGTTTCCCCTGGTGCCATTAAGTATGCTTACATTTCTATAAACAATATCCTTTGACTCCCAGGCATTACAGATGAGCAGTCAGTAAAATCATTCTGAGGAATACTTTCTCTTTCCTTTTCTTCCATTTTTCTTAGTTGTATCATTTCTATATTGCCAGAGCACCTACAGTTGCATTTCTTTCTGTCAGCTTTATCCAGCATTTGTTCTTGTCTTTTATTTGAAGTTAAATATATTCCTTGCTCACTACAACACTGGGGGAAGGAAGGTTTCTGTTGTCGTCGTGCTTGTACAATTGTTTATTTAAAAACATTGGCGAAAACAAAAACTGTATGTAGATGGAATGGAGATAAGACAGAAAATGAGAGAGACTGATGATGAGTGTGCCTATTCTAGACTGGGAGGCGTGCTACACTGAGTAGTGTCTCCAAGGCTGCAGGAAAGGATGGTTGATTGTGAGCAGGTGGACTTTCCACTGGAGGAGAGAAGTCCTGCGCTCAACAACCTGTGCAGAACCAGAAACTGGTAATGCTTCAAATCAACTTACAGACCTGGAGGTAGAAATTTAAGAAAACTCGTTTAGCACATAGTTTCCTAGAAAATATTAGCTACTATTTGCTGAGCATCTGTCAGGTCTGTCTGTAGTATGGAAGATCTAAGTACAGGGGAAACTGGATTAGTAACAGTGGGTCAGAAAATTATATAATATTCAACCAAAATTCCTGCTTTACATACACAGCACCTGGTATTTCCAGAACTAGAAGGTAAAGAAATTATTTGTGCTTGAACTTGCAGAAAACTGCCTTTTCCCTTCTTCTCTTGCATCTTAACCTGGAGCTTCCCTTTTCTTGAGCCTCAGTGTGCTTCCCAACTCAATTTATAATTGACTTCCTGCAGTTTCTCCTTAGGACAGGGCTTTGTTTTGGGGGTGGTTAATTTGTAGGGTTCATAGGAAACAGACCACTCACAGCACTGCTTTTTGCCACCCTCACTCTCAGCTATGAGTTGAGGCCCAGGAAGCCTTCTGCCAGCCTCAGCTGCTGTTCTCAGATTAATCTGCTGAGTTCTTTTTGCCTAGTAAGAATCTCTGAATTTAGGAACATAGATGTTAGCGCTTGTATTTCTAGGTTTTCCAGTTCCCAGGGCCATTAAACATTTTTTTCCTTTCCTTTCCTTCTTCCAAAAAAATTGGTGATTCCCCTGGGTCCCTGTGGTTTAACCTCACAAAACGTCCATGATGACACCCTGTTACATTGTTTTGTCGTAGTTAATACCTTGTTATCCCAGTTGCTCAGTCAGTTTTTGTGAGAGATTCAGGGATCTTAATAAAACTGTGCTGCTACTGCTACTAACATCTTGCATAAAAGCCCGATTAATTAAAATGTTTATTTTGCATGTGATTTGAACTTGTAATTTTTATTCAAAGTTTTTCAACAGAGATCCAGAAAAGACCCTCCTTATATTTTTAGTTTTGTGCATTGCAACACTTTTTAGTGAAAAAAAAAATGAGAACAACACAAGTGATTTTAAAAGAATAAACCTACAATCCATTAATTATAAAATGAAATACTATGCAGGTGTTAAGAATGAGGGAATCAATAAGAACTTGTGTGGGGTAACTATAAACTTTTAAAAAATAAATTTAATGCTCATGTGACCATATTATCGTTAAAAAAATACAAGCATACTTGCACACACCTTCAAGCAAAATGGGTACACGCATTTAAAAATATTTAAATTAAGTAAATGGCCCAATAATTTAACTTCGTACAATTCTATGTTCTCTGATTATTTTATATGCCAGAAACAGGCATTACTGTTTTGTTTATTTCATTTGAAATAATTGTAGTCACATGAGGTTTAAGTTATAATACAGAGAGGTCACATATGCCTATTTTCTAATTGGTATCTTATTACTATTGAGTTTTGAGAATTTTTTACATATGCTAGATGTAAGTTCTTTGTCAGATATATGGTATGCAAATTATTTCTCCCAGTCTGTAATTCATTTTTTCAACCTCTTTACAGGGTCTTTCTAAGTAAAAAAAAAAAAAAAAAAAAAAAAAAAAAAAAAGTGTTTATTTATTCTAATGAAGTCCAGTTTTATCACTTTTTCCTTTTGTAGATTTTGTTTTTAATATCAAGCCTAAAAATTCTTTGCCTAGCCCAAGGTCTCAAGAGTTTTCTTCTATTTTAAAAAGTTTAGTGAATTTATTTATTTATTAATTATTTTTGAGACGAGGTTTCGCCCAAGCTGTAGTGCAGTGGTGCCATCATTGCTCACTGCAGCCACTAACTGCTGGATTGAAGTGATGCTTCCACCTCAGCCACTTGAGTAGTAGCTGGGATTACAGGCACGAGCTACCATACACAACTTTAAGTTTTATAATATTACATTTTACATTTAAGCCTGTGATTTATGTGAGCTAAATTTTATATAAAGTATAAATTTAGGTCAGTCTTAGTTTTTGTACCTGTGAATGTCCAATTGCTGTAGCACCATTTGTTGAAAAAGATATCCTTCCTTTAAACTGATTTTGCATCCTTGTTAAAAAAAAACAGTTGAATATAGTGTGGTCTGTCAGCTTTTAATAAGATAAAAACATTGACACTCACCAGATATCGAAGTTTAGAAATTTTTTTAAAGCTAAACTTCTGAAAATAGAATAAAAACACCTTCACATGTCAAATTAGTCAATTTCTATAGGACTAATTCATTTAAATATATTAAAATACAAAATAATTCAAACTACTAAAGTGATAATACAAGACTATAAATTTAAAGGCTAATTATTAAGTCAAATTGCTGTATTCTACGTGTTAGAGTGAGTTCAAAAGATCCATTGCATTACTGAATAGGCAAAAGTTTTAATTTCAGAGGATGAAACTGATATATTACTGCCACCTTGTGGATATTCTGTTATTACAGGCTATTATAAAAAGCAATGAGGGTATGTAATCTGTTCTAAGAAGAAGCATTTCCTTTTTTTGAGGTTTTTATTATTGTTATTATTACATTTTAAGTTCTGAGATACATGTACAGAACGTGGAGGTTTGTTACATAGGTATACACATGCCATGGTGGTTTACTGCACCCGTCAACCCATCATCTACATTAGGTATTTCTCCTAATGCTATCACTCCCCTAGCCTCCCACCCCCCTGACAAGCCCCGGTATGTGATGTTCCCCTCCCTGTGTCCATGTGTTCTCATTGTTCAACTCAAAAGAAAAACAGAAGCATTTTCTGATTTCCCAATTTCTTAAATACAATGCAACTTTATGTTTAATTTAACTAACTTAATTTTTTGAGACAAGGTCTAGCTCTGTTGCCCAGGCTGGAGTGGAGTGGTGTGAATATGGTTCAGTGAAACCTCCACCTCCCTGGCTCAAGTGATCCTCCTTCCTCAGCCTCTCGAGTAGCTAGGACCACAGGCACGCACCACCATGGCCAGCTAATTTCTTTTTTATTTTTTGTAGAGATGAGGTCTCACTTTGTTGTCCATGCTGGTCTCAAACTCCTGGGCTCAAAGGATCCTCTTGCCATGGCCTCCCACAGCGCTGGGATTTATAGGTGTGTGCCATGGCACCAGGCCTAAGCAACTGTAGAGAAGCCTTTTTTTCTTTCATAAAAACAGTTGTAGATATTTTCCTTATGGAATTTATTTGTGGTGAAATATTTTAATAGATGGTTTGTTAATAATTTGTCTCAGATAATAATTGATTAATATTAAAACTACAAAACAAGTAGGATCTTCTTTTTCTATGAAAAATGAAAGTTGATTCTGACATTTATGTAAACATTTTAAATATTCAAAGTATATAAATGTGAAGTCCTATCAAGAGTAATTAGACAAGAGAAAGAAATAAAGGGCATTCAAATCGGAAAGGAGGACATCAAATTGTTCCTATTTGCAGATGACATGATCTTATATATAGGAAAACCTGAAGACTACCAGAAAACTTTTAGAACAAACAAATTCAGTGAAGTTGCAAGACACAAAACTAATACATGAAGATTGGTTGCATTTTTATATATGAACAACAAACTTGCTGAAAAAGAAATTAAGAAGGCAAACCCATTTACAATAGTTACCAAAAAAAAAAACCCAGACATAAATGTAACTAAGGAGGTAAAATGAAAACTACAAAACACTAATGAAAGAAATTGAAGAGGATACAAACAAATGAAAAGACATTCATACTCATGGATCAGAAATATGAATGTTGTTAAAGTGACAGTACTACTCAAAAGCAACCTACAGATTCAATGCAATCTCTATCAAAATACCTATGAACATTCTTCACAAAATTAAAAAAAAATCCAAAGAGATTTTATGGAATCAAAAAGTATCCTGAATAGCCAAAGCCATCCTAAGCAAAAAGAACAAAGCTGGATGTATCATGCTACCAGACCTCAGAATACACTACAAAACTGTAGTAACCAAAACATCATGGTATTGGCATAAAAACAGACACATAGACCTATGGAATAGAATAAAGAACCCAGAAAATCCACATATCTCAGCCAACGGATTTTTTACAAAGATGCCAAGAACACTCATTGGGGAAAGGATAGTCTCTTCAATAAATTGTGCTGGAAAAACTGGATATCCATATGCAGAAGAATGAAACTAGACCTCTGCCTCTCACCCTATACAAAGATCAACTCAAAGTATCTCAAATACCCAAATATAAGACCCAAAATGGTAAAGCTACTAGAAGAAAACATAGGGGAGATCCTTCAGGACATTGCTCTGGGAAAATATTTTATGAATAAGGCATCAAAAGCACAGGCAACAAAAGAAAAAATAAACAAATAGGATCACATCAAGCTAAAAATCTTCTGCACAGCAAAGGAAATAAGAAAGTGAGTGAAAAGACAACTTACAGAATGGGAGAAAGTATAAACTCATCTGGCAGGAAATTAATATCAAGAATATACAAGGAATTCAAACATATCAACAGCAAAGAAGCACAACAATCTAATTAAATATAAACAAATGCTCTGAACAGACATTTCTCAAAAGAAGACATACAAATGACCAACAAATATATGAAAAAATGTTCAACACCACTAATCAGCAAGGAAATGCTAATCAAAGCCACAGTGAGGCATCATCTTACTTCAGTTAGGATGGCTATTATAGAAGAGACAAAAATAACAAATGCTGACAAAGACGTGAAGAAAAGGGACTTTTTTTTTTTTGACAGAATCTCACTCTCCGTCCAGGCTGGAGTGCAGTGGTGGTGTAATCTGGCTCCCTCTGCTTCTAGGGTTCAAATAGTTCTCCTCCCTCAGCCTCCTGAGTAGCTGGAGAAAAAGGAACTCTTATGCACTGTTGGTAGGAATGTAAATTAGAGCAGCCAGTATGGAGAACAGTATTGAAACACCTCAAGCAATCCCACTACTGGGAATTTATCCAAAGGAAAGAAAAGCATTATATTGCAGAGACATCTGCATCCCCATGTTTATTGCAACAGTGTTCACAATAGCCAAGATATGGAATCAACCTAGGTTTCCAACAACAGATGAATGGATTTTTAAAATACGGTATATATACACCAAGGAATGCTATTTAGCCATAAAAAAGAATAAATAAAACCCTGTCATTCTCAGCAACATGGATGGAACTGGAGGATATTATGTTA
This sequence comes from Homo sapiens, assembly GCF_000001405.40. Lineage (NCBI taxonomy): Eukaryota > Metazoa > Chordata > Mammalia > Primates > Hominidae > Homo > Homo sapiens. The sequence continues at coordinate 64,755,680 of NC_000009.12, forward strand.
AGCAAAATAAGCCAGGAATAGAAATTTCAACACCACATGTTCTCACTCACGCAGAAGCTAAAGAAAAGTTGATCTCATAGAAGTAAAAAGTAGAACAGAGGATACTGCAGGCTGAAAAGGGTAGGGAGAAAGGAGGAATGGTAAGAGATTTGTTAATGGATACAAAATTACAGCTAGGTAGGAGTAATAAGTTCTAGTGTTCTATAGTACTGTAGATGACTATAGTTAACAATACTATATTATGTAGTTTAAAATACCTAGGAGTAGTTTGAATGTTCCCAACACAAAGAAATAATAAATGTTTGAGATGATAGATATGCTAATTACCCTGATCTGATCACCATCTACATGTACTGAAACATCCCCATATAGCCATGAATATGTATAATCTTTGTCAATTTAAAAAGTAAAAAAAAAAATTAATCTTGGAGAATGCATTTGAAGAACTTGTACTCAAGAAATCAACTTAAGAACCTGAGTCTCCTTGGAATTTGTGTTTTCTAGACCAGTACTTCTCCAAATTAAAGCAAATTTAGGCTGGGCATGGTGGCCCATGTCTATAATCTCAGCCTTTGGAAGGCCGAGGCAGACAGATCACTTGAGGTCAGGAGTTCGAGACCAGCTGACCCAACATTGTGAAACCCTGTCTCTACTAAAAATACAAAAATTAGCCGGGCATGATGGCATGTGCCTGTAATCCCAGCTACTTTGGAGGCCGAGGCAAGATAATCGCTTGAACTGGAGAGGTGGAAGTTGCAGTGAGCCGAGATTGCACCACTGCGCTCCAGCCTGGGCAACAGAGAAAGACTCTGTCTCAAAAAAAAAAAAAAAAAAGCGAATTTAGTTCACTTTGGTATTGTGTCAAAATGTTGATTCTTTTAAAGTAAATCTAAAGAATTTAGATGTAGTTGAAGCTTGTCATCTGTTCTTAATTTTTTTAATAAAAATATAATATTTAGATTCAGAGTAAATCTAAAGTGAGACCTGAAGCTGCTCCCAGGTGATACTGATGCTGCTTATTTTTGCCCAGATTTTTAGTCACAAGGTTCTAAATTATCGTTTTGAAGTCCTACATGAGTAATCACTTGGGGAGCTCAATTAACACCCAGCAACAGACTAATTATTAATAAACCAGAATCTTCAGTATTAGGCTTCAATCATTGGCAATTTTTTTTTTTTGACACACAGTCTCCCACTGTCGCCCAGGCTGAAGTCCTGAGGCCAGAATGAGACTAGGACATGGTTCCTTTGCCTAAGTAAACTGAGGCAGAAAATGGAATACTTCAGACTTCAAATTAGTATGGTAAGTCCTATGAAGAGTATGATTAGAGTTCATTATTTACCCAGAAAAGGGTCACTCAGCCCAGCCTGGGAGTTAGAGAAGGTTTCCTGAAGTCTTGACATGTGAGTCGTGAAAGGACATAAGGAGTTAACCACGTGACAAAATAAGCTAAGAGAATTCTCAACAAAAGACAAAATATTGGCAAAGGCTTTTAGGCATATACTAGCTTAGTATTATTGGGAGAATGTAATGATTTTCTGTATTTCAAAAGTGTAAAATACAAAGTGGGCCATGATATGAGATAAACCAGTAAATATGTTCTGGGAACAGATCATAGAAGGGCGTGTATGCTGTCCTAAGGAGCTTAAACTTCAACTTCAGTTCATGGGAGCCAATGACAAGATCTGAGCAGGGGAAGGATGTGGCTAGAGGGGCATCTTAGACAGACAAGATCCTCTGTGGATTACACCTAGGCTAAGCAACGGGTTAAAGTTGTTGTCTTAAGACAATAGTCCAGGTAAAAGATAATAAAGTTTTAAATTAGGATGTTAGTAGGAATGAGGAAGAGGGATGGATTTCAGAAATAGTAAGGAAATGTATTAGCAGGACTTGATTAGTGATTGACTTGGGGAAGGAGGGGAAGATAGAGTTCAGGATGACTCCGAGACTGTCTGGTGTCGGTGGCTAATAACTGAAGCTATTAATAGAGGTAGGAAATGCAGACCAAAAGCAGGCCCGGGGTGAGAGATGATAAATTTGAATTTTAACATGTTGAGTTTGGACATCCAGGATGAAATAATCACAAAACATTTAAATATACGAATCTGAAAAGGTAAGCATCATAAGCATATGAGCTATTGGTAAAATTCTGATACTTAATGAAGTCTCACAGGGAGGCAGTACAGAGGCAAGCAATGGGCTGGGGATAAAACATAGGGAAATATTATTTAAATAAAGATGAAAGAAAAGGAGCCCACAAAGGAAGCTGAAAAGGCATAGTCAAAAAAAGAGGCTTGCCAAATGCCACCTTTGAAGCTCTGCTGTTACACTTTATAAGGAAACTTTTGGTTACCTGGGATTGCATGCATTTATAAAAGTTTCTATTATTAGGAAGACAATAATAATGATAAGGCTCTTTCTCATTGTTGTCAGTGTAATTTATCTATTTAATTATAGAACCTAGTTCCAGGATGCTTAATCTGAAGTATATACTTGGGGCAAAATGAATTATATCTTAATAATAATCTGGAATTTTTATCTCTAACTTGACATATTTTAATTCTTGCTAGATTTTCAAAATGTCATACCTTGAACCACCGCCAGATGGCTATGAGAATGTTACAAATACTGTGTCACCATATAATGCTTTCTCAGCCCAAGGCATGCCAGAGGTAAAATAAAATACATTTGTAACCCAAGTCTTTAAATGGTTCTTTTGCTATATAAAACCTGTATAGAGGACTAAAACCAAGGAAATTAGGTGAATCATTCATGCGGATTCATTGTTTGATATTCAGTGCTATGAAAACCTCATCCCTCAAATTTAAAAAATTATAATAAAATAGAAAACAACACCAGACAGAGAAAAAAGAAACAAAACAAATACATTAAAAACTGACCCTGCTGAAGCAGATGACACTCTTCGAAATAACAAAGAAACTGCTGAACACACCTTTAATTCAGTGAGGCAGTAGGTGTTTTTTTCTTTGTTTGTTTTTGTTTCTTTTTTTTTTTGAGATGGAGTTTCGCTCTTGTCACCCAGGCTGGAGTGTAGTGGCACAATCTGGGCTCACTGCAACCTTCGCCTCCCAGGTCCAAGCAATTCTCTTGCCTCAGCCTCCTGAGTAGCTGGGATCACAGGTGCACACCACCACACCCTGCTAATTTTGTATTTTTTTTAGTGGAGGCGGGGTTTCTCTATGTTGGTCAGGCTAGTCTCGAACTCCCAACCTCAGGTGATCTGCTCACCTCGGCCTCCCAAAGTGCTGGGATTACAGGCGTGAGCCACCACGTTAAAAAGGGAAACTTCCTATTTGCCCTCTGAAGGTTTGCAGAAAATGAATGGACAAAACATAAATTAATAGAAGAAAGAGGCAAAAAAAAATTCTGTAAAATGTAGGGGAAAAATCACAGGGTCTCACTCAGTTGCCCAGCATGAAGTGCAGTGGTGTGATCATGGCTCCTTGCAACCTTGAATTCTCAAGCACAAGTGATTCTCCCCTCTAAGCCTATGGAGTAGCTGGGATCACAGGGGCATGCCACCATGCCCACATACATAGGTATTTGCTGGAGAGGAGATGGAGACTCTCTGTCCTGGATGTGAGACAGGTGTCTGGCATCTGGGTAAGGATGACATTCCCTCATTGCTAAAGAGTAAAAGAGAAAAGTGTCATGGATAGTGCAAGCAGGGACATGCCCTGACCTAGTGAGGTCCAGAGGCTTATATTGTCCTTCATAGGGGAGTGGGAAGAAGCGAGTGTAGGCAACCCAGGGGAAATAAATGACCTAAAATAAAAGAAATAGATCATCAGAAGTGTAGATGTATTAGTCAGGGTTCTCTAGACTGACAGAATTAAAGGACTATATACATATATATATGAAGGGGAGTGAGATGGTTAATAATGAGTGTCAACTTGATAGGATTGAGGGATATGAAGTATTGATCCAGGGTGTGTCTGTGAGAGTGTTGCCAAAAGAGATTAACATTTGAGTCAGTGGGCTGGGGAAGGCAGACCCACCCTTAATCTGGTGGGCACAATCTAATCTGCTGCCAGCAAATATAAAGCAGGCAGAAAAATTTGAAAAGGAGAGACTGGCCTAGCTTCCCAGCCTACATCTTTCTCCCATGCTGGTTTCTTCCTGCCCTCAAACATTGGACTCCATGGCTCTCCTTTCTCATCAGTTTGCAGACAGCCCATTGTGTAACTTATGATCCTGTAAGTTAATAAACTCCCCTTTATAAATAAATATATATATGTGTGTGTGTGTGTGCATATATATGTATGTGTGTGCGTATGTATATATATATGTATATATCCTGTTAGTTCTGTCCCTCTAGATGTCACTGGCTAATACAGGAAGTTTATTAAGTATTAACTCACACAATCACCAAGTCTCACAATAGGCCATCTGCTGGATGAGGAGCAAAAAGAGCCAGCCAGAGTTCCAAAACTGAAGAACTTGGAGTCCATGTTCGAGGGCAAGAAGCATCCAGCATGGGAGAAAGATGTAGGCTGGGAGGTGAGGCCCGTCTCTTTTCACATTTTTCTGCCTGCTTATAGTATGGCTGGGTTGGCAGCTGATTGGATTGTGCCCACAAAGATTAAGGGTGGGTCTGCCTTTCCCAGCCCACTGACTCACATGTTAATTTTTTTTGGCAACACCCTCACAGACACACCCAGGATGAATACTTTACATCCTTCAATCCAATCAAGTTGACACTCGTTATTAACCATCACAAGCCCACCCCTTGTGAACTTGAACCCACACACATCTCCTGAGATCATACATAATCTTAAAATACAGACAATAGTAAGGTCATAATTACCCCTAACATAATAAACTATCCTTCCTACAACTGGAAATGCACCCATCCCCAACCCAAATACTCTTACATAAAGTAAACAATACTTAAATGCTGATATGAGGTCAGCAAATCTATGTCACCTGATAAAGAAAAGGGAAATGAAATGAAGATATTTTCTTAGTACAAGTGCATACATGCACAAACATGTTTCTAACAAAAGAAGGAAATACTCATGATAGTTCCAGTCCTCATTTCTGCAGCTGGTCAGGTGGTTGTAGCTGGTATTGATAACTACTTTCTTCCACTATTCATTCTGTATTCCCTTTGCCTTCAGCAAGCACCTCAGAAGGTCGTGACCCGGAGAGGATCTGGACCGTTTGTAGTCCTACCTGGATTGGGTATAGTTTCCCATTTACCTTAATCAGAGTGCATGATAATACCAAGAGACGCCCTAATGGATCTCCTATATTCCATGCATACTCTTCCTCACTTCCATTGTGGAGTAGCGGACTGACTTCATCTTGATAGTCTGGGTCAATCACTGCCACCAACACTGTAACTCCATTCTTAGCTTGTTGACTTAAAGGTAGGAGGACCCCAAAGCATCCAAGTGGCCATCTTAACTTCCAGTTTAATGGAATCGTTATTGTGTCTCCTGGTAGCAGCGTTCTTCCCTCTGGAGTTAAGATGACTAGTAAAGCAGAACCTAATGTCGTGGGAACAGAAAGCAAACATTTTGCTAGTGCATCATAGTGAGTGGTTCCACTTTCACATCCACCCCTTGAATCCTGGATCTGTGAATCCTGGCTATGGGAGAAACAATACCATACATTGGGCGCTGATTCAGAGCACACATGGTCTTCTGGAGTATGGTGCCCCGGCCCGGCAAAGTATTGCAACCTAGTTGATGTTGTAATCGCGACCTCAAAAGGCCGTCCCACCATTCTATCAATCCAGCTGCTTCAGGAAGATGGGGAATATGGTAAGACCAGTGAATTCCGTGAGCATGAGCCCACTGCCTCACTTCTTTACCTGTAAAGTGAGTGCTTGGTCAAAGGTAATGCTGTGTGGAATACCGTGATAGTGGATAAGGCATTCCTTGAGTCCATAAATGGTAGTCTTGGCAGAAGCATTGCTTGCAGGTAGGCAAACCCATATCCTGAGTAAGTGCCTGTTCCAATGAGGACAAACCTCTCTCCTTTCCATGGTGGAAGAGTTCCAATATGATCAACCTGCTACCGGGTAGCTGGTCGATCACCCCAGGAAATGATGCCATACAAAGGGTTCACTGTTAGTCTCTGCTGCTGCTGCTGGCAAATTGGGCACTCAGCAGTGGCCACAGACAGTTCAGCCTTGGTGAGTGGAAGTCCACATTGCTGAATCCATGCATAACCTCCATCCCTGCCACCATGGCCACTATGTTCATGGGCTTATTGGACAATGACAGGGGTGTCTGAGGAAAGAGGCTGAGTGGTATCCACAGAACGGGTCATCTTATCCACTTGATTATCAAAATCCTCCTCTGCTGAAGTCACTTGTTGGTCAACACTCACACAGGGTACAAATATCTTCAGTTTTTGACCACTCAGAGAGGTCCATCTACATACTCTTTCTCCAAGTTTCTTTGTCACCAATTTTCCAATCATGCTTCTTCCAAGTCCCTGACCATCCAGCCAAACCATTGGCTACAGCCCATGAATCAGTATATAACCGCACATCTGGAAATTTCTCCTTCCATGCAAAGTGCACAATCAGGTGCACTGCTCAATGTTCTGCCCACTGGGAAGATTGTCCTTCACCACTGTCCTTCAGGGATGTCCTAGAAAGGGGCTGTAGTGCTTCAGCTGTCCACTTTTGGGCAGTACCTGCCTATTGTGGAAAACCATCTGTGAACCAGGCCCTAGTCCTCCCTTCCTGTGTCAATTGCTCAAAGGCAAGTCCCCATGAGGCCATCAGTGCAGGCCATGGGAGAGAAGGCAGGGTGGCAAGAGTAGAGACCGTGGGCATTTGAGCCACTTCCTCATGTAACTTACTTGTGCCCCCCAGGACCTGCTTGAGCCCAATCACTTATACACCATTTCCATTTGATGATGGAATGCTGCTGTGCATGACCCACTTTATGGCTACATGAGTCAGAAAGCACCCAGTTCACGATAGGCAGTTCAGGTCGCATGGTGACTTGTTGACTCATAGTCAAATGTTCAGTTTCCACAAAAGCCCAGTATAGGACAAGAGCTGTCTCTCAAAAGGAGAGTAGTTAACTGGAGAAGATGACCGGTCCTTGCTGCAAAATACTAGAGGCCTCCACCATGATTCACCTATGGAGGCTTGCCAAAGCCTCAAAGCAGCATTCCTATCTGCCATGGACACCTCAGGGGGACCCAGCCTCCCCTTCATTCAAGGGGTTCTGGGTCTGTAAACTGGCTCAAGGCTGGAAATTGATTGAGGGGCCATGAATCTCTGTTTTTATGATTCCAGTTAGTCTTTTATCTGTTTGACCTTAAGTTTCCTCCTTACATAAATTAAGTAGGAATGCATTAGTCTTCCTGTCAGTTTCACTTCCAGGAACACTGTGATTAGTTAGCCAATGCCAGAGCTCTACATGAGTCAGACTGTTCAGATTGCTGCTTTGTCTTTTCTGCCCATTACGGTAGCTACGCCCACCGTGCCTTTGAGGGTTGAGTGCTACCACTTGGCCCCTGCCACTTCAGGATCCAATTATTCCAAATTGTATTTAACTTTTGTAACTGAGTGACTGCAGTTCTCACCATTAGATCTGACATACAGAGAAGAGCCTTTACAGGGCTCTTCAAAGATGCAGGTGCTGTCCTCACAAATCTATTTTGCAAGGTGTTTGTCAAGGGTATTAGGTACAGAGTCACTAAACTCCTTGCCTCTCATGAGCGATGATTCATTAGTGTCAAATGAATTTGTTTTGCATAGCTCTTTAAACCTTTCATGCCAAGAACTGTCAATATTCTCTACACTATTAAAAGTAGAGTCCTTAGCATTTTGGGATCTAATCATATTTAGCAGCCAAATCCAGAAACCCCAAAACCAACAAAAGAACTCCAGCCTTAATATTCTGATCCTGCAGAACCATTCCTGGTACCAAAATCTGTATTAATGAGGGTTCTCTAGAGGGACAGAACTAATAAGTTCAATATATATATATATATATATATATATATATATGGGTTTATTACATATTAACTTACAGGATCACAAGGTCCCACAGTAGGCTGTCTGCAGGCATGAGGAGTGAGGAGTAAGGAGAGCTAGCTCGAGCCTCAAAACTAAAGAACTTGGAGTCCGATGTTCAAGGGTAGGAAGCATCCAGCACGGGAGAGAGATGTAGGCTGGGAGGCTGGGCCAGACTCAATTTTTCACTTTTTTCTGCCTGCTTTATATTCACTGGCAGCTGATTAAATGGTGCCCATAGATTAAGTAGGGGGTCTGCCTTCCCCAGACTACTGACTCAAATATTAATCTCCTTTGGCAACACCCTCACAGACACACCCAGGAGCAATGCTTACATCCTTCAATGTAATCAAGTTGACAATCAGTATTAACTATCACAGGATTACAGACCTGAGCCATCACACACAGTGTTATTGTATATTTCATACAATATAAAATATTCCTGATTTTCCCATTTTATCTGTGACTTAATAAAGTTTTTCAGCTATGACCCCAAACTGGTAATACTTGAAAGCACATTCAAATGTATTTTGCAACAATTCATAACTGGCAAAATGTTGAGCCTTGTGGAAAGAGTCACCTTACTTCCCCGTCAGCTGTCAATTCCCCATCATTACTATCACTTCCGGGAGCACATTTTCCAAAACTCCTTTTCTCTCTATGGTTTCTTTAGAGTTGCTCCATGAGGTTACAATAAGTTACAACTAATTACTGTCATGAGATTGGGAAGTCAGAGTGGTGGATTCATGTACACTGACACCTGAAGTAAAACACATGCAGTTAGGTGTGGACTGGAGAATCACCTGGAGATGTGCTGCAGGCAGCTGAGAGCATCAGCACCCCCAGCCCTGGGCTTCCCAGACAGGACTGAGGATCATCACACGGTGTTCAGCACATACCACCAGGGGCAGGTGCATCCTGGCTTCTGAAGTAGCACCTGAGAATCCCCTGTGTCTAGTACCTGCTTCATGAATAACACTCCATAGGCTTCGGAAAGACTGTGGTTTAGACTCTAATTTATTCAACTTGAATAATTTCTCCTTGAAATACTGAGAATAGCTTCTCTTTTGCTGTACAAATTCCAATTATCCCATAACACAGACTCCTCAGCTGGACTTATCTCTCTTCTTTATTCAGTCAGGACAGGCATTGTCACGTCTTTTCTGCTGGGGATGAGGGCGAAAGAGGCTTAGCGTTCAGAGGAACCTCCCTGGCCTCCTCTAGGAAAATCTCCCGATGACTTTCCAAACCTGACTGAGTTTGAGAACTTCCCTCAGCAGATAGAGGCACCAGAAGGAGCATTGGGGCAGCCCAGCCTCACACATCTACTTCCTTGGGGTTTATGTTATGACTTGTAACACTGTGGGAGGGTTACTGTCACTCTGTTGACAGTAATAAGTTGCAAAATCTTCAGGCTGCAGGCTGCTGATGGTGAGAGTGTAATCTGTCCCAGATCCACTGTCACTGAACCGAGAGGGAATCCCACTTTGCAGACTGGATGCAGCATAGATCAGGAGCTTAGGAGTTTTCCTTGGTTTCTGCTGATACCAATTTAAATTATTGCTAATGCCCTGACTCGCCCGGCAAGTGATGGTGACTCTGCCTCCTACAGATGCAGACAGGGAGGATGGAGACTGGGTCATCTGGATGTCACATCTGGCACCTGAAGTTAGAAACATAAAAACAAATATTCTTGCAATTAATCATGTTATCAGAGGACTTCCCTGAAGTTCCAGACAGTACTGAGCACACTGACCGAGTATAATCCTAGTGTTCTCCTTCCTTACCTGGCAGCCAGAGCCCCAGGAGCCCCAGGAGCCCCAGGAGCTGAGTGGGGGCCCTCACGTCCGTGCTGTGTCCTGACTGGGGCTGACTCCTGCACCAGGTGTGGCCAGCCTATAAGAAGTCTTCAGGGCAGGGGGCTGTGCTCTAGGAATAGGCAAATCAGCAGGGGATGGGGCAGGCTGAGCACAGCTGCACGGCTGGCTCATCTCAGTAACTCAGCACATGGGCGCAGTATCCCCAGAGTCCCAGGTCAGACCAGGGCAGCACAGATTTACCTTGAAAGAGTACACTTCTCATTGGTGGCCATATGGTTACAGAACATATTTTTGGAGTGAATTTTCAAAATTTTAAATCAACCTAAGACTAGATTAAATAATATATTTATACTTGTATTAAGAGTGTATAGGAAAGCATCATTTTTGGCAGAAAATTTACAATAAAGTTATAGAGTGTGGGGCTGTCAGAAACTTCAGTTAGTCTCAAAGGAATTTGATGAGTGTAAAAGTATTTAGTGCTATAATAACAATGTCTCTGTCAGTGTGAAATTGCTTCTTTTTTGAAATGAATATAAAAAGAATTTATCAGAAGCATCTTTAATAAATTCAATAGAATTTACTAACAAACTTAAGACATTGTTCCTAGGAGTAAAAGGAAAAACAATTCTCTGAAGATGCACAAAGATGATAATGTGTCACGCATAGATCTGCCATTATCCAGAGCTATGGGTCTCTTTAAGACCTAGGGGCTAAATGGGCTGCACCTTATTCTTGGCGTGATGATCCCCATATTCTATCCCCTTTCCTGCCTTTGGTATAATTTCTTATGGTTCTCCAGCATGGAGAGCTGACTAGTAATACCAGGTCTCATTATTTCAAAATCTCTGTTTCACTCGCGGACTATAGGAGCCAGGATTAAAATCAACTTGAAGCCCTCTATCAATCTAGGCTCAAATAATCAATTGTTTCAAAGTAGGATGACAAAGGCCGCATCCCCTGAGTAATGCTCTGAGCTGCGCTCCCCACCAGCCTGTTCCTGGGGTCTCAGGAGCATCTGCCCTAGAGTCTGGCTTTCTGGAGAGCAGGTGAGGGGGGAAAAGCCAGGTCAGTGAACCTCTCTGCTTAGCAAGGACAGCTGCTGCCCAATGCATGTTCTTGCCATGCACCAGGGCATCATCCTGACCCAGATGCCAGCCACCCTGTTTCACATCCATTTAGAGAGAATCTCCATCTTCTGCCAAGACACTGCCCATGTAGATGAAAAAGTATTTTGCCTCCAAACATATCTTAAGCACTGATTTGAACCTCAATACTTCACACAGATGCCTTTGTCCAGGGCGTGTCGGCCTGGCTCAACAGCAGGGGAAGTGGAGCCAATTACATCAGTGTCAGTGGACTGAGAAATACTCCAGGGAGTAGTTCTCATGCACGACTACCAGTGGCCAGACCAAGGTAGTGCAGCCTGTGCACAAACCTCCTGCTGCTTTTCCAGAGAACTGGATTTCTGGGAAATGGCTACTGAACAGGCTGCCAGGATCCATATATCCAGATTCAGAGAGATACATCTCTGGATTCAAATGCGCTTTTTCTTTGTGCATAATTTTAGCAGTCATTGTTACTACGCCTTGGGGATTCTAGTCATTATACTTCAGCTGACTCTCTATGGCCCTTTCTCCCCTTCACTGCTCTGTCTGAACCTGGGGAAGCAGCTCAGGCTGCAAATGAGGCAGACCTCATGGCCTGGAATTAGCATCCCCTAGGACGGCTGTCAATCAGTGATGACAAGGGAGGTGTACACATCCCGCAGCTCCCTCACCTCTCAGGTGGAATAACAGAGGCATTTTTCCTGTGTTTCTATGTGGGCTTGAGCTCTCGTCATCCTCAGAGGTGGCTCCTTGTGAGGCACCTTTCACTTTCCCTTTCCCTCCTCCTCTCCCTTGCTCACTTGCTTGTTTCCCGCACTTTGTAAATATACTGCCTGCATGCGAATCTTTGGCATCCTTCTCACTGAGGGGACCCAACCTAATGCATTGGAAAAATCCTCATTCTTGGAGGGCATCGTTGGTTTGAATTATTGCCACTTCTCATGCTTTAATGCATAGGGAAATTCCAAAAATTTAGGAAATCTTTAAATTCCCTTTGCCAATCTTTCTTAGATTTGATTTTAGCAGAGATTCATTTTCTCTAGGTCACAAAATCACAGAAGCCTTCCACAAATGGCTACACAACATAGAGTCCACATAGAGCAGAGACTCAGAATCTCCCAGGATTTGACATCCACACATCAGACAGTCCTAGATTCTCAGGTTTTTTCTAGGTCGATCGCCTCGTAAATCTGCCTTGTGATATTTTTATTCTACCTTAGGGGAAGACCATTGTGTGGATGATGAGGGTTGTTTGTGGAATGAATAATACACCCACTAAAGACATCATTGTCCTAATATCTGGAATCTATGATCATTACTTATGAATATGTCAAAAATAACTTGGCAGACATGGTTGAGAATTTGGGGGTCAGGAGAGTATCCTGAATGATCTGGGTGAGACCATCATAATCACAAGGGTCCTTATAATAGGGAGGGAGGAAGGTAACAGCCAGAGAGGACCTGGGACAACGGACAGGGAAACTGGAGTGATGGAGGAAGGGGCCATGCTGCTAGGAATGTGGGAACATCAGAAAGATGGAATGCTCGATATTGGATTCTCTCTCTTGAAGCCTAGAATGAATAGAGCCCTATTACTCCTTGATTTTACTTCATTGAGACTTCTGACCTCCAGAAATGTAAGATAATACACTTGTGTTATGGGGAGCAGTAAGGTTGTGGTAATTTGTTACGGCAGCAACAGGAAACCAATGCAAGGGGAAGGGGTGTGTTTTACTTCCCTAGTGTATCACTGTCCTCTGTTCTCCCAAATAGTTCTGTGTTTTTGTGTTTGCTGTCAATTTCAACAAGAGACAGAAAACATTTTTCTATGAGGAGAGCTAACACCACAATTCTCTTACGTAGAAAGTGTCTTGAGTAATTCTCTGGGTTAGGTCTTGTACAATCTTGGTATCTGAGAGCCTGGAGGTCATCCCTCACAGCACATGAGAAGAGGAAGGGGATGCGGGTTTGCTGTTTTAACATTTGTAGGGCAAATTAGATGTACAAGACCTATTATTATTATTATTATTATTATTATTATTATTATTGTTCTTTAAGTTCTAGGGTACATGTGCACAACGTGCAGGTTTGTTACATATGTATACATGAGCCATGTTGGTGTGCTGCACCCATTAACTCATCATTTACATTAGGTGTACCTCCTAATCCTATCCCTCCCCCCTCCCCCCTCCCCCCACCCCACGATAGGCCCTGGTGTGTGATGTTCCCCTTCCTGTGTCCATGTGTTCTCATTGTTCAATTCCCACCTGTGAGTGAGAACATGCAGTGATTGGTTTCTTTGTCCTTGCGATAGTTTGATGAGAATGATGGTTTCCAGCTTCATCCATGTCCCTACAAAGGACATGAACTCATCCTTTTTTATGGCTGCAAGCGAGGACTGAGTCAGAGAGATGGGGATGGCAGAGGAGACAAAATGTGGTCAGGGCCATGTAAGATGTGACCCTGCTGCCATATCTGAAAGAAAGGCTATTGGTGTTTGTAAAGGCTTTGGGCAAATTGTGCTTTGTAGACAAAACTGTAGAAGGGTCTGGGTTTAAGCTTAGTGTCAGCGTGATGAGGAGTAGAGGTCGCAGTGAGCTTGTGTTAAGAAATCCACCCTGCACTTCTGGCTTTGTCTCTTTTCTGGTTTTATAGGTGGTGGGTTCCTCTATGGAATGAACGTGGCTCTGTGGAAGGAACATAGTTAAGGTCAGACAGACCTAGATTCCAAGTTCAGCTTCAACAACTGCTGACCAAGTGACTTTTATGCAAATCAGCCATGTGCTGTCATGAACAGTTTCCTCATGTGTGAAATGGGGCACTGAGGATGTGAAGGGGTGTCCTGAGGGTTCTGCCAGCTGATGCACCATGAAGTGTACCTACATGTATAGACAGACACACACACATACATGAGAAGAGTATCTAGTGTCCCTTTTATGCATTCTTGAGTAACTCAGAATGTTATGTGAGATATTAACAGTCATATGTCATTTTCAACTAAAATTATCAATATTTATCTTATAACTAACAGATGCTTCTCTGTACACTGTAGGTTTCATGTACATTTCTTCAATCACAAAATTTTTCACCAATCTATTTACGTCTAGTATCAGAAAGTTAAGCAAGGAGATTGCAAACCAACACAACACCTTTAGTCTGGATTTTCCCGGAGCCCCATTTGTGTTAGTGTCCTCGGGCTACTGTAACAAGTTCTCAAAAATGTGGTAGCTTCAAACAACAGGAATGGAATCTCTCATAGTTCAGAAGTCCAGATCAGTTTCACTGGGCTAAGAACTTGGAGTCATCAGTTCTGGCTCCTTCTGAAGCTCTAGGGAGCAGTCTGATTTAGCTCTTCCAGCTTCTGGTGGCTTCTCTCTCCCGGGATGTGGACACATCACTGCAATCTCTGTCTCTGTGTTCACACTGCCTTCTCCACTTCAGTCTAAGCTAAATGTCTCTCTACCTCTTGTTTTTATTAGGACACTTGAGTTTGCATTTAAGTCCCAGTTGATTAATCTAAGACCATCTCCCTGTTTCAAGCTCCTTAATTTACACCTGCAAAAGCTGTTTTCCCAAATGAGATACATGCATAGTCTTCTTGGAATGAAACCTCACTATTTGGGTATGATACTCATTACTACACCATTACATAACCAGGTCTCAGTGTTAGTCCTGTACATACATCACAATCTCTCTCTCTCTCCCCATCTCTCTCCACACACCCTGGCTTCCTCCTTTTCTCAATGTCATAAATCTCTTCAATTCCTTAAGTGTATCCAGTGATACCTATAAACAAATAAGTATCTGAGAAAAGTCTCAATCAGTTTAGAAATTTATTTGGTCAAAGTTAAAGAAATATCAGTGAAACAGCCTCAGGAGGTCTTGAGAACGTGTGTCAAAGGTCGTCGGGCTACAGGTTGGTTTTACACGTTTTAAGGAGACATAAGATATCAATCAATACGTGTAAGCTGTACATTGCTTTGATATTGAAAGGCAGGACAGCCCGAAGGAGGGGGGATATTGGGGACTTCCAGGTCATAGGTGGATTCAGAGATTTCATAGGTGGTTGAAAGAGTTTATCTAATGACCTGTAATCAACACAAGGGAGTTCCTGGGTTTAGAAAAAGGGTTTTGGAGCCAAGGTTGCATCATGCAGATGAAGCCTCCAGGTAGCAGGCTTCAGAGAGAATAGATTGTAATTGTTTCTTAGTAGACTTAAAAGGTGCCAAACTCTTAGTTAAATCTCTCTGGGTCAGGAAAGAGACTTAAAAAGGAATCTCTACAGAATTTAGATTTTTCCCACAAGAACCAGCTTTGCAGAGGCATTTTTAAATACATTAAATAACAATATCTTGGGGAAAATACTTTGATTTCTCTTAGGACGTGGTATCTGTCACATTGGTATCTTATTGCTATAAAGAGTTTTCTTTGTCAGTCTCAAGGTCTCTGTCTTCATATTAAAAGCTGGTCAGTTCTGCCTGAATTTTAAAGGGAAGAGGGTAAGTTAAGGCATGTCCAATCATCCGTTCCGATCATGGACTGTATTGTATTTCAGGTTGATTTTGGTGTGTCCTTGGCTGAGAGGAGGAGTTCATTCAGTTGGTTAGGGAGCTTAGAGTTTCATTTTTGGTTTACACACCTATGTCCAGGTAAGAGGGCCCCACACAGGAGGGCTTGCTCAGAACCTGGCTTGCAGGGCTGCTTACAGACCTTCTATGTCTCCTGTTGTCATGCACAAGGAAGGACACAGCCAATGACAAAACTCAGCCATCCGGGGAGAAGCTGTGTCTGCAGAGGACGGTCATGAGCTGTGAGTCTAGAGACCTGTGATTGTCTTCAGGGGCCTGTGGTCCTTGGCTTTCATAGGAGTTGTGGGGGCATGGCTCAAATAGCATCCACCAGGATTCCAATCAGAATATCTCATTCACAGAAGGCAGTGGGTGATATGACAGCACAGAGGGACTCCGTGGGTCCAGCTGCATGGAGCACTCTGGGAGAGTCACTGGCACCCGTGCTAGACAGAGCTTCATTCAACTTCTGGAGCACACGGATTTAGATCTCTTTACATCATTTTGAAATACCATTTATCATTCTGAAGGAAACCACTGTAATTAACTAAGGTAACATCTTTAATAGGTAGAAAGAAAAAAGTGATTATTTTATTGCCAAGACGATGACAAGAAAAGAAACAAACAAAAATAGCATGAAGGAAAGAGCAACACTAGACTGAGGGCTTTGGGTAAGAGGTTGAGACTTAGTAGTGAATGCCCTGGGCCATCTTCTGTCAAAAGGGAGGGACAATCAGCAAAGGGAAATATGCAGTAGAGGCAAAATCTTGGTTAGTAAAAGAATCCTAAGAGAAAACAAGAAGTCTCCTTCCTGAGCATCATGTTGGTGTCGGGAAGATGCACATAATCCCCCCATTGCATGTCTTACACTTTTCAGCAATTAGGGCTCAGCATGAATTTAGAAGACACGATTCACTTCACAGCAGATGGGGACACAGTCAAGGCAGTGGTGAGAGGCAAGGCTGGGCTTTCAGTCTCAGAGCACAGAGCAGGTTCCCCACTACTCCGCACCCTGGTGTCTCCCCCCAGATGTTCCACCTCATTCTTGCCTTAAGGGCTCCAAGTTGTTAATGGGACAGTAGCCCTCTTCCTTTCCCAGGGTTTCTAAGAATTTGGCTCTCTTTTGTGTATCGCGGGGTTTGTTTGCCATCTAGAGGCAGGTTTTTGGCATAGCAACTTATAGGCTTTTTCTACTTGTGATAGCAAAAATAAATACATAAATAAATTCATCATAAATAATAAATGGACTTAATGCATTCAATCTGTAAAAAAATATAAGGTCAGTTTGAGAGCTTAAAAGGAGCCTGATGAGGTTAAAAAGACAAATTATCTTTAGTAAAGAGCAGTTGGAGCAATAGATGATTATTTAATCAATGACATTTTAGGAGTAACTATCAAATGGTAAATAAAACTTGAAATAAGATGATAAACTATAATTTTATATGCAAAAAAAATATTTCCAAGAACCATACAAATACATTTTCAGATTAAAACAAAAAATGTGGGTTTATCATCATATCCGCTAAATGGAAGATTTCTCAAATGTGTGCTTGGAGCAAAAATAACACTTATCCCTATTTGAAAGTTCAAGATTTTTGAGCTTTCGAAGAAAACAGCTTTCCCTTCACTCTGTTCCACTCACGCTTCTGAGGATGGCCATGGGGCAAAAAGCCACGGGGGCGGGGGGCAAAAAGCCGCGGCGCCTGGGGTGCAAAAAGCCGCCGCGGGCAAATAACCGCGGCACGAGGGGGGGTGGGGCGCAAAAAGCCGCCATAGCGGGGGAGCAAAAAGCCGCGGCGGCGGGGGGCAAAAAGCCGCGGCAGCGGGGGTGGGCAAAAAGCCGGGTCGGGCAAAAAGCCGCGGCGGCGGGGGGTAAAAAGCCGCGGCGGGCAGAAAGGCGCGGCGGCGGGGCAAAAAGCCGCGGCGGCGGGCGGCAAAAAGTCGTGGCAGCGGGGGTGCAAAAAGCCGCGGCAGGCAAATAACCGCGGCAGGCAAATAACCGCGGCACCCGGGGCGCCAAAAAGTTGCGGAGGGCAAAACCCGGGGCAGGCATAAACCCGAGGCGGCGGGGGGACAAAAAACCGCGATGGGCAAAAAGCCGCGGCGGCGGGGGGTGGCAAAAAGCCGCGGAGGCAAAAAGCCGCGTCGGCGGGGGGGGGGGGGGGGGCAAAAAGCCGTGGTAGCGGGGGGGCAAAAAGCCGCGGCGGCAGGGGGTCAAAAAGCCGTGGCAGCGAGGGGCAAAAAGCCGTGGCGGGCAAAAAGCTGCGGCTTTTGGCGGCGGGGGGGGGGGGGGGGGGGCAAAAAGCCGCGACGACAAAAAGCCGTGGAGGGTAAAAAGCCACGGCGGCGGGGGTGCAAAAAGCCGAGGCGGCGGGGGAACAAAAAGCTGCGGAGGCAAAAAGCCGCGGCGGGCAAAAACCCGAGGCGGCGGGGGGGGCGCAAAAAACCGCAGTGGGGAAAAAGCCGCAGCGGCAGGGGGCGAAAAGCCGAGGCGCGCAAAAAGCCGCGGCGGCGGGGGACAAAAACCCGCGGCGCGGAAAAAGCCGCGGCGGCGGGGGTGCAAAAAGTCGCGACGTGCAAATAACCGCGGCACCGGGGAGGGGGGTGGGGGGGGGGGTGCAAAAAGCCGCGGCGGTCAAATAACCGCGGCACCGGGAGGTGTAAAAAGCTGCGGCGGGCAAATAATCGCGGCACCAGGCGGGGGCCGCGGCGGCGGGGGTGAAAAAGCCGTGGCGATGGGGGGGGGGCAAAAAGCCGCGGCGACAAAAAGCCACGGCGGCGGGGGTGAAAAAGCCGCGGCGGTGGGGGGGGCAAAAAGCCGGGTCGAGCAAAAAGCCGCGGCGGCGGGGGATAAAAAGCTGCGGCCGGGCAAAAAGCCACGGCGGCGGGGGAGCAAAAAGCCGCGGCGGCGGCGGGGGGTAAAAAGCTGTGGCGGGCAGAAAGCCGCGGCGGCGGTGGGGGCAAAAAGCCGGGTCGAGCAAAAAGCCACGGCGGCGGGGGTGAAAAAGCCGCGGCGGTGGGGGAGCAAAAAGCTGCGGCGGCGGCGGGGGGCAAAAAGCCGCGGCGGAGGGGGGAGCAAAAAGCTGGGTCGAGCAAAAAGCCGCGGCGGCGGCGGGGGTAAAAAGCGGCGGGGGGCAGAAAGCCACGACGGCGGGGGGCAGAAAGCCGCCGCGGTAGGGGAGCAAAAAGCCGCGGCGGCGGGGGGGTAAAAAGCCGCGGCGGCGGGGGTGAAAAAGACGCGGGGGGCAAAAAGCCGCGGCGGCGGGGGGGGGGAAAAGCCGCGGCGACAAAAAGCCACGGCAGTGGGGGTGAAAAAGCCGCCGCGGTAGGGGAGCAAAAAGCCGCGGCGGCGGGGGTGAAAAAGCCGCGGGGCGGAAAAAGCCGCGGCGACAAAAAGCCACGGCAGTGGGGGTGAAAAAGCCGCCGCGGTAGGGGAGCAAAAAGCCGCGGCGGCAGGGGGGAAAAAGCCTCGGCAGCGGGGGTGGGCAAAAAGCCGGGTCGGGCAAACAGCCGCGGGGGCGGGGGGGCAAACAGCCGCGGGGGCGGGGGGGCAAAAAGCCGCGGCGGTGGGGGGGCAAAAAGCCGGGTCGAGCAAAAAGTCGCGGCGACAAAAAGCCACGGCGGCGGGGGTGAAAAAGCTGCGGCGGTGGGGGAGCAAAAAGCCGCGGCGGCTGCGGCGGCGGCGGGGGGTAAAAAGCCGCGGCGGGCAGAAAGCCACGGCGGCGGGGGTGAAAAAGCCGCGGCGACAAAAAGCCTCGGCGGCGGCGGGGGGTAAAAAGCCGTGAGGGGCAAAAAGCCGCGGCGGTGGGGGGGTAAAAAGCCGGGTCGAGCAAAAAGCCGCGGCGGGCAGAAAGCCGTGGCGGCAGCGGGGGTGGGCAAAAAGCCAGGTCGGGCAAAAAGCCGCTGCGGCGGGGGGGGGGTGGGGGGCAAAAAGCCGCGGCGGTAGGGAATTAAAAGCCGTGGCGGGCATAAACCCGAGGCGGCGGGTGGGGGCAAAAAACCGCGGTGGGGAAAAAGCCGCGGCGGCGGGGAAAAAGCCGCGGCGGCGGAGAACAAAAAGCCGCGGCGGCGAAGGGCAAAAGAGCCGCTGTGATGAGGGTCAAAAAGCTGCGGCGACGCGGGGCAAAATAGTGGAGATGGGGTAGAAGGCCGGCACAGCTTGGCTTTGCTGGAGTGTGATGTGATAGGAAATGTGCAGCCAAAGACAAAAAAAGATGTAAGTAGGCTTGACTCATTGCAGCCAAGAACCCAGATGTTATCTTGAGGGTTTTAACTAATAAGCAGTTTAAATCAGAATGGCACATTCTGATTTGTTTTTTGTATATTCACATTTGGCAGGCATAGATACCGTTCGAAGAGAAAAATGTCAGTAGATAGAGGTAACAAACTTAAATATGTGCCGAATCTAGAAACAAGAGACTAGGGGGATAAGGACCTTTTGAAATAAAATGCGAGATTTGAAAACTGATTGACTGGGGGATGAGGAAAAGGCAGGTCTTTAAGGTCAATCCCTGTTTTGCTTTAAGTTGTTAGGGGGTGGTTTTATCACATATTGTAGAATACGTCATTTCAGTTTTGAACATCTTGAGTTAAATCGTCCTAACATAGCTTATGAATTTGATTTTCTTCCCTGGGAAGCTAATATTTCAAACACTGAAAGAGTATATAGATTTCCAACTTGTATCCAATTTATAAAACTATCTCTAGGCTGCTGATTTCAGGAGGAGGCTCATGAATATTCTATTTGCAGAGAATATATCAGGAGTTAACATCAGCGTCAATATTTGTGGACGACCAGTTAACTAAGCCACCTCTTAGTGTATTTAGATGGGAAATCTTAGCTGAAGATATTCAATAATGAACCAACAGTGACTAAAAAATTCAATATTTAAGTATATTTCATTGTAATTAATTTGAATTGAAGTAGCCATATACAGCTAGTATTTACTACATTGAACAATGCAAATAAGAGGAAAAAATTAATAACCATCTCTAATACCACATGCCAAAATCCTCATCAATTTATTCTAGCTAAAGGAGTTGATCAGAAGCAGCAATTGAAAGCACCAACTAAACCAGCTGGGGTTAGTTCACTGTCATTCTCTCAGAACCATCTCTTCTCTGAACAAAACAAGTACAAGAGTTCATTGTAAATCTGCATTTTCCTTGACTATTTTAAGGTTTTGATGTTGACACTAATTTGTGAAATCCCTCCTGTGGTGTGATATTTCGTTTTCCTTGCTTTTTGTTAGGACAAGAATGCTTCAGCTCTTAATTTAAAATTATGTTTCTCCCTCCTAGGTTGAATGAACTTAGAATGCATTCTCTGACATATCCAAGTTTTTGTTAATATGAATTTGGGGAACAAAGCATACTTAATTAGCTAAGACTTCTTATTCTAGGCTTGACCCTGTGTTCGACATCTATTGAATTTGTAGTTGCATGGGCTGCTCTCTGACACTGGTTACTGACCTGGAAGCTATATTAACGTTAGGGGAGGTGGTGTATGAGCATTAGAGGTATCCTTGCAAGGAAAGACTTGTCTTAACTCAATACGTCTTTTTTTTGCACACAAGAAAGTCAGTGTTTGAGTCTTCTAAAATCTTCCTATTTCCAAGTTGCAGAGTACCATTGATTCCTAAACAAAGACCTAATTTTTGACTCAGAGATGTGGCAAGGTAGTGAATCACCATTATAATTTAACAATCTTCAAGATAAAATTATCTCTCTGATATTTAGATTTTGCCCAATTATTAAGATATTTGGGTGTTTCGTTAAGAATGGAAGACTCTAGTCTCTTGAGCAGAGACTATAAAGGCCTCAGATGATCATTTTTACTTTTATGCTCTTTTCTTTAACACCTTCAACACAGTTGGAAGCAGCCGATATTCCCCAGAGTTGTGTTTTTTAAATCAAATGCATGGTTCAGTGGTAGAAAACTGGGCTGATCCAAGCTGTTTTCAGTAAACACTTCATTTCAGGTGACCTATTTCATATTAAATAATCTCTAGATCCTGTCTTCAAAACTAACTAGATCAGGTAACCTACCCTGGATTTTCTCCTTTTAGGGTCTGTGAGCTGCAGTCACTTTTGTGAAAATGATTGCAATGAAAAGATAGAGTTGTAGATGGGGAAAATGTTTTGACTAATTTAAGCATAGTGGTATTTCATATGAGAATTTAAGTTACACACATTTGAAAATTATAATGGAGTCTCTTGGCTGAGCTTTAAAAAAAATAGCGTTTAGGCTAAACGGGGAACTGCTACCTCTCCTAAAATCAGAAAGATGTTACAGTAATTCTCCATTCTCTAGAATTATCAGGAAGCACCTTTGTGATGATTTACTTTTGTTCTTGGGAGTGTGAGCCCGTGTAGTCTTGGAACCATCAATTAGAATGATGGCTTCCTGATCCCAAAGTCATTCGTTCTGAAAACAATATTTTTCATAAATTTGAAAGTGAGAAGTTTTGATCTTGCCATTCCCAAGTAACTCTCTTAATAAGAGGCATCAGCATGCTTCAGTGTCACTTTCCAGTGCTGAGAGTCATCTTTGAGTTCTCCATTTCACTCCCTACACTCCAATTTAGCTGCAGTTCTCTTGGCTAGTCCTATGAAATACATCCATGGCCTAATGACTTCTCACCACTACTACCACTCATCCTGACAGCATTCTCACCTAAGTCACTACCTTTTTTCTCTGGATTAGAGTAGCCTCCCAATTTATTTGCTCACAAAACCTATTTATTCTACACGGTGCACAAGATACACCCCTTTGAAATGCAAACACAATCATGTTATTCTCTGGTTAAGTTATCTCATATATTCCTATCGCATTTAAAATTAATTCAGAATAATCCCCTGATTATCAAAACCCTACATGCTCTTCCACAATATGGTTTACTTCCAAGATATCTCTTCAACTTTTTTTTCACTGTACTGAATTGGTGACTAATAATCATATTTTTGTTTTTGCACAAAAAGTCTTGACTTGTAAATTTTTCAGTTTCTCCTTTATCCACAGGTAACTCTTTCCTCATAAGGCGAATTGCTTGCTTCCTTGAGTTCTGCTCTCAAAGATACCCTTCATTTTCTACCTAATATTAATAACTTTAATCATTCATTATTCCATTACTATGCTCTATAGTGTATACAATTTCTGTTCTTTGTCATGTTATTAACTAAATTATTTGTTCCAGTAACGTATTCCATAAATATTGTACACATAAAAATTATGTTATTTTTATTGCTGTATGCTCAGCTGCCCAATAACAGTCTGAGGATTAACATATTTGTTAAATGCACAAATACGTTCTTTCACAAATATTAGTTTAATAATTTTATATTAAACTCCCTCTATACTTACAGTATGAATTAGATAATTGAGAATAAACATTCCAGTGGAAAAAACTAAACAATTTGTTGTAAAACATCCTTAAAAGCATCAGAAAGTTAATACAGCAATGAAGAATTACAGGACCAAATTAAGAATGGTATGGAAGCCTGTTTGTGAGGCTTATGTTTGGGTTATCTCTTTACTTAGAGAGACTATAAATCTCAAAAGAGGATTAAACGGAGAAATAACCATATCAACTCACATGGTAAGGGTATTCAAACATCTCTTAGTAATGGAGAAAATTGAAAGAAAAGAAAAAAGAGAAAGGGAGAAAGAGAAACAGAGCGAAAGGGATAATGGAGAGAAAGAAGAAGAGAAAGGAAGAGGAAGAAAAGTAGGAGGAGGAGGAAGAGGGAGGAAGAAAGAAAGGTGAAAAGAAAGAATGCTAAAGTTTTCAACAACATAATTTATCCTTCTAGAATATGAACGTTGGTCTATTTGATGATGTCCCACAGATTCCTTAGTCTCTGCTCATTTTTTATCTGTTTCTCAGAGTCAATATTTTCCATTTTCTTATCTTCAAGCTCATGACTTCCTCTGTGTGTGCAAATATACTCTTAAATCCCTCTGGTGATTTTTAAATTTTTATCATTGTAGTTTTCCACTCCAGAATTTCTGCTATCTCTGTTGATATTCCTACTTTTTAATATTTTTTCTGAATCCTTTATTTCTTTGTTTATGTTTTCCTTGTGACATTTGAGTATAATTAAGAGAGTTGTTTTAAAGTCTTTGTCTAGTAAGTTTGAAGTCTGGGTTTCCTTAGAGATATTTTCTGTCAGTTTGTTTTGTTCCTTTGAATGAGCCATACTTTCCCGTTCTTTGTATGCCTTGTAACTTTTTTTGAAAACTGGGCATTATAATAATTATAATTACTATGTGGTTACTCTGTAAATCAGACCCTCCCCCACAAACACAGTAATGTTTTGGGGTTTTAAATTTTCTTTACTTATTATATTGTTAAGGATTTTTTTTTTAGTGAAATTTTCCAAAGTGATTTACAAAACTGTTTGC
Organism: Homo sapiens; assembly: GCF_000001405.40. Classification (NCBI taxonomy): domain Eukaryota; kingdom Metazoa; phylum Chordata; class Mammalia; order Primates; family Hominidae; genus Homo; species Homo sapiens. Next base: position 64,779,587 of record NC_000009.12, read on the forward strand.
TTTATAAGGTGTGGTCACCGAAGTCTTTTTGTTTCCTTAACAAATGTTAAGCTAATGTTTTGACAGTGATTTTCTTGTATGTCAGGAAGTAAGCAAACAGGCAAATACAACAAAAACAAAAAGAAAAACAAGTAATCATTGTCCAGCAAAATATGCCTCTAGGCCATGCAGACTGGCTTTGTGCTGGGTTCTTTAAAGCTGGCACAAAGTGTGTGTTCACTCTTGCACTGAGTGAAGTTCAAGTTCACTCTTGCACAGAGCTTGCACTGAGGGGAGGGATCAGCCAAGGTAAAAGTGTAGGGTCTTCTTATGACATTTGTCAGCATGTGGCTTAACCTATGCATACATGTGACTTTCTAGCCTCTCCCATGTACGTGAATAATTTTGAATGTCTTAGTTTTCCAAATACTCTTCTCCAACTTTTCTTCCTGTGCTGAAGGTGATCTACTATATGTGTAAACTCTAATTTTTGCCCTAAGCATCTGTGGTTTGTTAGGTCTCCTTGCAGAGTTCCTTGATAATGTCCATTCCTTATCTGTTCTGTATTCTAGCAACACAGAAAAACAAAAGCCTTTCATGAGTCCTTTAGGTATCCCCCAGACCAGTCAGAACAGACACATAGTAATTTGCGGGTAAGATCTTCTCTTGTTCCTTTGGACCATGGACCAGTGTTCCTCACTGGGAACGTGGGCTTCTGACACTTCAAAACTGCCAATTTGCTGGGGCAAAGGCAAGCTAAAAATGTCATAAAGTTTTCAAGTTGTCTTTTTCTTGAGTCTGCTTTCACTCGGTTGTTGTAATCTTTTGACTGTTTTCCAGAGTTTTGGCAAAGTTTATTTGGACAGTTTCTCTTAGTTGTGTGATGTTTCTGTGGGGAAATGAAAGATTGCAGCTGTCTCCACTGCCATTTTGCTGATGCTCCTCTTTTGTCAATTTTTGCTTCATGTTATTATGCTTTGTTATTAGTTCATGTATTAGTTTCCTAGGGCTGCCATAACCAAGTAACACAAACTGGGTGCCATGAACAAAATACATTTATAGTCTTATAGTCCTGGAAGCTAAAAGTCTGAGATTGAGGGGTCAGCAGGGATGATCCCTTCAAGGGCTATGAGAGAAAGCCTGTTCTGTGCCTTGTTTCTCGCTTCTGATGGTTTAGTGGCAGTCTTTGGCATTCCTTGGCTAATCTCTGTCCTCATAATCACATGGTACTCTCCCTGTGTGTATGTCTCCCTCTACTCAAATTTCTTCTTTTAATAAGGACATCAGTCATATTGAATTCAGGCTCATCTGATTGTATCTTAACTTGATCAGCTGCAAAGAACCTATTTTCTAATGAGGTCATATTCAGTGGTTAGAATTTCAGCATCTATATAAAGGAAACAATTTAGCTCATATCTGTGCATACATGATTGTAATAGCTATGTCTTCCTAAAGCGTTGACCCCCTTTTTACTACAATATAAATTTTTAAAATCCTATTCACATTTTTAATAGTCTATGTTGTGTGTTATGAGTATAATGAGTTCAGTGTTCTTATGATTGCTCTTTGCATGATATTTTTTGTCATCTTTTTACTTTCAATCCATTAGTATCCTTGCATCTCAGCGTATATTGGGATCACTTGTTTTAATCCAGTCTGACTATCTCTGCCTCTGGAATGGATTTTAATCTGCTCACATTTAAGATTATAATTGGTATAATTCTATTTATGTCTGTTTTATATATTTTATCTATTTACCGTTTGTTTTTTATATTTCTCAAATATTTTTCTTTATTGCTTTATTTTGCAATGAAAGAATATTTTCTAAAATAGGGAACTTTAGATTACTAATGAATTATTTTATTATATATTTTTGAGAATTTTTGTTGTTGTTGTAAGTTTACCATATAGGTATATGGAAAATTAATTATTCAAATCATCTTCCAATTTATACTAGTAAACTTCTGGTAATACATAGAAACATCATTCCTATATAAATCTCTTTTATTTCCTCCATTTTAAAGTATTATCACTTTACACATTACATCTATTAAAGTTACAAAGCCAACAATACATTTTAGTAATTATTACTTTACCATCTAGAGTGATTACCTTATCACAATACATTTTTCTTCCAACTACCTCCTTTTTGATGTTACTGGAAAATATGTTATAGACGTATTACATTTCTACATGTCAAAAACTCAGCAATACATTATGCACATATTATTATTATCATCATTGAGACGGAGTCTCCCTCTGTCACCCAGGCTGGAGAGAAGTGGCACAATCTCCGCTCACTGCAAGCTCCATTTCCCGGCTTCATGCCATTTTTCTGCTTCAGCCTCCTGAGTAGCTGGGACTACAGGCGCCCGCCATCACGCCCGGCTCATTTTTTGTATTTTTAGTAGAAACAGGGTTTCACTGTGTTAGCCAGGCTGGTCTCGAACTCCCAACCTCAGGTGATCTGCCCACCTTGGCCTCCCAAAGTGCTCAGATTACAGGTGTGAGCCATCGTGCCCGGCCATTATACACATGTTATTTAATAAACAATTTATGATAAAGAGAAAAAATGCATTTTTACTGTCTTTTATAATGTCAATATTACCTATACCAGTGCTTTTTTAAAAATGTGGATTCAAGTGACTGTCTTCTGTAACTTGCTTTTAGCCTTAGGAATTTATTTTAGAGTTTTTTTTAATGTGGTAGGTCTGCCAGCAACAACTTCAGTTAATATTTCTGTTTATCTGGGTAAGTCTTTGTGTTATCTTCATTTTTGAAAAATAATTGCTGGATAAGGAATTCGTGGCCGAGAGTTTTTTTTTTCCTTTGCATCTTTTGAATATATTATTCTACTGCCTCTTGCCTTCCATTGTTTCTCTTAAGTCAGCTGTTAATCTTACAAAACATAGGTGCTCAAAAAATAAACATGTGCATGAATATTTACAACAGTAATATTCATACAGTCAAAAAGTGGGAACAATCCATACGCTTGTTGACTCATAAATGGACACCCAATTTTCAGCTATAACAAAGAATGAAGTACTTATATATGTTATAATATGGGTGAAATTTGAAAGCATTATGTTAAGTGCACAAAAGGACAAATATTACTTGATTTTATTCACATGAAACATCAGGAATTGGCAAATCAATTGGGATATAAATTAGATTAGTGGTCGTTAGGGCTCAGGGAAGCAGAATAGGGTGTAACAACTTTATGCATAATGAGTTTTTAGAAGGGACATGATGAAATTGCCCTGGAACATTGTGAATATACTAAAAGCAAGTGCATTGTATGCTTTAAAATGGTTGTTATTAATTTTATATTATGTGATTTTTACCTTAGAAAATAGCCTTACTCTATACATAATAAACTCAAGATATGTTACAAATGTACATGTGAAATCCAAAATACTATAATATTTAAGGAATAGCTAAGTAGAATAACACTGAAATTTAACATAATGAAACATTTCCTTAAAAAAGAAAAAAGCACAGTAATTAAAAAGGGAAATATATTTAATATTTTTTCTCTCCATTAAGCATGCCATTAACTGAGTAAAAAATCAAGCTGCAATTATGTAAACTACATTTTCTAAAACCATAAAGAAAATAAGAAATAAAAAGGTATTTGGGAAAAAAAATCCAAAGGTACAGTCAACTACACCAAAAAAGCTTAGTCTCATTAATCATTATGAAAATGCAAATGGTAACTGAAAGAAGATAAAACTACAATTCAAAGAGAAAACCTAACATTTCAACCCCCCAAAAAGTCTGGGTTTTTGAGATCTGGGATGGAATAGGGTTCCTAACCTGACAACAATGAAAGAACCAAACTAACTTCAAAGTCATGACTTTATTTTTATAGCAACGAGGTTGCCAAGAACTGAGTCAAAATGTGAGGGAAAACAAGCACCTGCAAGGAGAAAGAGGACAGATGCACTTACAGAGGACAGATGCAAATAGACACCACTATGACAAGTAAAGCTGGAATAATCAATAAATTCCTAAAGACAAAGTGGGGCTGGTGAGATTGGGAGACCGCTGACAGTTGCAGAAGTTGGGAAAGATCCATCATCTTGAAAACTTTTTCCCCACAAACCCACTGTGATCTCTCAAGCAATTGGTAAGGAATCCAAGAGAGTCTGTATATGACACAGATCAGGGAGAGCAGAACACTTGGGAGGTGACCAGGTCTTGGGGGCCGAGCCCTTATGAATGGGATTAGTGCCTTTATAAAAGAAGCTCAATGGAGTTCTTTTGTGCCTTCCACTGTGTGAGGACATAGAAAGAAGGCACCATCTATGATCCATGAAATGGGCTCTCATCAACACTGAATTTGTGAGCATCTTGACCTGAGATCTTACAGCCTCAAGAAGTGTGAAAAAAGAAATATCTGTTGTTTTTGAGTCACCCAGTTTATGTTATTTTGTTATAAGGGTCCAAATAGAACAAGATATTCCACTTAATATGTAGGGGAAGGCAACAAAAACTGCCACACTTAGAATACTCCTGATGCTGGGAGTATGAAAACAGGAAAAACAAAACAAAACTGCTCTTAAAGGTGAAGGAGGAATATCACTGAGCTCACCAACACAGCCAGGAAAAGAACAGAAGTGTGAGAAGGCTACATTCCTGAGACCCTGAGAAAATGTACCTGCATAAGACTGAGATGAAATTGCCTACTCTAGTTATGATTGAAATCCCAAAAAGAAAAGAGGAAAAAATAATGGAGCAAAAGAAATATATTTCAAAATAACTGCCAAAAATATTCTAAAAGAAGTGACAGAAAATCAAACTTCAGATATAGGAAACTCAGAGAATGTCAAATAGAACAAAAAGAAATAAGAATTCCATCTTGAAAAATCTTTAAAAAATCAAGTCTAAATTTTATATCTTGCTCCAAATATATAGAGATATAAATAGGTTATCATCAAGATATGGAGAAAGCCATATCATGGAAACACTAAAATAAGGCTGTGGAAGGACTACATTGATATTAGACACAACAGAGTTCGGAACAAGAAATAGTATCAGAGATGAGAGATAATAGATAATAGAATAATCAATACTCAAGAAGATGTAAACATCCTACTAATTAGGATACGCAGCTAACAACAGAGCCTCCAAATACGTGAGGTAAAACATGAAAGAAATCAAAGGTGAACTAGAAAAATCCAAAATTATATTTGCAGACTTCAACACTTTTGTCTTAGTAATGGAAAGACTAGGCACAAACTCAGTAATCATGTGGAAGATAAGAACAACAATATCACCAACAAGACATCCAATCTTCAATGGCAGCTACTCTTTCCTTTCAAGTGAAAAAAAAACAGTATGGCATATTCTCTAACAAACACAGAATTTCTAATGTTTGCGGTCTTCCTTCTTTCCATCTTCCTTTGTCTTCTCTTCCCTTCCCTTGCCTTCTTCCTTCCTTTCTTCTTTTCCTCTTCCTTTTCTTTTCTTTTTTCTTTTCCTTTCTTTCTTTTCTTTTTTCTCCTTCCTTCTTTCCTTCTTTCTTTCTTTCCTCTTATTCTTCCTTCCCTCCTCCCTCCCTTCCTTTCTCCCTCCCTTTTCTTCCTTCTTTTCTCGTATTCTTTCTTTCTTTCTCACGTTCTTGCTTTCTTTCCTTTTTTCTCCCTTCCTCCCGCCCTCCTTTTCTTCCTTCCTCCCTCCCTTCCTTTCCTCTTTTTCCTTCCTTCCTTCGCCTCTTTATTTTCTTTGTTTCTTTGCCTTCCTCCCTTTTACCATTCTCTCTTCCTCCTTTTCTTCCTCCCTTCCTCCTTTCTTTCTTTCTCTCTTTCTCTCTTTCTTTCTGTTTCTTTCTTTCTTTTCTTTCCTTCCCTCTTTCTTTCTTGTGTTCATGTTTTCTTTTTTCTCCCTTCCTGCCTTTCTCCCTTCCTCCCTCCCTCCCTTCCTTCCCTCATCTCCTCCTTCTTTTCTTTCTTCTTTATTTCCTTCCTTCTTTTTCTTTCTTTGTTTTCTTTTCTTTCTCTTTACTACAATTCATATTATTTTTAAAAAATTAAGAGAGGGAGACAGAAAAATAAAGAACGCTTTAATCTGCAGGTAAATAGATTATGTCTGCTGCAGGCAAAAGAATGGCCTCCCAAAAATTTTCATGTCCTAATTCCCAGAGTCTAACATACAAATATGTTAGGTTGCACGGCAGTGTGAAATTAGATTTCAAGTGAAATTAAGGTTGCGGAAAAATGATAGAGAGATTGTCTTAAATGGGTGGGATCAATGAAATCACAAACTTCCTTATAAGTGAAAGAAGAAGACAGAAGAAATGCAACCTTGGAGGTGGTGGCATGAGAAATTACTCAACATCACTGACTTTTAAGATACAAGAATGAGGACCCAGCGCGGTGGCTCACGCCTAATCCCAGCACTTTGGGAGGCTGGGGTGGGTGGATCACGAGGTCAGGAGATCGAGACCATCCTGGGTAACATGGTGAAACCCCATCCCTACTAAAAATACAAAAAATTAACTGGGCATGGTGGCAAGTGCCTGTAGTCCAAGCTACTCATGAAGCTGAGGCAGAAGAATCACTTGAACCTGGGAGGCAGAGGTTGCAGTGAGCTGAGATCATGCCACCGCACTCCAGCCTGGGTGACAGAAGGAGACTCTATCTCAAAAAAAAAAAAAAAAGAAAAATAGGATATAAGAATGAGGTCATGTTCCAAGGAATAAAGGTGGCCTCTGGATGCTGAAAAAAATCAAGTAATAGAGTCTGCCACATAGCCCTCAGAAAGACTGCAGCCCTGCCCAAAACTTGATGTTAGCCCTGTGAATTTCATTCAAGTCTTCTGAACTACAGAACTGTAGGATTAACGGTCACTTTATTGTAAGATATGAAGTTTGTGGTAATTGGTTACAGCAGCAAGAGGAAGTTTATATTATAATTGTATCATGAAAATGAGAACCATAATTTACAACTGCTTTTAATACTGCACTTGGATGTTTGAAATCACATACGTGGAAATGATTTCTGTGTGCATGAGGGAGGATAGCAAATTGATGCCAAAATAATGCAAATGCAAATCTTACACACATTTCTATGTAGGTTTCATTTAATCTTTGAAATTAAAATGAAATTAAAAGATTGTGATATTTTGATGAAATTAGACTAAAATGAACAATAACAAAATAAGAACTCACTTATATTCTTTATATGGTCAATAAAGAAGTGATAGTGGAAAAAAACAAGATCAAATGAAGGTGACGATTTAGGAAGTTGGAAAGATAGCTGAAACTACAAAATGGTATATAACCAGTGAACACTTAGACACACTGATTGATGAACTTCAGCTTTAGCTTGGTGAGAGCATAAAATGAGAGCAGCTGAGGTTTGCAAATTTGTAATCTCCTTGTGGAAAAACAGGGGAAAACACATCTCAGCCTAATAAGATTTATCTACTAAGGAGTCTAGACTTGGTCCATTTGTCCTTGTAATTCAAAAGCTAATTCAAATACTGATTTGATGTATTGTGTGAACAACCATTGCTGATTATCATCGCATATCTGGCATTCTCTTTTATCTGATATCTAAAATATTTGGTAATTCCTGGAATTTCTCTTTTCAAACCCAGTACAGTTTAATTTGAGTCTTAGAACAGTTGTCTTTGAGAAATTCTTCCCTCTACTGCATCTGTGAATGGGCATAGCATGGTTACATACATACTGTCACTCCATAGAACATTTGTTAAATTAAAGCCAAAGTTTAAAGCAACAGCTTTAACTCACTGGTTTTACTAATGTTTTCCTCCCCAATAGCCACAACAATATTGATACCCTCACACCTTTTAACATAAAGCTTGGTGTTGTCTATTTTTCAGGTGTTGTCATGTATATGATCTCAGTATTTTAAAAATCAGCTTCCGGCCCATATGGTGGTTCATGCTTGTAATACCAGCAGTTGAAGAGGCTGAAATGAGAGGATTCCTTGAGCCCAGGAGTTCAAAAGCAACCTGGGCAACATAGCAAGACCCAGTCTCTATCAAAAGTTAAAAAAATAAAAAGTGGGCATGGTGGTGTGCACCTGTTGTCCTAGCTATTTGGGAGGCCAAGGTGGAAGGATTGCTTGAGCTTGGGAGGTTGAGGCTGCAGTGAGCAGTGATTGCACCACTGCACTCCAGCCTGGGCAAAAAACCAAGACCCTATCTCAAAAAATATATATAATAAAAATAAAAATCAGCTCTCATTGATTTCTATGTAAATATGTACAGGTGATGTCCATATAGACATAAATAATAATATTTCTGACAATGGTTCCATATGATCTTCAACATGTAAAATGCTTATCTGTGTAATTGACTGGTTAGTCTCATTAATGAATATAGATTCAATTCTACTTTCTTGTTCTAGATAAATTATATAATCTAGCTTTTCATTTCACTTATTTACTGATAACAAGAGGAAGAATGACAAGATATCTATTTTGGAAAATTACTCTGGTAGGAGTAAAGATGAAACAATGATAGAATTGCACAGAAAACTAGAAAAAAGTATGGTCTTCTGATATTCTATCACATCACATACTAAAGGCCTCATAAAACTCAGATATTTTATCTAAAAATGTTATTTTCATCATAGGAATGATCAAAGCATGAGACTACAGTTGTATTAAAATGTGCTTGTATCACAAGCACGTGTGCTAAAAAGGAGGGGAAAACATCATTACTGATATTTTCAATGTATGTTTTACTTTTCATCAACATGAACCTCAACTTGATATGATGCAAATTGAAGGAAATCACCCATAATTCCATATGAAAAAGGCCTGTGATATTTTATGGGAAAATAAACAGAGAAAATGCTAACAGAAACCCTATTAAGCATGAAGCTTTATGGAGCAAACACAAATCCAGTGGTGAAAGATACACACTCGAGTTCTCTTTGTTGTCTTGGAACAATACGGTTTAGAGGTGACTGGCGGGTGAGGAGAACATATGCGAGTTCACCAAAGAGAAAAGCTGAATGAGGCAATGCCTCTTCCTGACCATATCTCTTACTCAGATAACTATATAATTTATTGTCCAGTAAAGGGAATATTAAAAAATCATATTAAAAGTTATGCAGTGAAGTTGTCCAGGGAAATCAAGACTTAACAGTCTCACTCTGACAATAATGAACAGGGGGATTCCCTCAAGATAGACTAGGACATGACCCCACACTGGCAGATAGTAGTACCAGAGAAGAACCCATGGAAAATCTTTACCTTATGCTTGAGGTAGGGACCAGGCTAAAGTGAAAGCCAGACATAAAATTCTATCTAAAATAAATCCACAATCGAAGAAAATATGTGGTGTACAGGCATAGAATGTCTTTACTGGATCATTGAAATAGTAAGATAAATTCAACTTTTTACATTGTTTTCTTTTCCTCCAGTTAGGGCTTGAGGTTTGTCTCTGGAGAGTGACTGTCAATTGGAGCCCTGCCTTTCTGGGGTTCTGGTCAGGGGGTTGTGGATGCTTAACATGTGCCTTTCACAGGACACTTCCTTACACCAGCAGTGGCCAGATGTGCATCCCACGACCAGGCCTCCCTCTCACAGAACATCTGTTGAGACTAGGAGATGCCTGGTGACTGTTGCCTGACCTGTGTCCTGTGTATTTCTGACAAGAGCCACTCTCAGAGACCCTGGCCAGGAGGAGAGTTAGGTTCCAGTGTAGGTCAGCTCAGACCCATGGAGGCCACAGAACCAAACATGGGAAATCACAGAAGTAGGTTTATTACTCACAGATCCAGAGAGAAGAGGGTAGCTGAGAAGAGGGTTTAGCTGTGTCCCCAGCCAAATCTCATCTTGAATTCCCACATGTTGTGGGAGGGAACAGGTGGGAGGTAATTGAATCATGGGGGCAGGTCTTTCCCATGCTGTTCTTCTGATAGTGAATAAGTCTCACAAGATCTGATGGTTTTATAAAGGGGAGTTTCCCTGCACAAGCTCTCTTGTCTTGTCTGCTGCCATGTGAGACTTGCCTTTCACCTTGCACCATGATTGTGAGGCCTACCCAGCCATGTGGAACTGTGCGTCTATTAAAACTCTGTCTTCTGGAAATTACACAGTCTTGGGCATGTCTTTACCAGCAGTGTGAAAACGGACTAATACAGTAGCACACCTCATAGGGCTGAACAAAATGGGGAAGATGAGTGGGGAGCAGGAGAGAGAAAAGGGGTCTGTGGGACTCCAGCCTTTATTCGGCCCAGAACATTACCCAAATAAGTTTTCCACGGGGCACTAGTCTGTGGGGTGAGTGCCAGCAGGCACATTTCTTGACTCCCGCTGCAACCGAGCAGGTCACTCTGGCGTGTGGGGTCTGTCCATGTGTGCTGTGAGGTCTGTGGGGTGAGTCAGGTAGGTTGTATCCAACGGTTCCATAGCTGGTAGTCACCAGGAGGAGGCAACTGTGTAGGGTCAATATCTAGGCCAGCCACACTGAGGAACTGTGAGGGTTAGAATTGGAAATTGTCAAGGGAATCTGAACCCAGCTACCATATGAGAGAGTTCAACTTATGTTCAATGTGAATGCCATGGCAATATTAAAAGGTAAGAATTCGCTCCATACGTGCTTGAGGTAAATAGGAGAAACCTAGAATTTATGTAAACAGTGAGAAGATTGGATGCGTTTTCCGTCACATATTTTAATACTAGCAGCATATTATATATGTCAATCCATCAGGCATTCAGAAATACATGCTTATGAAAATTTTTTGCACCATCAGACAAAAGACAAGGGTAGAAGACATTTGTAACCCTATAAACACTAGTAAATTAAAAACAGAAGAACCTTTATGTCCTAACATATCTGTGTTGTGAAAGGCTGCCCTGTGAAATACGGGATATCTTAAACATATTTTAAAAATCATAGGTGTCAATATTTTTTAGAAATCCATTTAAATTTTCTCTTGCTATTTTACAATGCCTATTTATTTATTTAGTGGCTCTGCTGATTTTGATGTATATCCTAAACTTTACATTTTCTTTAAAGGATATTTTATACAACTTTATGTAAAAGTTTCAGTATCTTCACATTCTCTCCCTGTCCTTTTGTTTTGCTCTTATATGGTGGTCTTGAGTCTTTTCTCTGGCTTTTCAAACCTAGTAAGACTAAGAAACTAAAGTAACTTTGCCCGTGGTTTGGTAATGCCTTCCAAAGCACATCCTAAGCTCTCGTGCATACAGGGGTCTCCTTTGAGCTCTGTGCTTTTGAGATCCCATATACCTAAATTCCAGTACTCCAAATCAGTACTGCTCAGTTTTAGTTACTAAGTTTAAAAATGTATTTCAATAGCAAGTTACTTTAGTGCACTCTTGCTTCTTTCTTGACTGCTTGTATACATGTATATTCCTTTAAATGAATCTTGGAATTTATTTAAAAATTTTAAATTATACTAATGAAACTGTATATTGTTGTGAATTCATAAGTGAATTTGGAAATAATTTGTCTTTATGATACTAAATCCTTTTTATCCAAGAATAATATGTGTCTTTATATTTATTCCAGTCTATATTTATATCACTGAGTAAATATATAGAAATGTAGATACATACAGCTGTAGTTATAGATACAAATATAGATATAACATGTTAAATCTATATCTATCCCATATAACATATATACATGCTATATATGTGTGTGTGTATATATATATGTTTATGTTATTAAAGAGCTCCCTTAAAATTTTTCTTTTATTTCCTATATAATTTTAGGTCGAGCTTGAATTTTCCTTGTATAAACAAGCAAATATTTATACTAGTTTTAATACTGATGTTTAGACATTGTATCTTATTTTAGCATTGAATATTTTCACAATTATCATAAATATTATCTAATATTAATAATGTACCTGTTAAAAATATTTAAAATTTTACCTTTGAATTATTTTATTGTTGAATTAAAATTCCTTTAATATGACAGTAAATTTCTATTTTATGCTTTCTCTATGCATATGCAAATTAATCTATCCACTTCTCTATCTCTATGTAGTAACATATGAAAATCAGGCCTCTCTTCTAATGGACATACACATGTTTGCATATAGAATATCAGACTCTTTACAGCATTTAAAATCTTTACAGACATGAATATTGCCTTTTAACAAATATATTTTAGCATGTACTGAGAATCCCCTATTTATTTTTAATTTGGGCTAATCAATATTATTATTAATATTATTGGATTACCAAATTTGGAAACACACTTTCATCCCCAAGGTGGATATTTGTTTTATTTTTTTTGCCAATTTCTTGTCTTACTGTTTCAAACATTGTTGGATATTATTTTTATTTTATTTGGCATTTTAGTATCAACATTTGTAATTGATGTACTCTACATATTTTTTCTTCAATATCTGGTGGGTTTTATAATTACTGCTACATTGGATTTGTAGTAGACATTGACAAAAATTGTTCCTGTATGTTTCATAGCTGTATGAAGGAAACTAATATATTTTACCCCTAAATATATTTCCTTGATATATTTCAAAATGGCTATTGAGAAGGGCTGGGAATGCAAACTTAGCTGCAAAGCTGTCTTGGGGAGATTTGCATCGGTAGAGAATCTGCCTTGATGCAGCCAGGCTTTCTCTGAGGTCTGCCCCCTTGTCTGGATCTAGGAAAGGTTAACTGAGCATCTGAGGTCTCCAAAGGTCTGAAAGAAACATTTTCTGTCTATTCTCTCTGAGGACTGCTCCCAGTGAGGTTTCACCTATGTAATAAGTCCACTGTTGCTAGCCAGGGTCGTTTTCTCACATAACCTTTTTTTTTTTCCTGTGATCCAAGACCCCATTCTTTCTGTAAACTTCATGTGGTAGATAAGCTTCTGCACGCATCGTGTGTCTGGGTCTTCGTTCTAAGGGCTCCAGTGTACACACATTGCAGAAACCTTTATGCCTTTTCTACTATTTATCTGCCTCCTATTAGTGATTTTCAGGGAAACTTCAGAAGGCAAAAGGGACATTCTCCTTTAGCCCATTCTCAGACAAAATCCCAAAACATTTAACTGATTCCTAATAGCTTAAAATCACTCTGACAAATCCATATATTTATAACCTTTTCTTCCCTCTATGATTTCTGTTCAGCTTGGGTTTTGTTTTTCATTCCATTTACTTCATCCTCGAAAAGATCTCTTTTACGTCTATTTATTCTCATTTATGGACATTGAGAAAAGAAAATAACTTTCATGTGAGAAATGCAAGTCCTTTTAAATAATCAGGCCCAGAGAGATATTCAAATGAGACAGCAGTTCTGTCCTGCTCCTCTTTGAGCTGTGTGTTCATCTAGGCTGCTTGCTGTTGCCACAGTAGCTATTAATTAACCAATAACGCCACACCAGATAGTATAATCCACACCCAATAATAGTGTAACAGTGTATAGCCAGTCACTAATAAATGCTATTTCCATAAGCCAATGAGAATTTGTGACAAACCTATTTGCATCATCCCACTTCTGGACGCTTTTTTGCCTTTAAGAAACTGCTTGTTGCAAAGCTCCAAAGGGAGTTCATATCCAAGGATACTTGGGTCTGTTTCTTCCAGGCAGCTGTCCTCATTTTGGCTCAAGTAAACTCTTTGAATTACATTTTGTGCTTCAGCCCCTTCCACTTAGATTAACAACATGGATTTGTGTCACCATGTACGGCAATTAAAATGTTCACACTTTTCCCCCCAAGGGCACTGATGTGTTTTCCTGAGCACTTGGAATAGCTACGTAGTGTTTACTGTCTAGATTATGGTTTCTCAACCTTGGTGCTACTTACCTTTAGGACCAGAGGATTCTTTGCTGTGGGAGGCTGCCCTAGCAATGCTAGGTGTTTCGTTTGACCTCTAAATTTCACACCTCCACCAGTCTTGACATCCCCACAATAACACTAGACATTGACAAATGTCTCCTGGGGAAAACTCTCCACCAGTTGACAGGGAAAGTTCTGGAAATATTGGAATTGTCAATTGAGATTTTATGTTATCCAAAACAAGTATTTTTCTTTGTTTTCAAACATCTACTTCCATCTACTTATCTATTTATTTTTTACTTTTATTTGTAACTTAATTCCATCAAGGAGAGAGAGTTCATTTTCTGTTATGCTAAATTTTTGAAGAATGTATTGATTTTTTTATGACATGATATATGGATGATATGTAGATATTACATGTTTGTATTATCAAATTTCAGGGCGATAATAAAATAAATACTTATAATATTTATATTGTCACTGTATATTAGTTATTTTCTTCCTTCACTACAGGAGTTTTTCAACCTATAGGCTATTTTTCAATTCTAGGTTATCCAATAGATTTTGAAACGTTATGATTAAATATCTACTTCTCAAGCATTCATCTTTGCAAATGAAACAATCCCAAGCTCTTATAATGCACATCATATAAAGGGCAGATTAGTCAATATATGGTTCAGAAATAATTATGTAATATTTATAAGAATATTAAAAATTTACATCCTTAACTCAGATAACAATAATCCAAATTAAAATTTGATTTCATTACATAATTTAAAATGACACCAGAATACTAGTAAAAATGTAGATAAGTTTATATAATCTTTTTTAGCTGTAGGACTTTATTAGCATAAATTCAAATACAGGAACCAAAGTAAGATTGAGACCTATAGTCAAAGGTTAAAATGTACACATTATAGGGCCATGATTAAACTAATTTAAAGCATGATAACATGGAGAAATATTGCAAAACATACATTTTACTGAATTAATTGTTAATATCTAATCATTATGTGAGAACAAAATTAAAGAGTAGCTACACACGCACACACCCACACACAAGTGCAATATTGTCAAATAAACGATGTTCAGTTACACTAGAAATCACACCTGTGTTTCCTCCACAAAAAAGATTAAAAATCACAATAATATTTATTGTACATATGGAGGTAAAGATACTGAAAATATTACCCTAAAATACATTGTTTTTTGAGATGGAGTTTTGCTTTTATTGCCCAGGCTAGAGTGCAATGGCACAATCTTGGCTCACTGCAACCTCAGCCTCCCAGGATCAAGTTATTCTCCTAGCTCAGCCTCCCAAGTAGCTGAGATTACAGGCATGCACCACCACACTCGGCTAATTTTTTGTATTTAGTAGAGACGGGGTTTCACCACGTTGGTCAGGCTGGTCTCCAACTCCTGACTTCAGGTGATCTACCCACTTCAGCCTCCCAAAGTGCTGGGATTACAGGCGTGCGCCTGGGCAGCTTTTTGACATATTTCAAGATGGCTACTCGGAAGACTGGAGATAGCTTCTTCTACAAGAATAGCTGAAAAGCTGTGTTTGTTGGGGAGATTTGCATTTGTAGAGAATATCTGCGTTGATATAGACAGTCTTTTCCTGAGATACTCCCTTGTGTGGGTTTAGGAAAGATTAACTGAGCCTGGCACGTTTACATTTCTAAAAACCATTTCCTATCTATACTTCCCAAGAGGAGGGCTGCTCCCTGTGAGGTTTCATCCATGGAACAAGACCACCTCTGCTACCAGGCTCCTCTTTCTTCCTTGTCATCACCTGTCTTCCACAAAGCCTGATTTACCAACCTACAGCTCTGTGTTTTTCTGTAACCTCAAGATGGCATAGGCGTGTTGACTACCTTGCCTTTCCTGGAGTTTTTATATATATAGTATATATTTGTATATCTATTTATAATATACAAATATGTGTATAGATATATTCATATATATTATGTAAACTCCAAGTGCATACTTGTGCACATATCTGTAAACCTTTTTTTCCTGTTAATTTGTACATTTTTGGTTTGTTTTATAGACTCAAATAATTAAAGCTTCAAGGGAAAAATTTAAACTTTCCTATAGAGAAAAGACATATATATATGTGAAAAATAATATTTAGAGTGTAAGACGCTTTTTAAAGGTATATTTGCAATTTGTGTCAAAACATTTAAATATACATTTGTTACTTTAACTGTAAAATTTCAAATAATTTAAGCTAAATACATAGTATATGCAGAAAATTTAGCAATATTTGTATGTAGCACCTTACTGTGCATTACTGTAACCAGCTGTCTAGTATAAAGAACTAATTAAGGTAGCACCTACTTTTCAAATATCGCATTTTTTCACAGACCTATTAAATAAGACAAATAACATTTAAACTTTATTTTTAAATTTGCAGAATAGTATTTTTCCAGCAGATGGTTTATTTTAGCAAATTCCATCTTCACATTGTGCTATGCTTTTATGAGTTCCAGCTGTTAACAGATAATATTTTACTGCTGAATCTATCATGTGTGATATAATTGCTCATTATGTACCTTAAAACACAAGCAATATAGTTATTTTCAACTTGGAGCAAATTAAAATCTTATCAGCAATTTAAAAACTCTAGAGTCGTCTTCTTCTGGTTAATTATTTTAAACTTGTATTTTTCTCTTTATGTTTTTAGTAAGTTGTCTTATCAAGGAGAAGAACTCAAGCTGATTATTCTTTTTTTTCTCTTCCATCCACCTCGCTGGTGTGTGAATAATTTCATTTCTCAGAAAGTGTTCTTTCATATCCATCTTACAAGATGAGAGGCCTTTTAACATCTTCCATTCATATATGATACAAGTAATGGAAAATATTCCAGCTTCATGAATATGGTGATACAAATAGTTATCCGTCTAACCTCTGTCAGTGCCAAATGTTTACTCAGTGAATTACTCAGCTGACTGGTAATTTCTTCTGAAATCACTAATGAGAGGATCAGAGGTCTGGCTGTTGTCTGTACCTCGTACGACTCCCAGTGCAGACAATTGTTTCTATGGAGCACAGACAGTTGAATGGATTGACTTCCTGCCTAGAATAGCTTCTGCTGTGCTTCTTATCCTTCTTGTGGAGATTTCAGATTGTCTGAATTGCTTTTCTATCTTAAGAAAAAACTCAACAATTTTCCCACCTGAGAGGAATGTATACTGTAGTAAGTTAGAAGAAGCAATCCGTAAAGTTTTTACATTGTTTGTTGTAAAATGCAGCGTTGGTGTCTCCATCACTAACCTTTTCTATCCCTCATTGCTCTTTCTTTGACTGCAATAGGATACCTCTAGGCAAATCTGTATTCCCGAAACAGAGTGCCCTTTCCGTTAGCTATAAGTACACTCAATGGTAGGCTGAAATACTAGTTTTTATCTATGGCGAAATGGAATCATATCAGTGATTTTCTTTAAAAGGAAATTTAACTCTTGCTATGGTTTGAATGATTGCCCCTTCCAAATCTCACGTTAAAATTTGATCCCCAATGTTGGAAGTGGGGCTTACTGGGAGGTGTTGTGTCATGGGGATGGACTTTCATGAATGGATAATACCCTCCCTTAGGAATCTCAAGCTATCCTCCCTCCTCGGTGCCCTCAGGAATGAGTGTACCATTCTTTATTCAACTATAATTCCCCCACCCATCCTTTTTGAGATATTAATTACATGTATGTTACACTGCTGCATATTGTCTCACGTATCAGTGAGTTTCTGGCTTTCTTATTTTAGTTTACCCTTTGTCCTTTAGTTTGGAAAGCTTCTATTTTTTTCTATAAATTTTCTGATGTTAGGGTAAAATCCATAACTTATTCTATCTCATGGAATTTTTATTTCAAATGTTTATTTTTCATCTATACATGTCACATTTTTCATTTTATAACTTCTATTTTTCTCCTATGATCAATTTTCATTTAAGTACTTTGACATATATATGTATTTATCTATATGTATTTATAAAATATATTTACTTTAAGGGCCTTGAAAATTCCTTCTTCTCTGTCATTTATAAACGACTTATTTTTATCCTGTTAATATATATCTTAATAATATATATCTTCCGGCTTCTTTGCATGTCAGAGTTTTTTTGGGGGGGGGGTATTTTGATGTTATGCTATTGAATATCTAGATTTTATTGGCTACCTTTGAACAATGTTGTGGCAGGCAGTTCAGTAACTTCAGGATGAGTATTTTTCTGTTGTTGTTTTAAATCTTCTCTTTAAACTTTGTGGAGTTAGTCTAGAGCCATCTGTAATTTGGAGCTAAATGAGCACTGTCACTGGGGCATGAACCTCCAGTGGTCTTTACTGAATATCCTGGAGGTACAGAGGGGATTCCCATCTCTGGCTGGTCAGAGCTAACATGTCTTCCTTTCATGTGATGCCAGGGAAGTGTTCTTCCAACTCCGTGGTAGAGTCTTTTGCTGAGCTCCTTAGAATTTCATCCTATGTACCTTTGACTTAGGGACTTGGGAGAAACCTTAGGCTGATTATTGGTTCCTTTTTCTGTAAACGTTCTCTTCTACTACACATTCCAGCTGCTTAACCTTTTTTGATTTTTATCTGGTTCCTCAGTGCAATGACAATGTCTGCTCTCTCTGGGATTCCTCTCTACTGCTGTCACGGAGAACCTGGGAATAAAGCAGGACTCATTCTGGCTCCTTCTCTTCTCTTGCGGAGCACAGTACTGTGCTGCCTGATGTTCAGTACTTCAAAAAAAGTTTCATATATTTTGTCCAGTTTACTATTCTTTAACTCTAAAAGAGTACCTCCAGTCCCAGTTACAGTATCATGTTCTGTAACTCTACTCCTTGTTGCTTCATTCTGCCATTGTCTGGTATGATCGCCCCTTTCCCTTCTGTAATCAGGCCAAGAGCATAATATAATACTAGTTAGTTATAACTGCACAGCTTGCTTCCGTTGTGTAAAAAAATCACTGAGACTTAACTGTGTCCAACTTTTAAAATGTGAATATAAGTACAACTAAAGCTATATTTTGGTTAATATTTGCATTGCATGCTTTTCCATTATTTAGTTTCAACATATGTGAAATATAAATATAAATTATAAAAACTTTAAGAGAGTCCATTGAAAAATCTGGTCTGAGTATGTTTTAACTGGTTTATTATAACGTGCATTCTCGAATTCAGGGTCTAATATAATTGGTACGTTTATCTATTTGCAAAAAAACTTGACAATATTTTTAAATTAATTTATCCAACTCACAACTTATATGCTTCTGCTGTTGTATGGAAGATACATTTTAAACTTTATGAGATAGCATTCTGTTATACCGTCGATATCCAATTAAATTTCTCTCTGTGTTTACTTCTTTCATTAAAAAAAAAGCGTTCTTCTAACTGCAAACTTTCATCAGGGATCATGGCTCTTCTACCTGAAGAATAATCTTTACTATTTCCTTTCCTGTGGGTCTGCTTGGGAGAAATTCTTTATTGTATCTTTGTTTTTGATGGACATGTCCACCAAGTAGACAGTTCTAGGTCAGCACTTATTTTATTTCAGGACTTGAAAGGTATCAATACCTCACTTGTTGGCTTTCATTGTTTCATTTGACACGGTTGTTATCAGTCAACTCTTTCTGTTTATAGTTAGCCCAATTTTTTTATCAAGTGCTCTTGACATTTTTCTTTTACTTTTCAGAAATTGTCCCATTATGTTTCTAGGTGTGTCCTCTGTGTGTGTTTTCTTTTGGTTTGCAAAGCCTCCTGAACCTGTGGTTTAATATTATTGGTCAATTTTGATAAAACCTCTAACATTGCCACTTAAAATGCTGTTCAGACCAGCTGTTTTCTCCTTCTTAGATTTCAACGTGTTAGATTATTACTGTATGCTTTATATTTTTTAAATGACCTTTCTCTACTTTTTTTTAGTTGGTTAATCTGTATTAGTGTATATTTTGCTTTTTTATTTTATTTTATTTTATTATTATACTTAAAGTTTTAGGATACATGTGCATAATGTGCAGGTTTGTAACGTAAGTATTCATGTGCCATGTTGGTGTGCTGCACCCATTAACTCGTCATTTAGCATTAGGAATATCTCCTAATGTTATCCCTCCCCCTCCCCCCACCACACAACAGTCCCCGAAGTGTGATGTTCCCCTTCCTGTGTCCATGTGTTCTCATTGTTCAATTCCCAACTATGAGTGAGAATATGCGGTGTTTGCTTTTTTGTCCTTGTGATAGTTTACTGAGAATGATGATTTCCAGTTTCATCCATGTCCCTACAAAGGACATGAACTCATCATTTTTTATGGCTGCATAGTATTCCATGGTTTATATGTGCCACATTTTCTTAATCCAGTCTATCGTTGTTGGACATTTGGGTTGGTTCCAAGTCTTTGCTATTGTGAATACTGCCGCAATAAACATACTTGTGCATGTGTCTTTATAGCAGCATGATTTATAGTCTTTTGGGTATATACCCAGTAATGGGATGGCTGGGTCAAATGGTATTTCTAGTTCTAGATCCCTGAGGAATCGCCACACTGACTTCCACAATGGTTGAACTAGTTTACAGTCCCACCAACAGTGTAAAAGTGTTCCTGTTTCTCCACATCCTCTCCAGCACCTGTTGTTTCCTGACTTTTTAATAATCGACTTTCTAACTGGTGTGAGATGGTATCTCATTGTGGTTTTGATTTGCATTTCTCTGATGGCCAGTGATGATGAGTATTTTTTCATGTGTTTTTTGGCTGCATAAATGTCTTCTTTTGAGAAGTGTCTGTTCCTGTCTTTCACCCACTTTTTCATGGGATTGTTTGTTTTTTTCTTGTAAATTTGTTTGAGTTCATTGTAGATTCTGGATATTAGCCCTTTGTCAGATGAGTAGGTTGCAAAAATTTTCTCCCATTTTGTAGGTTGCCTGTTCACTCTGGTGGTAGTTTCTTTTGCTGTGCAGAAGCTCTTTAGTTTAATTAGATCCCATTTGTCAATTTTGGCTTTTGTTGCCATTGCTTTTGGTGTTTTAGACATGAAGTACTTTCCCATGCCTATGTCCTGAGTAGTATTGCCTAGGTTTTCTTCTAGGGTTTTTATGGTTTTAGGTCTAACATGTAAGTATTTCATCCATCTTGAATTAATTTTTGTATAAGGTGTAAGGAAGGGATCCAGTTTCAGCTTTCTACATATGGCTAGCCAGTTTTCCCAGCACCATTTATTAAATAGGGAATCTTTCCTCATTGCTTGTTTTTCTCAGGTTTGTCAAAGATCAGATAGTTGTAGTTATGTGGCATTATTTCTGAGGGCTCTGTTCGGTTCCATTGATCTATGTCTCCATTTTGGTACCAGTACCATGTTGTTTTGATTACTGTAGCCTTGTAGTATAGTTTGAAGTCAGGTAGCGTGATGCCTCCAGCTTTGTTCTTTTGGCTTAGGATTGACTTGGCGATGCAGGCTGTTTTTTGGTTCCATATGAACTTTAAAGTTGTTTTTTTCAATTCTGTGAAGAAAGTCATTGGTAGCTTGATGGGGATGGCACTGAATCTATAAATTACCTTGGGCAGTATGGCCATTTTCATGATATTGATTCTTCCAACCCATGAGCATGGAATGTTCTTCCATTTGTTTGTATCCTCTTTTATTTCATTGAGCAGTGGTTTGTTGTTCTCAATGAAGAGGTATTTCACGTCCCTTGTAAGTTGGATTCCTAGGTATTTTTCTCTCTTTGAAGCAATTGTGAATGGGAGTTCGCTCATGATTTGGCACTCTATTTGTTGTTGGTGTATAAGAATGCTTGTGATGTTTGTAAATTGATTTTTTATCCTGAGACTGCTGAAGTTGCTCATCAGCTTAAGGAGATTTTGGGCTGAGACAATGGGGTTTTCTAGATATACAATCAAGTCATCTGCAAACAGGGACAATTTGACTTCCTCTTTTCCTAATTGAATACCCTTTGTTTCCTTCTCCTGCCTGATTGCCCTGGCCAGAACTTCCAACACTATGTGGAATAGGAGTGGTGAGAGAGGGCAACCCTGTCTTGTGCCAGTTTTCAAAGGGAATGCTTCCAGTTTTTGCCCATTCAGTATGATATTGGCTGTGGGTTTGTCATAGATAGCTCTTATTATTTTGAAATACATCCCATCAATACCTAATTTATTGAGAGTTTTTAGCATGAAGGGTTGTTGAATTTTGTCAAAGGCCTTTTCTGCATCTATTGAGATAATCATGTGGTTTTTGTCTTTGGCTCTGTTTATATGCTGGATTACATTTATTGATTTGCGTATATTGAACCAGCCTTGCATCCCAGGGATGAAACCCACTTGATCATGGTGGATAAGCTTTTTGATGTGCTGTTGGATTCGGTTTGCCAGTATTTTATTGAGGATTTTTGCATCAATGTTCATCAAGGATATTGGTCTAAAATTCTCTTTTTTGGTTGTGTCTCTGCCCGGCTTTGGTATCAGGATGATGCTGGCCTCATAAAATGAGTTAGGGAGGACTCCCTCTTTTTCTATTGATTGGAATAGTTTCAGAAGGAATGGTACCAGTTCCTCCTTGTACCTCTGGTAGAATTCGGCTGTGAATCCATCTGGTCCTGGACTCTTTTTGTTGGTAAGCTATTGATTATTGCCACAATTTCAGATCCTGTTATTGGTCTATTCAGAGATTCAACTTCTTCCTGGTTTAGCCTTGGGACAGTGTATGTGTTGAGGAATTTATCCATTTCTTCTAGATTTTCTAGTTTATTTGCGTAGAGGTGTTTGTAGTATTCTCTGATGGTAGATTGTATTTCTGTGGGATCAGTGCTGATAACCCCTTTATCATTTTTTATTGCGTCTATTTGATTCTTCTCTCTTATCTTCTTTATTAGTCTTGCTAGTGATCTATCAATTTTGTTGATCTTTTCAAAAAACCAGCTCCTGTATTTCCTTCAATTCTGCTCGATTTTAGTTATTTCTTGCCTTCTGCTAGCTTTTGAATGTGTTTGCTCTTGCTTTTCTAGTTCCTTTAATTGTCATGTTAGGGTGTCAATTTTGGATCTTTCCTGCTTTCTCTTGTTGGCATTTAGTGCTATAAATTTCCCTCTAAACACTGCTTTGAATGTGTCCCAGAGATTCTGGTATGTTGTGTCTTTGTTCTCGTTGGTTTCAAAGAACATCTTTATTTCTGCCTTCATTTCGTTATGTACCCAGTAGTCATTCCGGAGCAGGTTGTTCGTTTTCCATGTAGTTGAGCGGTCTTGAGTGAGTTTGTTAATCCTGGATTCTAGTTTGATTGCACTGTGGTCTGAGAGACAGTTTGTTATGATTTCTTTTCTTTTACATTTGCTGAGTAGAGATTTACTTCCAAGTATGTGGTCAATTTTGGAATAGGTGTGTTGTGGTGCTGAGAAGAATGTATATTCTGTTGGATTTGGGGTGGAGAGTTCTGTAGATGTCTATTAGATCCGCTTAGTGCAGAGCTGAGTTCAATTCCTGTGTACCCTTGTTAACTTTCTGTTTCATTTATCTGTCTAATGTTGACAGTGGGTTGTTAAAATCTCTCATTATTATTGTGTGGGAGTCTAAGTCTCTTTGTAGGTCACTCAGGACTTGCTTTATGAATCTGGGTGCTCCTATATTGGGTGCATATATATTTAAGATAGTTAGCTCTTCTTGTTGAATTGGTCCCTTTACCATTATGTAGTGGCCTTCTTTGTCTCTTTAGATCTTTGTTGGTTTAAAGTGTGTTTTATCAGAGACTAGGATTGCAACCCCTGTCTTTTTTTGTTTTCCATTTGCTTAGTAGATCTTCTTCCATCCTTCTATTTTGAGCCTATGTGTGTCTCTGCACATGAGATGGGTTCCTGAATACAGCACATTGATAAGTCATGACTCTTTATCCAATTTGCCAGTCTGTGTCTTTTAATTGGAGCATTCAGTCCATTTACGCTTAAAGTTAATATTGTTATGTGTGAATTTGATCCTGTCATTATGATGCTAGCTGGTTATTTTGCTCGTTAGTTGATGCAGTTTCTTCCTAGTCTCGATGATCTTTACATTTTGGCATGATTTTGCAGAGGCTGATACCGGTTGTTCCTTTCCATGTTTAGTACTTCCTTCAGGAGCTCTTTTAGGGCAGGCCTGGTGGTGACAAAATCTCTCAGCATTTGCTTGTCTGTAAAGGATTTTATTTCTCCTTCACTTATGAAGCTTAGTTTGGCTGGATATGAAATTCTGGGCTGAAAATTCTTTTCTTTAAGAATGTTGAATATTGGCCCCCACTCTCTTCTGGCTTCTAGAGTTTCTGCCAAGAGATCTGCTGTTAGTCTGATGGTCTTCCCTTTGTGGGTAATCCGACCTTTCTCTCTGGCTGCCCTTAACATTTTTTCCTTCCTTTCAACTTTGGTGAATCTGACAATTATGTGTCTTGGAGTTGCTCTTCTCGAGGAGTATCTTTGTGGTGTTGTCTGTATTTCCTGAATCTGAATGTTGGCCTGCCTTGCTAGATTGGGGAAGTTCTCCTGGATAATATCCTGCAGAGTGTTTTCCAACTTGGTTCCATTCTCCCCATCACTTTCAGGTACACCCATCAGATGGAGAGTTGGTCTTTTCACATAGTCCCATATTTCTTGGAGGTTTGTTCATTTCATTTTATTATTTTTTCTCTAAACTTCCCTTCTCACTTCATTTCATTCATTTCTTCTTCCATCACTTATACCCTTTCTTCCAGTTGATCGCATTGGCTCCTGAGGCTTCCACATTCTTCATGTAGTTCTCGAGCCTTGGCTTTCAGCTCCATCAGCTCCTTTCAGTACTTCTCTTTATTGGTTATTCTAGATATACATTCTTCTAAATTTTTTTCAAAGTTTTTAACTTCTTTGCCTTTGGTTTGAATTTCCTCCTGTAGCTTGGAGCAGTTTGATCGTCTGAAGCCTTTTTCTCTCAACTCATCAAAGTCATTCTCTGCCCAGCTTTTTTCCATTGCTGGTGAGGAACTGTGTTCCTTTTTAGGAGGAGAGGTGCTCTACTTTTTAGAATTTCCAGGTTTTCTGCTCTGTTTTTTCCCCATCTTTGTGGTTGTATCTAGTTTTGGTCTTTGATGATGGTGATGTACAGATGGGTTTTTGGTGTGGATGTCCTTTCTCTTTGTAAGTTTTCCTTCTAACAGACAGGAACCTCAGCTGCAGGTCTGTTGGAGTTTGCTAGACGTCCACTGCAGACCCTGTTTGCCTGGGTATCAGCAGCAGTGGCTGCAGAACAGCAGATTTTCATGAACCGCAAATGTTGCTGTCTGATCATTCCTCTGGAAGTTTTGTCTCAGAGGAGTACCCAGCCGTGTGAGGTGTCATTCTGCCCGTACTGGGGATTGCCTCCCAGTTAGGCTGCTTGGGGGTCAGGGGTCAGGGACCCACTTGAGGAGGCAGTCTGCCCATTCTCAGGTCTCCAGCTGCGTGCTGGAAGAACCACTGCTCTCTTCAAAACTGTCAGACAGGGACATTTAAGTCTGCAGAGGTTACTGCTGTCTTTTTGTTTGTCTGTGCCCTGCCCCCAGAGGTGGAGCCTAAAGAGGCAGGCAGGCCTCCTTGAGCTGTGGTGGGCTCCACCCAGTTCGAGTTCCTGGCTGCTTTGTTTACTTATGCAAGCCTGGGCAATGGCAAGCGACCCTCTCCAAGCCTCTCTGCCACCTTGCAGTTTGATCTCAGACTGCTGTGCTAGCAATCAGTGAGACTCCATGGGCGTAGCACCCTCTGAGCCATGTGCGGGATATAATCTCCTGGTGCACCATTTGTTAGGACCCTTGGAAAAGTGCAGTATTAGGGTGGGAGTGACCCGATTTTCCAGGTGCCGTCTCTCACCCCTTTCTTTGACTAGGAAAGGGAACTCCCTGACCTCTTGTGCTTCCCGAGTGAGGCAATGCCTCACCCTGGTTCAGCTCACGCACTGTGCACTGCACCCACTGTCCTGCATCCTCTGTCTGGCACTCCCTAGTGAGATGAACCTGGTACCTGAGATGGAAATGCAGAAATCACCCATCTTCTGCGTTGCTGATGCTTGGAGCTGTAGACCGGAGCTGTTCCTATTTGGTCATCTTGGCTACCCTTGGTAGTTTCTTTTCCCTCTGCTTCTGGTTCTGAGAGTTTGTCACTAACATAGGATTCCAGAACACTGCTGCAGGGTCCTAAGTGATTGTCCCTCACATGGGATTCGAAAACAGTCCTGCTGGGTTCAGAGTGTTATCCCTCACATATGATTCCAGAACACTGCTACGAGGTTCTGAATGTTTGTCCCTCACAAAGGATTCCAGAACACTGCTGCTGGGTTCTGAGTGTTTGTCCCTCACATAGGATTCCAGAACACTGCTGCTGGGCTCTGAGTGTTTGTCCCTCACATAGGATTCTAGAACACTGCTGCAGCTTTCTTAGTGTTTGTCTCTCACATAGGATTCCAGAACACTGCTATGAGGATCTGAATGTTTGTCCCTCACAAAGGTTTCCAGAATGTTGCTGCTGGGTTCTGAGTGTTTGTCCCTCACATAGGATTCCAGAACTCTGTTGCTGGGTTCTGTTTGTTTGTCCCTCACAAAGGGATCCAGAGCACTGCTGCAGGTTTCTGAGTGTTTGACCCTCACATAGGATTCCAGAACACTGCTGTGGCTTTCCGAGTGTTTGTCCCTCACATAGGATTCCAGAACAGTGCTGCTGGGTTCTAAGTGTTTGTCCCTCACATAGGATTCCAGAACACTGCTGCTGCATTCTGAGTGTTTGTCCCTCACATAGGATTCCAGAACACTGCTACGATTGTCTGAATGTTTGTCCCTCACAAATTATTCCAGAGTACTGCTGCTGGGTTCTGAGTGTTTGTCCCTCACATAGGATTCCAGAACAGTGCTGCTGGGTTATGAGCGTTTGTCCCTCACATAGGATTCCAGAACACTGATACTAAGGTCTGAATGTTTGTCCCTCAGATAAGATTACAGAACACATCTACGAGGGTCTGTATGATTGTCCCTCACATAGGATTCCAGAACACAGTGGCTGGGTTCTGAGTGTTTGTCCCTCATATAGAATTTCAGAACACTGCTACAAATTTCTGAACGTTTGTCGCTCACAGAGGATTCCAGAACACTGTGGCTGGGTTGTGTTTGCCCCCCACATAGGATTCCAGAATACTGCTGCTGGGTTCTGAGTGTTTGTCCCTCACGTAGGATTCCAGAACACTGCTATGAGGGTCTGAATATTTTTGCCTCTCAAAGGATTCCAGAACACTGCTGCTCAGTTGTGTTTGTTTGTCCCTCACAAGGGACTCCAGTGCACTGCTGCAGGTTTCTGAGAGTTTTTCCCTCACATAGGATTCCAGAACACTTCTACGAGGGTCTGAATGTTTGTATCTCACAGTGGAATCTACAAAACTGCTGCAGGGTTCTGAGTGTTTCTCACTCATATAGGATTACAGAACACTGCTGCTGGGTTCTGAGAGTTTATCCCTCACATGGGATTCCAGAACACAGCTGCTGGCTTCTGAGTGTTTGTCCCTCACATAGGATTGCAGAACACTGCTACGAGGGTCGGAATGCTTGTCCATCACAAAGGACTCCGGAATATTGCTCCTGGGTTCTGAGTGTTTGTCCATCACATAGGATTCCAGAACACTGCTTCAAGAGTCTGAATGTTTTTCCCTCTCAAAGGATTCTAGAACACTGCTGCTGGGTTCTAAGTGTTTGTCCCTCACATAGGATTCCAGAACACTGCTGTGAGGTTCTGAAACTTTGTCCGTCACAAAGGATTCCAGAACACAGCTGCTGTGTTCTGAGTGTTTGTCCCTCACATAGGATTCCAGAACTCTGCTGCTGGGTTCTGAGTGTTTGTCCCACACATAGCATTCCAGAACAATCCTGCTGGGTTCTGAGTGTTTTCCCCTCACATAGGGTTCCAGAGCACTGCTGCTGAGTTCTGAGTGTTTGTCCCATATATAGAATTCCAGAACAATGCTACGACGGTCTGAATGTTTTTCCCTCACATAGGATTCCAGAACACTGCTACAATGGTCTGAATGTTTGTCCGTCACAAAGGATTCATAACACTGCTATGGGTTCTGACTGTCCCTCACAATGGATTCCAGAAAACTGCTTTGAGAGTCTCAATGTTTGTCCCTCACAAAGTATTCCAGAGCACTGCTGCAGGGTTCTGTGTGTTTGTCCCTCACATGGGATTTGAAAACACTCCTGCTGGGTTCAGAGTGTTTTCCCTCACATAAAATTCCAGAACACTGCTACAAGGTTCTGAATGTTTGTCCCTCACAAAGGATTCCAGAACACTGCTGCTGGGTTCTTAGTGTTTGACCCTCACATAGGATTCCAGAGCACTGCTGCTCGGTTCTGAGTGTTTGTCCCTCACATAGCATTCCAGAACACAGGTACGAAGTTCTGAATGTTTGTCACTCAAATAGGATTCCAGAACAATGCTGCTGGGTTCTGAATGTTTGACACTCACACGGGATTCCAGAACACTGCTGCTGGGTTCTAAGTGTTTCTCCCTCACATAGGATTCCAGAAAACTGCTTCTGGGTTCTGATTGTTTGTCCCTCACATAGGATTCCAGAACACTGCTTCGAGGGTCTGAATGTTTTTCCCTCACAAAGGACTCCAGAACACTTTTGCTGGGTTCTGAGTGTTTGCCCCTCATATAGAATTCCAGAACAATGCTATGAGTATCTGAATGTTTTTCCCTCACATAGGATTCCAGAACATTGCTAAGAGTGTCTGAATGTTTTTCCCTCACAGAGTATTCCAGAACACTGCTGCTGGATCTGAGTGTTTGTCCCTCACATAGGATTCCAGAACACTGCTGCTGGGTTCTGAGTGTTTGTCCCTCACCTTGGATTCCAGAAAACGGCTACGACAGTCTGAATTTTTGTCCATCACAAAGGATTTTAGAAGACTGTTGCTGGATCTGAGTGTTTGTCCCTCACACAGGATTCCAGAACACTGCTTCGATGGTCTGAATGTTTGTCCCTCACAAAGGATTCTAGAACACTGCTGCTGGTTTCTTAGTGTTTGTCACTCACATAGGATTCCAGAACACTGCTGATGGGTTCTGAGTGTTTGTCCCTCACATGGGATTCCAGTACATAACTGCTAGATTCAAAGTGTTTGTCCCTCACATACGATTCCAGAACACTGCTTCTGAGTTCTGAGTGTTTGTCTGTCAAATAGGATTCCAGTACACGGCTGCTGGGCTCTGTTTGTTTGTCCATCACAAAGGATTCCAGAACACTGCTATAGGTTTCTGAGTGTTTGTCCCTCACATAGGATTCCAGGACAATTCTACGGGGCTCCGAATGTTTGTCCTTCAGATAGGATTTCAGAACACAGTGGCTGGGTTCTGAGTGTTTGTCCCTCACATAGGGTATCAGAACACTGCTGCTGGGATCTGAGTGTTTGTCTTTCACAGAGGATTCCAGAACACTGCTGCTTTGTTCTGAGTGTTTGTCCCTCACATAGAATTCCAGAACACTGCCACTCGGTACTGAGGGTTTGTCCCTTACATAGAATTCTAGAACTCTGCAGCTCATTTCTGAGTGTTTGTCCCTCACTTAGGATTCCAGAACAATGCTACGATTGTCTGAATGTTTGTTCCTTAACAAGTATTCCACAACACTGCTGCTGGGTTCTGAGTGTTTGGCACTCACATTGGTTTCCAGAACACTGCTACGAGGGTCTGAATGTCCCGCACATAGGATTCCAGAACACTGCTAAGAGGGTCTGAATGTTTTTCCCTCAGAAAGGATTCCAGAACCCTGCTACTGGATTCTGTTTGTTTGTCCCTTACAAAGGATTTCAGAGCACTGCTCCTGGTTGCTGACTGTTTGTCCCTCACATAGGATTCCAGAACACTTCTGCAAGTGTCTGAATGTTTGTCCCTCAGATAGGATTCCAGAAGACAGTGGATGGGTTCTGGGTATTTGTCCATCACATAGGATTCCAGAACACTGCTGCTGGGTTCTGAGTGTTTGTCCCTCACATAAGGTTTCAGAACACTGCTGTTGTGTTCTGAGTGTTTGTCCCTCACAGAGGATTCCAGAACACTGCTCCTGGGTTCTGAGTTTTTGTCCCTCATATAGGATTCTGGAACACTGCTACGAGGGTCTGAATGTTTATCCCTTACAAAGGACTACAGAACAGTTCTGGAATCCTATGTGAGGGACAAACACTCAGAACCCAGCAGTGTTCTGGAATCCTATGTGAGGTCAGTGTGGGGGGATGGGGGAGGGAGAGCATTAGGAGATATACCTAATGCTAAATGACAAATTAATGGGTGCAGCACACCAACATGGCACATGTATACATATGTAACAAACCTGCACATTTTGCACATGTACCCTAAAACTTAAAGTATAATAATAAATTAAAAAAAATAAAAAATAAAAAAAGAATTAACATAGTTTTATGTAGTCTTCAGTAGACAACATTCATCCATGTAAATTAAACAGTATTTTCTACAATCATGTGAATATAAGGCCACAATATTTACTATGAATAAATCCCTTAAATAGTAATTTTAATATCGTTATTTATTCTTTTGAAATATAAAGTATTATAACTGAGTGAAGGTTACAGATAATTTTAAAAATGTATGTCATTACTAGTATATTAAGATTATTTATACTTAGATATTTATATCTAATATCCAAAGAAAATTTACTAATTGTTACAGTAGATATTAATCTGACATGCTTATTAATTCATCCCATAGATATAATAATAGGTCAGCTGGGCATGGTGGCTCACACCTATAATCACAGCACTTTGGGAGGCCAAGGCAGGCGGATCACCTGAGGTCAGGAGTTTGAGACCACCCTGACCAACATGGAGAAACCCCGTCTCTACTAAAAAAAAATGCACAATTAGCAGGGGATGGTGGTGCATGCTTGTAATCCTAGCTAATCAGGAGACTGAAGCAGGAGAATCACTTGAACCCGGGAGGTGGAGGCTGCAGTGAGCTGAGATTGCAACATTGCACTCCAGCCTGGGCAACAAGATCAAAACTCTGTCTCAAAAAACAAAACAACAAAAAAAGATAGAGTAGTAGGTTAGAAAAATTTTACATTCTATCTTTTTGTTGTTGTTGTTTTTGAGATGGAGTCTGGCTCTGTCACCCAGGCTAGAGTGCAGTGGCGTGATCTCAGCTCACTGCAACCTCTACCTCCTGGGTTCAAGCGATTCTCTTGTCTCAACCCCTAAGTAGCTGGGATTACAGTTGTCTGCCACCACGCCTGGCTAGTTTTTGTATTTTAGTAGAGACGGGGTTTCACCCTGTTGGCCAGGCTGGTCTTCAACTCTCGACCTAGGTGATCCACCTGCCTCAGCCTCCTAAAGTGCTGGGATTACAGGTGTGAGCCACCGCGTCCTGCCTTACAGTCTATTCTTATGTTTTACTAAATTAGGAATGCCACTCTTACAGAACAAATCAATGCAAGTGACGTGACTACCCAAAAATCATGAATCATAATAGTCTTCAGTTAGATATGTTGCAATCTCAGATATAGTTCTACTATGTAAACAGAGTCAAATTCCAATTCTTTATCAAAAAGTGCTGGTGAAGGTTGCCTGATGTGTTCCAGTGTAGATCCTCAATCCAATGGCCAGCAGATGAGAGAGCAGCAGATATGGAAGAAAAATCTTAAGAAATTCTGCTGAGAATATGCCCCCTTTCATCATAACACTGTGTTTCTTGTGTTGAGAGCGGCTGTGCATTTTGGGTGTTTAGAGAGAAACTGTCTCAGGGGAGTGAGTATTTTCTGGTCGACTTGGCTAATATTATATGTAATCTGAATTTTTCTTTCAGATGCTTTTAACCTCTTAATACAATTTTATTCAGACTGAGGGCTGTTTTTCTCTTCAATGCTTTCGGTGTCTGTCTTCAGAAGGGACACCCAAAAGTGTCTCATGGTGTTTCTGAGTGAGTTGGGCTGTCACAATGAGAACTCTTTTGCACTCTATCCAGACCCATGCTGGGAATCCAGCAGTATTTTTTTGTCACCATCATAAATAGAAACGTAGCTGAAACATTGCTCCCATTTCCATTATTGCAAAAGTGCAATCCTACCCAGGAGTCCTGCAGGTTCTCCTCCTGCAGTTCAGGGACCCTGCTCCATAATGTGACACTGGAGTGCAGCTGTGGTGGTTGGAGTCCATGTGGAATGTGGGCTGCCAGCTGTGTGCTGTGAGCTGTGCCTCAATGGTAGATGGAAGGGGAAGAGATGGGACACAGGCCACCAGGACAGGGCAAGCAGGATTGCTGCAGCCCATGGCCTAGGGAGTAGGGACCCTTTGCTTTGAAATGTAAATAGCCAAAAGAATAGTATCCTATCTCACAGTGTCTGTAAAAGAACCAGAGCCTACTTTCAGCAGGCACCTGGCTGTAAGTTGCAAAACTACCTCCTATCGTGAAGATGTGAGAAGTTTATTTTTCCTTTCAATATAACTAATTAACATACACAGATGGCCTCCCCAATTACCAGGTGAACTTAGGATAAACTGTGTATGAAAAATGATGCCATGAAATCTTCCACTTGAGGACTAATTATGGAGACCTTTCTGTCTTTGCAATCTCTTGAGCAGATTGTCTGTGATTCATGTCACATAACATTCTGGTTTTATTGTGCAATAAAACACTTTTCTTTCTGTTCTGTTATTGTGGGGTTTTTCTAGGATTGGAGATAATTTTCCTTTTAATTATATTTCTCAAACACTGTTCACAATTACCAGACATTGTATATATGTATAAATTGCCCACCAAGCTTCACTTTAGAGAAAGCTTTCCCCCTCAGGCTTCCAGTCAACCCAGTCAGTTGTGCTTCAAAGTGCACACTGCCCCCAGAGTATGCAGGCAGTCTTGTGTCTCTGCCTGTTTCACATCTATAGTCCTCTACAACCACTCATAGAGAGGTTAAGCCTTTCTACAAGTGGTTGACAAAATTCACAGGACAGTAATCAACCATTTCACCTCTTTCAGTGACCATAGTGTCTTGAGACCTGAAACTGAGTTGGAGACTATTAGGCCCAGAAGAACAATTAGGGTGACATGTGTGCATTGAGTAAACATGAGTATCTCAAAGTTCCTCTTTCTCCTCCTCCCAAAATTCCCATGAATGTGCAGTTAACACCTGCCATTTCTCCATCCATCCAGGACCTAAATCTACAGTACCAAATTCTGAATCTCGGTCTTGAGATTAGAGGAAAAAGAATAACTTTGATCTGAGGAGTGCAAGTCCTTTTAGTTTTATCAGGCCTGGAGGGACACAAAAATGAGAACATAATTATGTTCTACTGCCTCCTTTGAGCTACGTGTTTACCTCTTGAAACTGTTTGCTATTCCTACAAGTAGATATAAATTAACCTAATAATGCCACACTAGATGTTACAAGCAATACCTCACAGCTTAAAAATATATAGCCAATTAGTCATCAATGTTATTTCTGTAGATCAAGAAGAATTTCTGACAAACAACTTTGTTTCAGTCCACTCCCTGTCCCTCTCTTTTGCCTTTGTAAATCCACTTGTAACTGCTGCTAATTAAAGTGTACATTCAAGGCAACTTGAATCTATGCTCCCAGAGTTCAATCCTCAGTCTTGGCCCAAATAAACTCTCTAGTTAAATGAGTGTTGCCTTAGCCTTTTCTTTTTAGGCTGACATATCATGTGCTAGAGCAGACTTTATGATGGAAACTTTTTTTTTTTACTCTCCTTGCTGTAACACCAAAGAATGAAGAGTCAGGTTGATCTTACCTGTAATCTGTACATAAGAGCTGAGCTCTCCCTGGGATTCACAGGAGAGAGCCAGATTTTGGATTGAGAATGTACAGAAAACCCATAGGAGACATTTTCTGATCTGTGAGATGTCAGCATAGAAATCTTAAAGCCCTTCCTTCAGAGTGTACCCTTTGAGCTTTCCAGATCTTTTCCAGTGACCTGCTATGATTATGTGAGAGGCTGCTGGTGTAAATAGAATCTGGTTGCACAATCTGTAAGTGTAAACATGCATGTCAGCAGGGAGAGATCAAAGCCACAAAATACCCAGAGCAATGACATAAGTTTACCTATTTGTAAAATGTGATACTGGAGTAGAGTATTCTTGTCCTTTCTCTTACCTAAGACCTAGCTAATCAGAACAGGTGATATCACATGTAGATCCAGGTTCTGGAGCTCTACCAGGGCAGTTCCATTTTCTATTTAGAATCAGCTTGAGTCTTTCCTACCTGGATCAACATATGGTCATCAGTCTATGGTCACTAGGAATCCTCTCACAATCACCCGGGAATCTTTAAGACATTTCAGGATGTCCTGTACAGACTTAGGTCAGACTGGCAGGAGTGCCTAATTCTGCTTCCATGTTAGAGGAAGGGAAATGAGTCATTCAGTGTCTGTTCCTTCTTTTGTAGAAAGAATCTCCTTCGTTGGTACCTGGACGAGAGTTTCTCCAGTTTCCTTGGCAAAAAATTCAGGAGTTCTGGAGACTTGGACTGATAAACAAATTGCCTCCATTTCATATGGCCTTTAGAAAAATAGATGAAGCAGTCAGGGTCCCTGTCATTCAAAAACTTTCAGTCTAGAGCAACTGGATAAATGGTTTAATTAAGCATCATATAGTCAATACAATAAAGTGGGAGTGTTAAGGGGACTTGGGCGATGACTCTGATGTTGTTGTGACTTCTGATGTCACCACCTGAAGAGCTATTCTCAAACAGGAGAGTTATTTGTATTTCTACTGCTTTTACCTTGCTAAGAATACATATTTTCTAATAAAATTATCCTAGGAAGCCCTAAAAGTTTTGGTTAAATTGCTTGTTATTATATGTTATAAAATAGATTAGTGGCTAAATGGATTAAAATTATACAAACTCTTAAGTTTCTCTTGGACAGGCTTAGGAAAGACAGAACAAGAAGTACTCCAGCAGCATAGAGATCATAATTCAACATTGGACCGTTTCTCTACCCCAGCTCTGTCCAGATTCACCCTTTTCTGAGGCTCATTCAGGTCTGGTCCCACCCTGGAGTTTCTCCTCACAGAACTCATAAGAGGAGACCAGAGATTTGGGAGGTGGCTTCTGCTGCCTCTCCAGAGCTTATGCTCACAATATTCTGAAACCCAAAAGCAGATAAATTAGAGCAATAAGCTATATATTTTGAGGTCTTAACTTCTTTCTTTTTAATTAAAACCAGTGCTTGTAGAGACATTCCATCCCAGTAGTTACTCCACAAGTCACAAGAAAGTAAAAGAAACACAATAAAAAATCCCTTTAAACTGCACTTAACCCTTTCCTTTCTGTATCCCTCCCATCTGTCTACATTTATCACTTATGCTATACATTTTTAAAAAAAATCAGTGAGAGGCCGGGCTATGTGGCTCATGCCTGTAATACTAGCATTTTGGGAGGCCAAGGTGTGCGGATCACTTGAGGTCGGGAGTTCGAGACCAGCGTGACCAACATGGAGAAACCCTGTCTCTACTAAAAATACAAACTTAGCTCAGTGTCGTGGTGCATGCCTGTAATCCCAACTACTCGGGAGGCTGAGGCAGGATAATCCTTTGAACCCAGGAGGCGGATGTTGTGGTGAGCTGAGATCGTGCCATTGCACTTCCAGCCTGGGCAACAAGAGTGAAACTCCGTCCCGAAAAAAAAAAAAAAAATCAATAAGAGATAAACAGGGAAGAAAACAATGCTGGCCCCTTCATCTAAATTCTGAGAATTATTTAACACTTAGTACCCAACTCTCAAGTTGTTATGAAGATTAAATCACATAATGTGATGTTCCCGGCACAGTGCTCTGTAACATACTCCGGAGCACATAGTACCTGCTTAATAAGCATTGCATAAGTATATGTGTACATGTTGTTTTTCAGTGCAGACTTACTCAGACGTTGTTGCCTTCTCCTGTCTCTGAAGTTAAAGAGCTAGCAAAGAATGTGGTTTTTCAGGATAGAGATTGATTTTTTATTTGATCAGAAGTATTTGTGTTGTGATGAGTGATGAGTGTAAGAGTTTGTTCCATGCCTGCTTTCTCTAGCTAAATGCTACTAATGATGGGTCTGGGGAAGCTACATCAACATTGACAGGAGATGTGTTTAAAATGCACTTTCATGGATGCTTTTAAAACCTGCAGAATCACATTACATAGTGTAGGGCCAGGGTTACCAAATGATTTATATGCACACTGAAGTTTGAGAGGCAATGTTTAGCTAAGTGGTTCTTGGCCCAGGCTTCTAATTAAGATTCCATGGCCAGGTTGCAGAAATCTTTTCACTTGTGCCCTTCCCGCAGGCTCTGTATATTGGTGTGGGTGGGAGCATCCTTGTTGATATAATTAAGTGCCTCATGTGACTCCAGGTTGAGGCCAGGGTCAAACATGAGGAATTCAAAATACATTCATGAGAGTTGAGTTCAAACTTTATTCCAAAGGGAGGTCCATTCCAATGGTTGGATTTAGTAGGGACAAGTTAGTGTGGCCCATATCCCCATTGCTGTAGCAGAAATTGTGGCATCTGTGGCAGGAAAAGAGAAAGATAAATTTTGATCTTTGTGGAGGAGCTCACTGTCCTTGAATCTCACCTGTTATAAAGAACATAAATGAGTGGACATTTTCTGCATGCCTGGATCTTTCTACCTGTGTTTGTGGTGGTAGCAGGTGAAGAGATTGTGCTGATTCCTTTAAAGGCATATTCCCAAGATGCAGGTGTGACTTGTCCAGAGAATATCACCTGAGAATAAATCCTAGAGAAGGACGATGAAGAGAAAAATGGCTTTTTCTCAGGTGACTGTGTCTCAGACCAGGAGCAGTGTTCACTCTGCCTCCT
The DNA here is from genome assembly GCF_000001405.40 of Homo sapiens. Classification (NCBI taxonomy): domain Eukaryota; kingdom Metazoa; phylum Chordata; class Mammalia; order Primates; family Hominidae; genus Homo; species Homo sapiens. Next base: position 64,816,135 of record NC_000009.12, read on the forward strand.
GGAATGCCATATGTTTAGAACTTACAAACCTGTACTTCTTGACTTTATGCTGTTTCTCCCTATAAGTTTGTTTAAACACTTTTTCTTCTCATGATAGTCAAACCACTCTGAAAAAATATTATTTTCTATACACTAGAGTCTTCTCGACATTCTCTTCATCTTGGCTTCTTCTCTGCTATGCAGAATTCTCATCATTAATTTATGACTCATAATATTAAAAATATTCCCTTTGGCTGGGCGCGGTGGCTCATGCTTATTATCCCAGCATTTTGAGAGGCCGATGTGTGTGGATGACCTGAGGTCAGGAGTTCGAGACCAGCCTGGCCAACATGGTGAAACCCTGTCACTACTAAAAATAGAAAAAATAGCTGGGCATGGTGGTGGGTGCCTGTAATCCCAGCTACTTGGGAGGCTGAGGCAAGAGAATCACTTGAACCCAGGAGGTAGAGGTTCTGGAGGTTGCAGTGAGCCTACATCGTGCCGCTGCACTCCAGCCTGGGCAACAGAGAGAGACTCCATCTCCAAAGAAAAAAAAAAAAGAAAAATACCCTTTGTTGCTGGTGCTGGTGCACATGGAAAGGTATGGATACCCAAGATTCCTACTGGGGAAGAGGTGGGGTTCTTAGATATTCATGAAAAATGGGAATATGTAATGTTGAAGTTCTGTCTGTGTGCTCCATCAACTCGATGCGGAACAGGATTAAAATATGCACATTTGAACAGGATGGCATTTATTACCCAGAATAATTCAGAAAGTTTTGAAAAAAATAATTAGAAGATACTCGCTTTCTAGAATGCTAAAGAAAGTCTGTGTAAATACTTTAATAGAGATTACACAACATGAGCGATTACTGTCGTTTGCATTTTGCATAAAACTTGTTTCTTTATGATTAGATTTGAATTATAATTTGCCTCTTTGGCGGGGGCTAGTATCCCAGCAGTGATATTGTGTCCTTCTGTGAGCATCGGCGCATGATGAAAATTTGTTCTGTTATAATTGGTGTTAATTTGATTCGCTTAGTTAAATAGTTCTCTGAGAATTTTTTTCCACCGTAGAGTTATTTTTCTTTTTATTATTGAGTACCCTGGGGACATTTACCAGCTGATGTGCATAAAGCATCACATGTAATCTGGAAGTTCTCTTTTCTTCTTAGATTGTCTTTGCATATGTCTTTCTTTAAAAAGTGAAGTCTCTCATCTTTGTTTACTGGTCATAAAAACCCAGGCTCTGTCACTTAATGAATGTTTGACAAAATATTTATCTTGGGCCAGAAAGATTGGTGTCACTTGTGAGCTTGTTAGAAATTCAGAAACTCAGGTTTTACCTCAGGTTTCTTGAAACAAAATCTGCATAAAATGATCTCCAGTTTATTGTTGTACACATTAAAATTTGAGAGGTACTTTATAAGTAAGCCTGACTTTTTAATCTGAGAAATATGCAGAACTTATACTGTATGATTAAATGGAACACTCAAAAATGTACATGTCTATGTTCCTGTTGTTAATTTTGTACTTTATCATTCAAAAAATATCAATACACTACACTGGTATTGTGAATCTTATGCTCTCTTTTCTCAGAGATAGAGAATACAACAGAGAATATTTCTTTGTTGGGAATTATTTTATAGGACAATTTCAGTCGCATCAGTCAGAATCAGTTCTCTTCACTCATTTTATCTTGAGTCAATTTAAAAATTCTGCCCATGGCCACTTGAAGTGGGTGTGTGTGTGTTTTCGGGGACTGTTGACATTCAGGGATGTAGCCGTAGAATTCTGTCTGGAGGAGTGTCAATACCTGGATGCTGCTCAGCAGAATTTGTATATGGATGTGATGTTACAGAACTACAGAAACCCGGTCTTCTTGGTTGAGGATAACTTCAATATAGAATTCCTAATTTACCCTAAAGGTTTCATTTTCTTCCTTTGTAGGATGTGTTTTGGTAATTTCTGCTTTGCATGAGTAAATTTCAGATCCCTGTTTTCAAGACAATCTTGAGGATTTTTTGGTGTGGAAAATAAATTCTTCAGGTTGTTTCATTTTGACCTGAATTTTCCCCTTTCCTGAGTTTATCTATATTATTCACTCTAGATAAGTGGTAATTTCAGAAATTTAGCAGCATAAAATAATGTTGTCCACACCTTAAAATTCAATTGCCACCACCAATTTTTGATTCAGTAATACTGGGGTGTGAAACAGAGGACCCACATATTTAATGTACTTTCTGAATATGCTAAAGGTTCTGTCAGTAAAAAGTACTTTGTAATTAATTTTCTAGAATCTTCTATTATGTCCTCTTTTCTCTACTTAGAACAGTATTAGGTTGGTAAATGGAGAATTCCAGGAAAAGTCATGCTCATGCTGCTTTTTAAAATAAAACAGGTATTGTCTTCTCTAAGCCAGACCGGGTCACCTGTCTGGAGCAAAGGAAAAAGCCATGGAGTATGAAGCACCCAGGTGGGTGAAAGCGAATGAAGAAGAGGATGACATAGATGAGACATCCAAAGGCTGAGAGGAACCCAGACTTTTACATGTGATTTGGGAAGCTGTGCTCCAGTGGATATCATTTCTGAGAAGCCTGGGTTTTTTCACTTGTTCTCACATAGGGGCATCCTCTGTCCCATGCTCTCTAATGACTCTACATTTTCTTCAATAATTTTTCTTCAGATTTGCAGTGAGAGCCAAAGTTCTCTTTACGGCTTATAAAAGAGTGCACAATCTGACTACTTTTATTGCTTTGGGGATATACAAATAGCTGCATATTTTTTAGAAACCCTGTGTTTAACCATTTTTAAGTTCGCTTTCTGCATTGTGTCTGAAATATGTAAAAGTAGTGATATTGAGATTTGGTTCAGAAATCCCAGAAATACAACAAACATATGTTGTATGTTTTCTGCTTTATAGTTTCTTATTTTATGGAGGTTTCATATGTGTTTCTACAGAAATTCATACTCAGTAATTTAATCAGAATATTAAGTATCTCTTTAAGAATATCTAATGTTATTTGAATTGATATTATTATTCTTTTAGTACTAACTGAGGTTGGTAATTTCAATTCTGTCTTAATTTCTCAACTGTAATGTAACGTAGATATTTCCTCCATTTCTTCAATTCACTATGTCAAGGAACTTAGAACATTACTGAGCATATTTTAAGCTCCCACTTCTTTCCTTGTTTTTTAAATTACTATTTTGTAATTTTATCTTGTTTAGGATAAAGTTTACCAGAACTGTAATTTATATGTGTGTATATATATGTAGGTGTGTACTGTGGATTTTTTTACAAATAAAAATTCTCTATATATTTATTGTGTACAATGTAATGACTTACTGCATGTGTAGATTGTAAAATGATGAGCACAATTATGTTTATGAGCATTTCTATCACCTTTCCTCACATAGGTACCTTTTTTGTAATGAAAACATCTGAGATCTGCTGACACCAAATTTTAAGCATACAAAAATTTAGTGTTAACTGTATCATGAAGCTATACATTACATTTGAAAAACTTACTCATAACAGAAAATTTGTGCCTTTTCAACATCTTTTCATTTTCTCCCATATCTAGTCCCTGACAACTTTCATTGTAGTCTCTGCTTCTGTGAGTTCATCTTTCTTAGATTCCCCATATAAGTGAGAATGTGCAGTATTTCCCTTTCTGTGTCTGGCTTATTTCCCTTGGCATAATGTCTTCCAGTTCTACCCATGTTGTTGAAATGGCAAGATTTTGTTATTTTTCAGGCTAAATAATATTCTATTGTTTATTTACACCAGCTTTTCTTTATTTAGCATCCACAAACATTTAGGTTTTTTATATCTTGGCAATTGTGAATAATGCTGCAACAAATATGGTGGTACAGATATGTCTTCAAGTTACTTATTTCTTTTCCTTTTGTTATATAAACAGTATTATATACACAATACTACTATTGCTAGATTGTGCAGTAGTTCTGTATTTCAAATAACCTCTATTGGTTTTTGTAATGACTCCATCAATTTATAACTCTCCAAGAATGTACAGAATTTTTTTCTTCAAAGTGTTGTCAACACTTGTTATGTTTCTTCTTTTTACATTATACATTCTAACATGTTTGAAATGATACTCATCATGGTTTTGATTTGCAATTGCCAGATATTTGGTGATATTGAGTACTTTATGGCTTATCTCTTGGCCATTTGTATGTCTTCATTGGACAAATATCAGTTTAGTTTTTTGCCTATTTTGAACTGGGTTACTGTTGTTTTTGCTTTTAATCTGCTTGCATTTCTTATATATTTTGTATATCAATCTTTTATCAGATGTATGGTTTGCAAATATTTTTTCCCATTCTACAAATTTTTTTATTTTATTGTTCCCTTTTCTGTGCAGAAGGTTTTTAGTTTGATGCAGTCCAGCTTGTTTATATTTGCTTTTGTTGCTGTACTTTTGGTATTATGTCTAACAAATTATTGTTAAGACCATATCATGAGGGTTTTCCATGTATTTTTTTTTCAGATTTTTTAAGGATTCATATTTAAGTCTGTAATTTAACTTTTAGCATGGTGTAAGAAAAATAAGCTAGTTTTATTCTTTTGCCTGGAGGTATCCAGTTTTTTCAGAACCAAATATTAAAAAGACTATACTTTGTTCATTGTGTATTTTTGGTGCACTTGTCAAAGATTAGTAAACTTTATATGCCTGGGTTTATTTCTGGGCTCTATTCTGTTTCATTGTTTTCTTGTGTCCATATTTTGCATGTATCATCTTTTTTTTTACTACAGTCTTAAAATATAGTTTGAAATCATAAAGTATGAAGTTTGGTTGTTTTGTTCCTTTTCCTCTAGATTGCTTTGGTTTTTCAAAGCCTATTGTAGTTTCATGCAAATTTTAGAATTGTAGTTTCCATTACCGTGAAAAATGTCACTGGATTTTTAATAGAGAGTTCATTGAAACTGTAGATCACTTTGACTCATATGGCACTTTATAATATTTATTCTTCCAGTTCATAAACATGCAATCTTTTTGCATTTGTTTGTGACTTCTTCCATTTCTTTCACAATATATGTTTCAGTGTAAAGACCTTTTGCCTTCTTTGTTAAATTTATTTTTCAGAAATTTATTATTTTAATTCTGTTGGAAATGAGATTGTTTTCTTCCTTTTTTATCAGGTGGTTTGTTGTTAGCATATGGAATCATAACTGATAATTATATGTTAATTTTATATATTGCCAATTTTCTGAGGGCATTTGTTAGTTTTTGATGTATTGTTTATGGTTTTCTATATATAAGATCATGTCACCTACAAACAGCAACATTTTAATTCTTTTCCTCAATTTGAATGTCATTTTTAGGGTCATTTTCTTGACTAATTCTTCTGCAAAGTACTTTCACTGCTATGTTAAAATAGAAACATTGACAATGGAACCATGTAGCCTTACCCTGGTGTCTATAAATTTGAAGAAGCAAACAGCTCTTTAATTTTTTATAAACTGGTTTCAGGAGGTACAGATCTCCTTTTGTTGGGTCCCCAGGGTAATGGGTCCACAGGGTAATGGGATGCCCTATGAGCTTGTAGTAGGGAAGAGTTTATAACTGTGTCACAAGGCTGCTGCGTATGCAGTGGATTCAACTTTGAAGTGACTTTTTACCAGGGGCTTTGGTTGTTGTGATTCCCATCTAATGTCTGGGTGGGCTGGATTTCCTTCAGGATTTTTATTTATAGTGCAGAAACGAGGACAGATTTCTGCAATTGTCTGTGCATATGGTGGACCTTATATCGGGATGTGGTAAGTGTGGCTACCACTGAGTATTTGGAAGTTTTTTTCCACATCACTGTGTGGGTTCCTGTGTTGGCAGGAATTGTTGTGAACTGTGGCAAAGACAGCTGAAACTGAGTCACTGAACTTTTTTAGGGGCCACAGTAGAGGCCAAGGTCTGCAGGCCACAGTAGAGGCCCAGCTGGAGTGCAGTGGCATAATCTTTGCTCACTGCAACCTCCGCCTCTCAGGTTCAAGCAATTCTCCTGCCTCGGCCTCCCGAGTAGCTGGGATTATAGGTGCCTGCCACCATGCCCAGCTAATTTTTCTGTATTTTTAGTAGAGATGGGGTTTCACCATATTGGCCAGGCTGATCTCTACCTCCTGACCTCAGGTGATCCGCCTGCCTCGGCCTCCCAAAGTTCTGGGATTACAGGAGTGAGCCACCACGCCCAGCCTTCTTTGCTGATTTTCAATAGTTGTCTTATTATGTGAAGGTGAGTAGTCATAGAAACAGTGGTATATTCACCAGGTGTTTAATGATAAATATATATATTTTCTTTGTGTGAGAGAAACACTTTAGTGATTTGACGGTGATTTATATTTATATATTTATATATTTTGTGATTTATAGAAAGACCTATATCACCTGTAGTTGTTTTCAAAAAAAATTGTGAAAACACATAACATAAAATTTACCATCTTAAAGCTTTTTAAGTCTATATTTCAGTGCTGAGTGTGGTGGAGGCTCATGCCTATAATGCCCGCACTTTGGGAAACTGAGGCAGAAGTATTGCTTAAGCTGAGGAACTTGAGACCAGCCTGCACAGCATATAGAGAGACCTTCCCCATAAAAATTTAAAATTAGCCAGGTGTTGGGTTTTCCACCTGTGGTCCTAGCTCCTTGTGAGGCCGTGGCAGGAGAATCACTTGTGCATGGGAGGTTGAGGCTGCAGTGAGCTATGATTATGTGACTTCATTCTAGCCTGCAGGACAGAGTGAGAACCTACCTCAAAAAAGTTGTACATTGTAGTCGTTAAGAGTATTTACATTGTTATGTAAAGATCTCTAGAACTTTTACGTCTTCTAAAATTAAAACAATACCCATTAAGTAACAACTGCCCATTTTACCCTCTCTTTAGACCTTGAGTAACACCATTCTCCTTTCTGTTTCTATTTGACTACTTATGATGACTCATATCATGGAATCATATAGTATCTGTCACTTTATTACTATCTTATTTCAGTTGACATAATATTCTCAACGTTTATGTAAGAATGTGACAGATTTACTATTTTAAGGCTGAATAATATTACACTGTATGTATATGTCACATTTTTAATTTGTTTATCAGTCAAGGGATATCTGGGTTACTTCTGCCTTTTGGCTTTTGTAAGTATTGGTATACTATATTTATATATATAGTGTATATATAAATATATGTGTATATATTTATATAATATATTGGTATAATAAATATATGATACCAATATTTATATATTTAACATATATATTAAATATATATTTACTTATATAATATATATTTATTTAATATATATTATATTAGTATATATAAAATATATAAATATTGGTATAATATAGTTAATATATATTACATTAATATATATTAAATGTATAAATATTGGTACAATATATTTATTATACCAATATTTCAAATATATATTCAAGTATATCTTCCAGGTTCTTTGTTTGAATATAGATTTATATTTGGAATATACATTTATATTTATGTTTGAATATAGATTTATAAGTGGAATTCTTGGATTCCATTTATAAATATATTAATATATAAAAATATATTTTATATTCCAGTCAAATAATATGATTTATATTTGAATATAGTTTTATAAATGGAATTCCTGAATTATGTAATTTAATTTTTAAGAAACATTCATAATATGATGGTTGCATCCTTTTTTCCCCACCAACCATTCACATGAGTTTTAATTTCTTTACATCCTCAACAGATTTGGCATTTTAAAAATTTATCATGGCCATTCTAATGGGTATGAGGTGGTTTTGTTTTGGATTGTAATTTTGTTTTGTATTTCTCTACAATTGGTCCTTTTTTGCATTATTTTAAGTGCTTTTTTCTACTTACATATATATTTTTGATTAAACATCAGTTCAATTCTTTGTCCATTTCTAAATCAATTTATTCAATGTTAGTTGTTCAGTTTTAGTTGTTTATAATTCTGAATATTAACTCATCACATGTAATTTGCGAATATTTTCACCCATTTCTTCAGTGGCATTGTCATTCTACTAAATATTTTCTTTGGTGTGCTGAAAATTTGAAGTTTAGCATAGTTAAATTATGGGGGTTTTTATGTTTTTCATAAGTATGATGTCATATCTACAAAAAAGTGCCAAAACCAGTGTTCTGTATTTTCCCTATTTTTTTCTTTTAAGAGTTGTATTCGTTATATGTTTTTTAGTTTCATTATTTTACTTAAAATGTGCAAGAAAATAATCCAACTTTATTTTCTTCAGCGTAGATACTCAGTTTGCAACATCATTTGTTGAAGAGATTTTCTTTTCTCTATTGTGTAGTCATGGCTACTTTGTGGAAGATTATTTGATTATATAAAGAAGGGTTCATTTCTGGGCTATTTTGTTCTATCATCTGTTTATTTGTCTCTGTTAGTACCACATTGCTTTTGTTTATTATAGCTTTTTAATATATTTTGAAATCAGGAAATACAATGCCTCTTTGTTCTTTCTAATGGGTGTTTGGCTAGTTTTAGCTCATAATCAATTTAAAGAGTTTTAAACAATATTTCTGGTCAACAATGTACCATTGGAATTTCTTCACCACCGTGAGTTGTTTTCACATTTAGATTAAATTATCTGGACCTTGAGCAAGAATATATTAAAGAGTGTGTTTTATTTCCATGTATTTTTGAATTTGCCAGTTTATCTCTTGATTTTGATGTCGTTTCATTTTATTTTAGTCAGAAAATGTAACTGTATAATTTTAGTCATCTTAAATTTATTTATTTATTTTTGTTGCTATTGAGAGACAGATTCTCACTGTGCCACTCAGGCTGGAGTGCAGTGGTACAATCTTGGCTCACTGCAGCCTCAACCTCCGAGGCTCAAATAATCCTCCCACCTCAGCATCCCAAGTAGTTGGGACTACATACGTGTGCTTTCACGCCTGGCTAGTTTTTTGATTTTTTGTAGAAATGCGGGTTCTCACTATATTGCCCAGGCTGGTTTTGAAATCCTGGTCTCAAGTGGTCTTTCCTCCCAAAGTGCTGGGGGCTACAGTCATGCGCTACCACACCTGGCTGGTCTTCTTAAACTTAATAAGACTTGTTATGTGTCCTAACAGAATGCACCAAGTTCAAACAAGAATATTATGTAATCTGTTCCTTTTTACTGTAGAGTCCTGTACATATTTTTAATGTGTAGTTGGTCTATGATATGATTTGGATGTTTGTACCCTTCAAATCTCATGTTGAAATGGGATTCCCAATGTAGGATGTGGATCCTTGTGTGGTGTGTTTAGGTCATGGGAGCAAATCTCTTGTAAATGACTTCGCACCATCCCCGTGGTGATCAATGAGTTCTCATTCTGTTAATTCACATGAGAGCTGCGTGTTTAAAGAACCTGGCACTTTCTTTTCATGCTTGCTCCCTCTCTCCCCATGCAATATGTCTGGTTTCTCTTTGCCTTCACCATGATTGTAAGCTTACTTAGACCCTCACCAGATGCAGATGTTGGCACCACACTTATTGTACATTGTGCATAACTATGAAGAAAACAAATCTTTTTTCTTTATAAATTACACAGTCTTAGGTACTTATTGCAATATAAAATGAATTAATACAATTTATAATGTCATCCAGGTTTTGTTCTCTTATTGATGTTTTATCTAAACTTTCACTGATTATTAAAGTGGGGTCTTAATGTCTGTAATTATTATGTTGCTATGTATTTTTTGCTTCACTTCTGTCAATATTAGCTTTATACATTTTGGAACCCTGATCTTTTAAATAGATATAATACTTATAGATTCCTGGTAAATGACCAATGTTACCATTATATAGTAACAATCTTTACCTCATGCTAGTTTTTGATTTACAGCGTATTTTGTCTAATATAATTATGACCACCTCACTTAATTGTGGATACTGTTTGCATGGAATATGTTTCTTCATTCTGTTTCTTTCAACCTATTTGAATCAAAGTTAAAGTGAGTATCTTGAAATCCTGGTCTCAAGCAATCTTCCAGTCCTTGCCTCCCAAAGTGCTGGGGCTACAGGCATGAGCCACCACACCTGATTAGTCTTCTTAAACTTAATAAGGCTTCTTATGTGTCCTAAAAGAGTACACCAAGTTCAAACAAGAATACTGTGTGATTTTTTGCATATTGTGTGATTTTGTTTGTTCTTATTCCATTTAGTCATTTAATTTCTTATTATTAGTTTAATCAATTTACATTTAAAATGATTCCTTAGAGAAATGAAGTTACTATTACCATTTTGATTGTTATTATTTTCTGTGTTTCTTGTAGAGATGTTTTCCATAATTTCCTATTTTACTGTCTTAATTTTTGCTTTTTTGATTTTGTAGTGTTATGCTTTGTTTCCTTTCTCATTTTGAATTGCATACTTTCTATAAACTTGTATTATCTAGGTAATTGGAGATTATGTAAAACATTTTAAAGTTATAACAATATTAGTATGTCATAACTTCAGTTGAATACAAAAACTATACCTCTTTACATCCTGTAGTGTTTTTTTTGCTTGTTTGTTTTGTTTTGTTTTGTTTTTGAGACGGAGTCTCGCTCTGTCACCCAGGCTGGAGTGCAGTGGTGTGATCTCGGCTCACTGCAACCTCCGCCTCCCAGGTTCAAGCAATGCTCTGCCTCAGCCTCCCAAGTAGCTGAGATTACAGGCACCCACCCCCACGACCGGCTAATTTTTCATATTTTTAGTAGAGACGGGGTTTCACCATCTTAGCCAAGCTGGTCTTGAACTCCTGACTTCGTGATCCACTCATCTCGGCCTCCCAAAGTGCTGGGATTACAGGCATGAGCCATTGTGCCCACGCTTACATCCTGTAGTTTTTTATTATTATAAATATTGTTTTATATTTTATATCTATTAACAGATTTGTGCAGATTTTTTTGTTGAAATTCTATAGCAGAATTTTAAGAGATTTTGCTTCATGATTATGGTAGTAAACCACTGTATATGTGTTTATATATTTACATTTAACAGAAAGCTTTATAGTTTCATGTAGTTTTTTAAGGCTGTCAGCATCATTATATTTTTCAACATATGGACTCTTTTTGGCAATAAAAAAATAAACAGCATCTCACTATGTTACTCAGGCTCATCTTGAACTCTTAGCCTCAACTAATCTGCCTGCCTTGGCCTCCCAAGACTCTGGGATTACAGACATGAGCCACTGGTGCCTGGCCACCATGTAGCATTTCTTGTGGGACCATGCCGGTGATGATAAATGCCTTCACCTTTTGTTTATTTTGTAAGTTCTTTATTGTTTCCTTATTTTTAATTCCAGAATAATTCCAAATAATTTCAAAGCAAACAGTGTTGATTGGTATTAGTTTTTCTTTTATCACATAAAAATTAGGAAAGTTCTCATCCTCTTTTATCTTCAAATAACCCCTCTACTACTTTTTCCCTACATTCGTCTTCTAAGATTTCTTTTCCAAATGTAGTAATCTACTTAATGGTGTTCAGTAAGTTTAACATTCCATGTTTTCATTTTGTTTTGCAATTTTATTTTATTTCATTTTACTTTATTTTATTTTATTTTTTTGAGACAGAGTTTTGCTCTGTCGCCCAGACTGGAGTGCAGTGGCACGATCTCGGCTCACTGCAAGCTCCGCCTCCCAGGTTCATGCCATTCTCCTGTCTCAGCCTCCCTAGTAGCTGGGACTACAGGTGCCCGCCACCATGCCCAGCTAATTTTTTTGTATTTTTTAGTAGAGATGGGGTTTCACCGTGTTAGTCAGGATGGTGTCGGTCTCCTGACCTCGTGATCTGCCCGCCTCAGCCTCCCAAAGTGCTGGGATTACAAGCGTGAGCCACTATGCCCAGCCAATTTTATTTCATTTTTGTTTCATATTTTAGAGTATGCCACGTCACATCAGTTAATTGTGTTTTTAGTTTTTATTTTGTGTGACAATTGTGAATGACAATATTCAACTCTGTACACTTTAAGACAGCGTGGAGACAAAGTTACATATGAATCAGTCATATGTCTATTCCCAATATAATAATTTCTGTGTTTTTGTATACACATATTATTTCTGTATTGTTTATGACTTGTATGTTTGTAAGTGATCAATGGTCGTTTTATCTGAGTAGTCATAAAAATTCTCCTACTTGTAATATCTATTTGGGAATCTATTTTGGTGTGGGAGAAACACTTTTTTGATTTGAAGGTAATTTTAAAAACTGTCAATTTTGTTCCTTTTTTAGGTATTATTACTGTTTATTGTTAATTATCAAGAACATAAAATTTAGAATCTTAATTTAAAAATATGTAGTTTATATTAATTATATTGACATTATTATACAATATATCTCTAGAATGTTTTTGTCTTGCAAAACTAAAACTGAATACACATTAAACAGTTACTCATTTCTCCCATTTTCTGGCCCTTTACAAACAATTCTGTTTCCCTGTTTTTGAGTCTAACTGCTTTAAATATCTCATGTAAGTGGATTCATACAGTATTTTTTGTGGCTGACATATGTTGTCCTGCATAATTTCATGAAAGTTTGTTATGGTTGTTAGAATATTTCCTTTTTTTTTAGACGGAGTTTCGCCCTTGTTGCCCAGGCTGGACTGCAGTGCAGTGATCTCAGCACACCACAATCTCCGCCTCCCAAGTTCAAGCCATTCTCCTTCCTCAGCCTCCTGAGAGGAGGCTGGGATTACAGGCATGCACCACCATGCCCGGCTAATTTTTGTAAGTAGAGACGGGGTTTTTCCATGTTGGTGAGGCTGGTCTCGAACTCCCAAACTCAGGTGATTCACCCACCTCGGCCTCCCAATGTGCTGGGATTACAGGTGTGAGCCACTGTGCCCGGACTGTATTCCCTGTTTTTAAACACTGAGTAATATTCCATTATTTTTATGTTTCAAATTATATTTATCCAGTAATCTGGGGAGAAAAATTTGCATTGCTTTCACCTATTGCCTGTCAATAACAATGCTGTATAAATTATGGATGTGCAGCCGGGCGTGGTGGCTCACGCCTGTAATCACAGCACTTTGGGAGCCCAAGGTGGGTGGATCATAAAGTCAGGAGATCGAGACCAACCTGGTTAACACGGTGAAACCCCATCTCCATTAAAAATACCAAAAAATTAGCCAAGCATGGTGGCGGGCACCTACAGTCCCAGCTACTTGGGAGGCTGAGGCAGGAGAATGGCATGAACCTGGGAGGCAGAGGTTGCAGTGAGCCTAGATTGTGCCGCCGCACTCCAGCCTGGGCAACAGAGCGAGTCTCCATCTAAAAAAAAAAAATTATGGATGTGCAAATAACTCTTCCTGTGATTATATGTGTGAGAGTTTATGTTTATACTACATTCTCTTTATTTGGTCTAGTTCACTTTTTATAACCAAACCAAATTGTTTTAACTCTATAAAATGTGTTTTGAAATCAGGGAGTTGTGATGCCTCCAACGTTGTTCCTCTCTTTGAAGATTATTGGGTGTTTCATTGTTTCTTAAAATTTCATATAATTTGGGGGTTGCTTTTTCTATTTCTGCTAAAATAAAATTAGATATTTGAAAGGGATTGCATTAAATCTGTAGATTACACTGAGCAGTATGGGCATCTTCACAATATTAGTTATTTTACCCTTCGATCATGCTGAATATTAATTATTTTACCCTTTGAGCATGCTGAAGAGTGTGTTGTTTAATTTTCATGTATTTGTAAATTTTTTAGTTTTGTTTTTGTTGATTTCTACTCTCATTCCATTTTGGTCATAAAAAGTAATCTATCAATTTCAATTTTTAAAGATTTAGTAAGTTTTTATTTTTATCATGGCCTAACAGGCAGTTTATCAAAGAGAATGTATGTGAGCTATTGAGAATGGTTGTACCCTGCTATTGTTAAGGGGTGTTCTTTGTTAGGCATAATATTGTTTTATACTTCTTTCTTTGTATATTTTTTCTTTTTGAGATGGAGTCTTGCTCTGTCACCGAGGCTGGATTGCAGTGCCGCAATCTCGACTCACTGCAAACCCCGCCTCCCTGGCTCAAGCAATTCTCCTGCCTTAGCCTCCTGAGGAGCTGGGATTACAGGCGCCTGCTACCGCACCTGGCTATTTTTAGTAGAGATGGGGTTTTGCCATGTTGGCCAGGCTGGTCTCAATCTCCTTACCTCAGGTAATCTGTCTTCCTTGGCCTCCCAAAGTGCTGGAATTACAAGCATGAGCCACTTGTTCCCATCTGTACTGCTTTCAGTTTCTCTTTTCCTTTTTTTTTTTTTTTTTTTTTGAGACAGAGTCTTGCTCTCACCCAGGCTGGAGTACAGTGGTGCGATCTCGTCTCACTTCAAGCGCCACTTCCTGGGTTCATGCCATTCTCCTGCTTCAGCCTCCTGAGTACCTGGGATTACAGGCACCTGCCACCACCTCCTGCTAATTTTTTGTGTTTTTAGTAGAGACCGAGTTTCATCGTGTTAGCCAGGATGGTCTCCATCTCCTGACCCCGTGATCGCCTGCCTTGGCCTCCCAAAGTGCTGGGATTACAGGCGTGAGCCACCGTACCTGGCCCTCTTTTCCATTATTAATATTGTTTTGTTTTATTGTTCATTGCAGAAATTGAAGTATTAAAATATCTTATTATAATAATATTGCTTTCTATTTGTTGCTTTAATTCTGTCAATTTTTGCTTTGTATTTTAGGAAACCTAATATGAGAAATATATGTACAGACACAAACATATAAATATATGTATGCACATATTTGTCATACATTTTCAATAAATGATATCTTTATTATTGTTTAATGACCTTTTTTTCTCTTGTGAATTTTGACATAAAGTATATTTTATAAAATAAGAGAGTTGTTGACTTACGATGTATTTTGTATAATACAATTTTGATCTCTTCTGCTCTCATTTGGTTGATGTTTGCCTAAAATGTCTTCTTCCACTTGCCACTTTCAGGCTGATTTCACTACTAGATCTCAAGTGACTCTTGAAGAGAGGCAAGTTGTATCTTGGTATATAAAATTTTATATAATCCCTCTATTCAATGTATGTGTATTGATTGGCAAGTCTATTTTTAAAATATTTATTTTCTGAAGACAAAGATTACTGTTATTTTATTGTTTAATGATTCTTGTAGGTCTGTTTCTCATTCTATCTTCCTTTGTGTCTTTTTGATTTTTGTATGGATAGGCTGTCACTACTTTCTTATTTCCTTTTTTGTACCTGTACAGACATTTTCTTTGTGGGTGCCTTCAGGATTATATAAAAACCTCTTAAAATTTCAACAATATATTTTGAAGTGGTGAAATTTAAATTCGGGTTCATGCACAAATTATTTCTTATTACATCTGTCCTCAACTTAGTTATTGATGTCACTAAACATATCTATTTATGTTATGTATTTATTAACAGATGTTCATTATTATTTTTAGCTTTTATCTTTAAATTTTAGAGAATAGTTAAATAAAACATTTTTTGGTATTATAATAATGCTACAGGATATTTTTTCTATAATATTTGCATATCTTTATATCTTTCCTAGAAAGCTACCTATTTTTATATGATAGTTTTGTTTTTTAGCATCATATAGTTTTAATAGGAGGACTCTTCTCAGCATTTTTTGTATGGCACATGTAGTGTTGATATAATTTTTCCACGTTTGGTTATCTTTAGAGGTCTTTGCTTTTTCTTCATTTTTGTAGCACAGTTTTGCTGGTTATGTTATTCTTACATAGAAGCTATTTTTCGCTTGGCACCTCAACTATAGCACACAATTTCCTTCTGGCCTGCAAGGTTTTTGTTGAAAGAGTCACTGGTTATATCATGCAACCATAATTATGTATTTTCCAGCATTTGAGATTCTCTTCTTGTCTGTGACTTTGGGAACTTTGCTTTGCATGTCTTGTTATGGATCTGTATGTTTCCTAGTTTTAGTATGTTGAGCTTCTTCATTTTTACAACCTTATTTTCTTACTTTTGAGAATTTCTCAGGTATTCTTAATTTTTTGAGACAGTGTCTTGCTCTGTCACCCAGGTTTGAGTACAGTGGCATGATTGCAGCTTACTGCAGCCTTGGGTTCCCTAGGCTTATGTGATCCTCCTACCTCAGCCTCCTCTTTACTGGGACCACAGGTGTGTGCCAATACACCTGACTAATTTTAATTTTTATAGAGGAGAAGTATTGCCATGTTTCCCAGTTTAAACTTGAACTCCCTAGGTTCAAGTGATCTGCCTGCCTCAAACTCCCAAAGTGCTGGGACTACAGACATGAGCCACTGCACCTGGCCTCAGGTATTATTTCTATTTCTATTTTCTACTTCCATAATTTCTATTATATTTTTCATCTTTTACTTGATATTCTATTTTTTTCTGATTTTATTTAGTTACCTGTGTTCCCATTTAGGTTAAATTTTTAAAATTAATGTGTACATCTTTATTTTCATGGTTGTTTTCTGACAGTTTTAAGTTTTTTTTTTTTTACTTCTTAGGCCATGTCACTGTAATATTTTGTATGTATTGTACTCTTTGGTTGAGATTTGGACATTAACAAACAGCTACCTCTCACAATCTTTATAATGCGGTATTGTCCTGACATAATCTGAAACCAGTTGTCTCAACTAGAGATTCTGGGAGCCTATCAAATATGTTATGATGTGTCTTGTGTGGAATTTTGTGTTGATTATTCAGTTAAAGAGGTTTGTCTGTGTTTCTTAACAGTCTGTAATTACTTCCTGTACATATTGCATGTCTGTGGTACTGTAGTTTGTTGCTGTAACATTTACCTTTGGTCTCAGCAGACTCAAGCTGTTATTTCAAAGTATACCATCATTTCTTTCAGCACATTTTGTCATTGGAGACAGAAACAAGTCTCTGTAAAAGTGCCCAGAAGCCAGAAGTAAAAATACACGAGCCAGTTTTTTCTTTTTCTATATTGAGGAAGATGCCAGGCATTGCAGTTTACTTCTAAAAGTGCCATGCTGCATTATGGAGGAGTAAAGGTGTTGGGCAAATGTAACAAACTTTTCTATCCATTCAGTATGGCTTGTGGCATTTTGCTCACCTGGTACACTGAACACACTTAACTCATTTCTAGATTTTCCATAAAGACATTTTGGTCAGTACAGTTTTGTTATAAGTCTATAAAAGAATTAAGACCTGTGGTATTTTTGTTATGCCATGTTGCTAATGTACTTTGTATAATTTTATGTATTAGATTTGTAAACAATAGATTTGTATATTTACATGGGCCTAGTGAGATAATTTGTTATTTTTATTTCTTTCAGCTGTGTTCTCATTTCACCCAAGACCTTTGGCTAGATCAGAACATAAAAAATTCATTTCAAAAAGTGATGCTGAGAAGATATGGGAAATGCAGACATGAGAATTTACAAATAAGAAAAGGCTGTAAAAGTTTGAATGCATCTAAGGTGCAGGAAGGAGGTTATAATGAACTTAACCAATGTTTGTCGATTACTCAGAGCAAAATACTTCAATGTAATACATGTGTGAAAGTCTTAAGGAAATTTTCAAATTCAAATAGACTTAGGAGAAGACATACTGGAGAGAAACCTTTCAAATGTAAAGAATGTGGCCAATTCTTTCACAGGTTCTCACACCTAAGACAACATCAGATAATTCATACTGAAGAGAAACCCTACCAATGTGAAGAATATGGCAAAGATTTTAAGCAGTCTTCAGGTCTTACTATACATGGGAGAATTCATACTAAAGAGAGACCCTACAAGTGTGAAGAATGTGACAAAGCCTTTAAACAATCTTCAAGACTGAATAAACATAAGAAAATTTATACTGGAGATACAACCTACAAATGTGAAGAAATAGTCTTCAAACCTGACTATACATAAGATTATTCATATGGGAGAGAAACCCTACAAATGTGATGAATGTGGCAAAGCCTTTAGAAAATCCTCAAAACTGAAAGAACATAAAAGAATTCATACTTGAGAGAAACCCTATAAATGTGAAGAATGTGGCAAAGCTTTTTACTATTCCTCAGGCCTTACTCAACATAACATAGTTCATACTGGAGACAAACCCTACAAATGTAAAGATTGTGGCAAAATTTTTAAGTGGTCTTCGAACCTTACTATACATCAGATCATTCATAGTGGAGAGAAACCCTACAAATGTGAAGAATGTGGCAAAGCCTTTAAACAATCCTCAAAACTGAATGAACATATGAGAGCTCATGCTGGAGAGAAATTCTACAAATGTGAAGAATGTGGCAAAGCTTTTAAGCAACCTTCAGGCCTTACTCTACATAAGAGAATTCATACTGGAGAGAACCCTTACAAATTCGAAGAATATGGTAAAGCCTTTTATTGGTTTTTAAGCTTTACTAAACATATGATAATTCATAGGGGAGAGAAACCCTACAAATGTCAAGAATGTGGCAAAGCTTTTAAGTGGTCTTCAAACCTTACTATACACAAGAGAATTCATACGGGAGAGAAACCCTGCAAATGTGAAGAATGTGGCAAAGCTTGTAAGCAGTCTTTGGGGCTTACTATACAAAAGAGAATTCATACTGAAGAGAAACCCTACAACTGTGAAGAATGTGGTAAAGCCTTTTACTGGTCCTTAAGCTTTACTAAACATGATAGTTCATACTGGAGAGAAGCACTACAAATGTCAAGAATGCATCAAAGCTTTTAAGGGTCTTCAAATCTTACTATATATAAGAAAATTCATACTGGAGAGAAACCATACCATTGTGAAAAATGTGGCAAAGCATTTTACTGTTCCTCAAACCTTATTCAAAATAACATAGTTCATGCTGAAGAGAAACACTACAAATGTCAAGAATGTGGCAAAGCTTTTAAGAAGTCTTTAGACCTTAATGTACATAAGATAATTCATAGTGGAGAGAAACCTTACAGATATGAAGAATGTGGCAAAGTCTTTAAACTATCCTCAAAACTGAATGAACATAAGATAACTCATAGTGGAGAGGAATCCTACAAATGTGAAGAATGTGGCAAAGGCTTTTACTATTCCTCAAGCCTTACTAAGCATATGATAGTTCATACTGAAGAGAAACTGTACAAATGTGAAGAATGCGGCAAAGCTTTTAAGTGGTCCTCTGAGCTTACTATACATCAGACAATTCGTACTGAAGAGAAACCCTATAAATGCGAAGAATGTGTCAGAGTCTTTAAACACTCCTCAAAACTGAATGAACATAAGAGAAATCATACTGGAGAGAAACCCTACAAATGTGAAGCATGTGGCAAAGCTTTTTAAGCAGTCTTCAGGCCTCACTATACATAAGAGAATTCATAATGGAGAGGAATCCAGAAATGTGAAGAATGTTGCAAAGCCTTTTACTGGTCCTTAAACTTTACTAAACATAAGAGAGTTCATACTGGAGAGATACCCTACAAATGTCAAGAATGTGGCAAAACTTTTTTTTGTTGCTCAAGTTTACTTGACATAAGAGAGTTCATACTGAAGAGAAATCCCACAAATGTAAAGAATGTGGGAAAGCCTTTAACCAGTCCTTTAGCCTTACTAAACTTATGAGAATTCATACTGGAAAAAAAATCATACAAATCGGAAGACTGTGGCAAAATCTTTTAAGTATTGCTCAAATATATCCAGCCATAATTCATACTAAAGATTATTCCTATGAACCTAAAAAAGTTTGGCAAAGCTTATGAATACACCTCAGACTTTCCTAAGCATTGGAGAAATATCAGTGAGAAACCTCAGAAAACTGAACAATGTGGCAAGGTCTTTAAATGGTTGTCACATCTTACTGTAGATAAAATAATTAATAGTGGAGAAAATCTCTACAAACAAAGAATGTGTCAAAACTTCTAACATGCTCATACCTTATGGCACATAAAGGCATTTATACTTGAAAAATTATACAGAGTGTGGAAAAGCCACTTCTATTTGCTCACATCATAGTCAACATCAGGAAGTTCATACTTAATAAAATTATTATAAATGTAATTACTTTTGAAAGACCTTGAAAAATTTAAACCCTTAAAAAAGAGTACTCTGGAGACAAACATTACAAATATAAAGAGGGTTGTAATACCTTTACTTGCCCTATATAATGTACAGATTTTATGCTAGAAGAAAACTCTAAAGGAATTACTCAAACTTGTTCAGCATCAGAGAATTTATGTTGAAGGAAACCATACAAATGTAATAAATGTGGAAAAACATTTGTTCAGAAACTACAGCTTAAAAAACACCATGCAGTTTATAATAAAAGATATTTTTGCAGATGGAATACATGTGTAAAAATATTTAGTCAAAATTAAGTCTTTGTAAACTTTAGAAAATTCACAGTAGGAAGAATTAAGGCACTGGCACTTAAGACGTTACACGAAATCAGAATGTTCTGTATAGAAAGTAATCCAAAGCTAAAACTGTTGGATAATTTATTTGTATATAAGTTTAAGAGGAGTGGAAGATTATTTTTTGGAGAGTTATAATTACATTCAAGGTATATGTTTTTCCTTGAAAAAAATGTAGATTTTTTGAAAAGCAAATAGTGAGGTAATTCAACTGTAAAATTGCTTCATTCTGTTCCTTTTTTCCTGTTGTTTGTGTAAAAGCATGTCATCAATTTCTGTTGCATCAGAAATCTGAGAGATTCCTTTCTTATTAGGTAGGCATAATTCATTAACTTTTCCGTGGAAGAGTAAGGATATTAAAATGTAAGATGTATATTGAAAATCCAATTGGAGAGGCTCTTTATGGCTGACTTTTAACATTTTTCCTGTGATACATGAGTTATGTGTTTAGAGTAATATTCTGCATTATAGTGAAAGGAAAACTTTGAGTTTTAGTAGTAAATTGTTTTACCAATTGTACTTTTATGTAATAAAATGTAGGGAATTTTAAAATTCTTTTATAAGACTGTGATAACTTAGCTTTTAAATTAAATGAAATAGTTTTAAACTTTTTAAGACCTGCATTTAGTAAAGTGTTATGTCACCAACTTTAATGTGTCCCACCTTATTAAAGATGTAGATAAAAGATGGTAACATAGTAGAATGAGCTCTCTAGCAATCTCTTTTGCCTGTGGCATTAACCTGAAAAGTTTAAGAGTATTGTTTCAATGGGTAAAAATGTAAATTTGTTTAACGTTTTAAATTTTTGTAGGAACAGAGTATTGTTTACCTATTTATGGCATATATAGAATATTTTCATACAGGCATACAACTTGCAATCACATCAGAGTAAATGAGGTATTCATTACATAATGCATTTTTTTTGTGTTACAGACAATCCAATTAAACATTTTTAGTTATTTAAAAATGTACAAGTAAATTATTACTTGCTACAGAGGTTTTTTATGGTCATAATAATAATTACATAGTAGTATAATAAGAAATCTCACATTTCTAAGTCCTGAATGAATATTTTTAAAAATTGGTCATATATATTTTGAACAAGTGGCCTCTCTGCCTGTAAACTCATACAGACTGTTAGTTTTTTACTTACATGGTGCTAAATATACAAATATTTCACTCTTAATATAAACATTAGGTGTAAGAAATTTGTGGGGCAAGTAATTGTGTGAGTGTGAGTGTACCTATTTTCAGAAGACAAGAAATATTGGAACAAAATATCACTTTAATAAAGTGGACAAATCATTTACTAGAAGACCAGAAACCTCCGTGATTTTGAATAATATCGGTATTCTCTGTATTTTATTTAATTAATTACTGTGAAGTCTTATGGATTGCGTTTCCAAATCTTTCCATGCAAATTCTTTCTTTCATGTGCCTGGTACTCATGGTAGACTGATATTTTTTTCATATTTTTTGTGTTTATAATTTATTAAGTATTCATTATGTGAGTTGCTCAGGTATTCTAAGAATTTTTATAAAATTTACTAATGCACGCAAAATAATTTTTCAATGTTATTTCACAATGAGTGTATTAACTTATATTTCTTTTGTTGCTTTCTTTTTTCTTTTTTTTTTTTTTGAGATGGTGTCTCACTCTGTCACTCAGGCTAGAGTGCAGTGGTGGGATCTCAGCTCACTACAACCCCCACCTGCTGGCTCAAGCAATTCTCTTGCCTCAGCCTCCTAAGTAGCTGGGACTACAGGCATGTGCCACCATTCCCAGCTAATGTTTTTGTACTTTTAGTAGAGACTGTGTTTCACTATAATGGCCAGAGTGGCCTTGAACTCCTGACCTGGTGGTCCACCCACCTTGGCCTCCCAAGGTGCTGGGATTACAGGCATGAGCCACTGCATCTGACCAACTTATATTTCATTTAGTTAGAACATCCCATTTTGTTATTTTAATTGGAGAAACCTGTGTAAGCTAAGTTTCCTTTATTATTGTTCCTTTTACTCTTTATAATTGACATAGGTGAATTTATTCATTCAGCCAATTTGTTTAGGTAAATGCTGGGGAGGCTTCATAAGTCATAAAGGTATTTTGATATGTAAATGTAACAAACACAATGCTTGCTGTGTAATAGATGCACCATTATTGGCCGCAAATATTTCTGCTGGAGTTAGTTTGTAGCTCCAAGTGAAGATAAAGAAATACACATGGTGAAGAAATAAAATCGATTCTGTATATGGAGAGGACATTGTTCTTATGCTGCAAAATTGACTCTTTCTGAATTTAAAGAGACATTCTGCTTATTTTCTGATTATTTTTAGTTTTGTTTGTGTGTCTACTTATGTTTATCCCAACTGTGTATGCATCACAGCCCTTCTTTTTATTCTTTGTGTTATGGCTACATCTTTATTGCTGTTTGTTTTGTGCCATGTCACTTCACACAGTACTTTGTAGGTTCTGATGAAAGTGTCTCAATGTAACTTTCAGATCTGTTAATTGAGATAAAAGGCATGCAGTGTTCACAGGTGAGAGGAAGAAATCAGTCAGAATTTCTTGTCTTTGTAAAACCAAACTTTTATTAAATTTTAACACAGTCTGTCTGCGTGGCTTACAGCTATAATCCCAGCACTTTGGGAGGCTGAGGTGGGAGAATCACTAGGTCAAGAAGATGAGACCTTCCTGGACAATATGGTGAAACCCCATCTCTACTAAAAATACAAAAATTAGCTGGGCATGGTGGCATGCACCTGTTGACCTAGCCATTCAGGAGGCTGAGGCAGGAGAATCACTTGAACCCAGGAGGCAGGGGTTGCAGTGAGCTGAGATTGCACAACTGCATTCCAGCCTGATGACAGAGCGAGACTTCATCTCAAAAAAAAAAAAAATTAACACAATGTGTGGAAAATATAAAATTAGTTAGAAGATATGTCTTAGAAATTAAACTTTTAGAAGAGTTAATGGTAAGTGGAGAATGTTAAATTTAATTTTTTATTACATACTTACAGCTCAACTTAAGTTTTTATTCAGAATCTTTTATTTTGGTGTGAATGTTAAATATTCAAAAATAATAGAGTGACACCTGTGGATTTCACATGTGAAATAAACTTTTTCATATTAATGTTAAAATCTTGAGGAATTTCTCACACTTGTATAACGTACTTTTTTATTGGGTGCAGTTTACAATTTAGAGGTTCAGTCTTTAGAGGTTTCACTGGTCAACTCCTTGGTCATTTTATCTGGAAAAGTTTTAAAGATCATGGCATCTTTTGAGTTAAAAAATGTCTTCAGTGATCTGGGATGCAAACTAATTTACTCTCTTCAGAGTGGTTTAATCATGTGAAACACAGCAAGAGCTGCCCTTTTTGTGTCTTCCCTATCATTACCACCAGCACCAGAAACTCCAGTTGTCTCAAGCTCAAAATAAAAGCCCTAAGGTACATTGACTTCTCCCATGCTCTGTGCTGGGTCCCAAACATGGTGGTAAATATTAGAGTTCATACGGTCATGACTGACTAGGTGACAAAACAGCACAGAAACTGTATCTTTCATACTATTCAGACAGGTTTATGACAAAAACACAGGTCAGAATTTGAAACATTGTCATTTTTAATAGTTTTTATAAATATATTTTTAAATTCACTGATGAAATATGTATTTATTTTGTGAAATAGTAATTTGAAGTAAATATACTTTGTCAATGCCTAATTTTAGGTAATTGTCAAATACTTTGCCTCACATAGTTATTATTTTTGTGGTGAGAAGACATTTACTGTCTTAACATTTTTTCAGAAATACAATACATGCATTATAATCTCTTCAACTTATTTTTCTTATCCAACTGTAATTAGGTAATCAAGATACGTTTTGTAGAATCCACATGTGAGTGAAATCATGAGATATTAACCTTTCTATGCCTTATTTCAACAACTATAGTGTCCTTTAGGTTTATCTTTGGGATTAAAAATAAGATTTTCTGTTGAAAATACACTATTCGATTGTATATATATACCATAGTGTCTGTATTTCGTCATTGGGTGATGGACACATATGTTGATTCTATGTTTTGGCTTCTGTAAAGTGTGCTGCAACAAACAGAATTGCAGATGTCTGTTCATCAATCTAGTTTCATTTGTGTTGTGATAGATATCCAGTAGTTCAATTACATGTTAGAGTTTAATTGTTTTGCAAAATTTCTATTTTTCATAATGGCTGTTTATATTTACATTGACACAAACAGTGTGAAAACTACCCTCTTTCTTTTTTTTCAAGTTTACCAACAACTTTTTTAAACATTTTAACAGGAGTGAGTTTATATCTTAGAGTTGTTTTGGTTTGCCTTTCCTTGATGATAATTGACTTTGAGCCATATTCATCTATCTGCCAAGCTATATGTATGTCTTTCTTTGAAAATTATTTATATATATCTTTTGCTTATTTTTCATGGTTATTTGTTTTTTGTTGTATAGTCCTTTGAGTTTCTTATATATTTTTGATATTAACTGCTTTTCACATGTGTAATTTGCAAATATTTTCTTCCATTTTTCAGTTATGTCATTCTGCTGATTGTATCGGTTGGTGTGCAGCAGCTTCTTAATTTTAAGGAATCTGATTTGTCTATTTCCCCCTAAAATTTTGAGGTTAAACCCAAGAGTCACTGCCCAGACCAACGTTATGGGGCATTCATTCTATATTTCCTCATCTTAGTTTTAGATTTTCAGGTCTCATATTTAAGTATCTAATTTGAGTTAATTTTTATATATGGCATGAGATGAAGGTCTGATTTTATTATTTTGCATGTGGATATATATTTTCTCAACATCATTTATAAAAGAGACTCTTCTTTTTCAAAAAATATTGTCATCTTTATTTACAATCAGTTGTCTGTAAATACATGAATTTATTTCTGGTCTTTCTCTTTTGCTCTGTTGGCCTTTGTGTCCATTTTTATGTAAGTAACACTCTGTTTTGATTACTGTAGCTTTGTTGGACATTTAAAAGTCAGGTAGAGTGATTCCTTCAGCCTTTTATTTTTCATTTTTTGCTTGATTTTTGTAGCTATTAAGGCCTTTTGTGGGGCAATATACATTTTAGATTTTTTAAAAACATTTCTGTAGAGAATTTAACTGGTATTTTAATAGAAGTTTTATTATATCTGTATATCAGTTTGTGTAATGCTGATATTTAACAATATTAATCATGCCTATTTATGAATTAGAAATATCTTTTTGTTTGAATATTATTTATTTTCTAACTTTTTTTAGATTCTAATGTACAGATCTTTCACCTTTTTGGTTACATTCATTTCTAAGTATAGTTACTGCTGCAATTATTGTAGATGGGATTGGTTTTTGGTTTTATTTTCAGATACTTTATTGTTAGTGTATAGAAATGTTACTGAATTTTTTATGTTGATTTTGTGCAAGTTTAATAAATTTGTTTATTCTAATAATTTTTTGTGAAGTCCTAGGTTTTTCTATACTTAAGATTATATCATCTGCAAGGAAAATATAATTTATCTTCTTCATTTTATTTAAGATCGCTTTGATTTTATTGAATAATTTTTCTGTCTTGGTCATTTTGTATTATGTTCAGTAAGATCAAAGAAATTGGGCTGGGCGTGGTGGCTCACACCTGTAATCCCAGCACTGTGGGAGGCAGAGGTGGATGCATCACGAGGTCAGGAGACCAAGACCATCCTGGCTAACAAGGTGAAACCCCGTCTCTACTAAAAATACAAAAATTAGCCAGGCGTGGTGGTGGGCACCTGTAGTCTCAGCTACTCAGGAGGCTGAGGCAGGAGAATGGTGTAAACCTGGGAGGCAGAGCTTGCAGTGAGCCAAAATTGCACACTGCACTCCAGCCTAGGCAACAGAGTGAGACTCCATCTCAAAAAAAAAAAAAAAAAAGGATTGGAGAAATTGGACATCCTTGTCTTGTTCTAGCTCTTAGAGAAAAGGCTTACAGTTTTTCCTTATTTAGTATATTAGGTATGCATTGTTGTTACACATGACATTACCTTGAATTGCATTTATTTTATAACTAGTTCAGGAGATTTATTATGAGGAGATATTGAATTTTATTACACTTTCTTTATACATCTATTTGAATGTTACATTTGTGACAACCAATCCCACAAAAATACAAAACATACTTGCAGACTACTATAAATATCTCTGTGCACACCAACTAGAAAGTCTAGAGGAAATGAATAAACTCTTAGAAATATACAACCTCCCAAGATTGAATCAGGAATAAACAGAAGTCTTGAAGAAACCAAAAATGTGTAAGCAAATTGAATTGGTGATTAAAAAAATCTACCAATTATAAAAAGTGCTAAACCAGATGCATTCACAGCATGATTTTATCACGTATACAAAAATGAGTTGCCTGTAATTCTACAGAAAGTATTCCAAAAAATCAAAGTGGGACTCCTTCCTAATTAATTCTATCATATAATATCAGTCTCATCTTGATATATTAATCAGGTAAAGACACAACAAAAAGAATTACAGGCCAATATGCCTGATGAATACAGACACAAAAATTATTCATGAAATGCTTGCAAACTGACTCAGGAAATCAAAGTTATTTCACTGCAACTATGTGGACATTATTCTGTGAATGCAGGAATGTTTTAACATGTGAAATCTATAAATGTGATTCAACATATAAAAATAATTAAAAAACAAAACCACATTACCTCAATAGATGTGGAAATAGCAATTAATAAAATGTAATATCTATTTATGAAAAAAATTCTCAAAAAACTAGGCATTGAAGGAACATACCTCAAAATAATAACAGCCATATGAGACAAATCCTCAGCCAACATCATACTGAACAGGTGAAAGACTAATGCATCCTTCCTAAAAAATTGAAAGAAGAAAAGAATGTGCACTTTCACCACTCCTATTCAACATAGTTCTGAAAGTTTTAGCCAGAACAATCAGGCAAGATAAAGAAAGAAAAAGCACTCAAATAAGAAAAGAGAAAATCAACTTATCTGTCTTTACTGATGATATAATTTTCTACCTACTTCAAAGACTCCTCCAAAAGACTCCTAAGCCTAATAAAAGACCTCAGCAAAATCTCAGCAACAACAAAATGCAAAACAACATTCAAAAATGAGGAACATTTCTATACACCAGTAACACTTAAGCAGAGCAAAATTAAGAACACAATCCAGTTTACAATAGCCAGAAACAAAAAATAAAATAGTGATTCATTAAACAAAGGAGGTTAAATATCTCTACTAGAAGAACTACAAACCACTACTGAAAGAAATCAGACACAATGCAAATAAATGGAATAGTATTTCGTGATAATGGATTAGAATTATTAAAAAGTTCATACTGCCCAAAGCAATCGACAGTTTATTTCTATTTCTATCACTCTACCAATGCCATTTTTAATAAAATTAGACAAAAAAAAACTATTCTAAAATTTATATGAAAACAAAAAAGCTCAAATAGCCAAGGCTATACTAAACAAAAAGAATAAACCTGGAGACATTATGTTACCAAACTTCAAACTTTACCACAAGCTACGGTAACCAATATAATATGGATGCAGATACACACACACACACATCCCTATTGAACAGAAGAGAGAGCCCTGAAATGAAGCTGAACTCTTAAAATTAATTGATTTTTGACAGCATCAACAGAAACAAATGGAAAGAACTCCCTACCCAATAAAAGGTGCTGGAAAAACTGGTTAGTCATATGCAGAAGAGGAAAACTCGACTGCTACTTCTCATGATATAGAAAATTAACTCAAGATACATTAAAGACTTATCTGTAAGAGTTCAACCTATAAAAATCCTAGAAGAACACCTAGAAAATTCTCTCCTTGGCATTGGTCTCTGTAAAGAATTAATGACTACATCCTCAAAAGTGAAAACAACAAAAATAAAAATTAAAAATTGTGACCTGCACAGCAAGAGAAACTATTAACAAAATAAACAGACAACCTACAGTATGGGCTAAAATATGTGTAAACTGCATACAACAAATAACTAATATATATGTTTTATAAGGAATTTAAGAAAAAATGTTGACAAAAAATGTGAACATATACTTTTAAAAGACAAAAAAAGCAGCCATCAAACATATGGAAAATTGATCAACATTTCTAATGATTAGAGAGATGTAAATCCAAACCACAATGTGATACCATCTCACCCCAGTCTAAATGACTATTATTAAAAAGTGAAAAAAAAAAACAGATGTTAAAATTGTGTAGAAAAGAGAACCCTGATATACTCTTGGTGGGAATGCAAATTAGTTCAGCTCCTGTAGAATGCATTTTGGGGATTTCTCAAAGGACTAAAACTAAAGTTACCATTTGACCCAGCAGCCTCACTACTGGGCATATACCCAAATACAAATAAGTTTTTCTTCCAAAAATACACCTGCACTTGTATGTTTATTGCAGCACTAGTCACAATAGCAAAAATGTGGAATGAAACCATGTGCTCATAAATCTTCAGATGGATTTTAAAAATTAGGTAATTACACACCATCCAATGCTATGCAGCCACTGAAGAAGAATCATGTAATACTCTTTGCAGCAACATGGATGCAGCTCAAGGTCATGATCCTAAGCAAATTAACACAGAACAGAAAACCAAATACTACATTTTCTCACTTATAAGTGGAAGCTAAACATTGGGTACACATGGAAGCAAAGATGAGAACAATAAACACTAAGGATTCCAAAATGGAGGGAGAAGGGGTACAAGGGTTAACAAGTACTTATCATGTATCATGTACACTACTTGGGCAATGGGATTATTAATTGCCCAAACCTCAATGTCATGCAGTATACCTATGTTACAAATCTGCACGTGTATCCTTGAATCCAAAATAAAAATAATAAAGTACTTTGTGATATAATGCCATGTTAGATTTCTCCAGTTTTAGTTAATGGTTGGAATTAAGGGTGGAAGACATAGAATTTTGTCCCCTTTAGACATGGGGGTGAATGTTTCTATAATAGGTCTCCTGACATCCTATAAGCTATTTTCTCTGAAAGCTCTTGGCCTTAGTCTTGAGTGTGCAGCTAAAATAAATGACTGTACATCAAGCTTGTCCAACTCATGACCTACAGGCTGCATGTGGCCCATTATGGCTTTCAGTGCAGCCCTAAAGAAATTCATAAACTTTCTAAAAACATTATGAGTTTTTTGTGATTTTTTTATCATCATTGGTGTATTTTATGTATGGCTCAAGACAATTCTTCTAGTGTGTCCCAGAGAAGCCAAAAGATTGGACACCCCTGCTCTACATCTTTATTTTTCATCTATTTACAGTATGCTAGATGATAGTGTTAATTTATTAGTCTACTCCTTTGGGAAACAAAGATGGTCAGTGGTTTAAGTTTTTTTAGAACCATTTTTGAAAATATGAAGCTATGGTAATC
The DNA here is from genome assembly GCF_000001405.40 of Homo sapiens. Classification (NCBI taxonomy): domain Eukaryota; kingdom Metazoa; phylum Chordata; class Mammalia; order Primates; family Hominidae; genus Homo; species Homo sapiens. Next base: position 64,845,870 of record NC_000009.12, read on the forward strand.
ATACCTAAGTGACATAATTAGGAAATAACATTTCTAGAAAAAGCATGAAAGCGTTATGGTTAAAGTTCAAGAACAATGAAACGGGAGTATTGGTTACTTAAGACAACAGTCCTGCAAAGGCAATCATTTCATCACAGCCATTTTGGTGAAAAAGAATAGTGTGTCAGAAGGAATTTTTAGAATAATTTTCTGATTATATGGCAGTGTTAAATTTTTATTTGTATAAGTCTGTAAATAAAAGAGAAGATGGCATGACTTTCAGATGAATCTTTTCACACATATATTCTCCCTAGAAGGGCACTGGTGTGCTTCTCAAAAGGGGTAGCATTGCTGGCTTTCGTTGTGCTGCTATGTTTGTGTGCTAAATGAAGGCAGAAAGTGAAGCAGAGTCAACCAGGATGTTTCTAGTTTCTACATCCACATCATCTGAAATCTAGTGTTATGTCAACTAGAAATAATCCTGGGGCTAAGTATTTTAAAACTGAAAAACAATGCATTGATAAATATATTTTTTGTTTATTTTTATAGTTTATAAAAATTTATAGTTTCTGACTTATTGTAAGTTAAAACCATTTGAACATGCAGATAACTAAAAGTTCCATCTAGATGATGGTATTAATATTTAATAATTTATGATTGTGAGCCACAATTGCCCCATTTGGCTTACTGAAAAGCAGTATTTTAAATGGAGAATAGGATTTCCAGAATTCCAAGCATACAGATCTTTTAAGATAAGCACTATGCTTAGATTTGAATAGATTGTGTTTGTAGTAACAGGAACTTTAATATTTTTTCTAATAGGAGCAAAAAAAGCAATAAAAATAGGCAGTTATAATTAGTTCAAAAGAAACTTCACATGTGGTCATTAAAGGAGTAGCTGGGGTTACAGGCATGTGCCACCACGCCCAGCTAATTTTGTATTTTTAGTAGAGATGGGGTTTCACCAGGTTCATCAGGCTGGTCTCGAATGCCTGACTTCAGGTGATCCCACCACCCCAGCCTCCCAAAGTGCTGGGATTACAGGCATGAGCCACCATGCATGGCTGGAAAAAGTATTCTTATGTTACTGTTTCTGAAACTTTCAGAAACTTTAGTCGACTCAATGGATGATGATGTACATGAAGACCACAAATTATAAATAAAATAATAGGCTCCTTTTAGCTTTTAACATTAAAACTAAATATATGTCAAAAGTAAAATTAGTGGCTCTTTTAAGTCATGAGAAGAATGTCAGTGTTAGAAAGCCTTTACCAAAATATTTGTGTTAGGCTTAGTAATGAGTGCTTTGCACCAAAAATTAAGTTCATTTGTTTTTATATCGTTTTTCTTTTTTTGTTATTTCTAGAAGTACTTTAATTTTAAAATGTAAACTATGACTGTGTTAAATGCCTTCATTTCTATGCCTTTTTGTTAATATTTTGCCTGACTGAGAAGACGAGTTTTTAAAAAAATTTTCTTGAATCAAGACCATTAATTAACATAGAGACAAAATAGTAATTAAAATCGACCTTGATTAATAAAACAATTATCTAACTCCTAGTAATCCTTACCTGTCTCACTCAACATAAAGTCTACATCTTTGCATCTCTCTTAGTTATAAGGAAGTGGCATTTGATCAAATTGGTCAGCATGACATTGGGTAAAATGTAACTATGTTTTGGTCTGACAGTTGAACTGATTTATTACCAAAGAAGTTGATTTTTTTAGTATGCGATATTTTACTATTTTCTATTTATTTAGGGAAACTGACAAAGCATGAAATTAAAATTTTATTTCAAATGGAAAATGCTTAAACATGTTTTATAGTAACTAAAGCTAAAAATATTTTTGGATTTTTAAATTAAAGAACATCTCAAGTACTTCAAATTACCTTCCCCTGACAGCAGATTATATTTTACTTTATTGCTAAAATGGAGTTTGGCTGTCTTTTATGGCTGTATTCATCATTTTCACTCTATTTTTTTGTGCACTATTTGCATCATGCATTTCACATTTTAATAGTTGTAGTTCATGCGATGTGATTTTCAAACAATTGTCCTATTTACATGGCAAGCCATCTGCTTAATCAGCAGTCACTTTATTTTCAGTCTTTTCAAAGCCACTTTCCCTGAAAAGCAAAGAGACAATTCAATCCAATGTGCCAAGCTGGTCCCCTCCAGTGACCATCTATTCAAATTCACACAGGTGATCTTTTGGTGAAGGAAAGAAGGTGCACTTCAACAGCATTGTCACAGCAATGTGGAACAGATATTATAAAATACAAGATGAAACATTGCCTTCAAGGAAAAAAAGTTAATTTTTCTTATTCTGTGTACATGAGTATCTGATGGTTGTAAGGTTGAGAATAAAGAGTAAAGTTGGGCCAGGCTCGGTGGCTCATGCCTGTAATATCAGCACTTTGGGAGGCTGAGGGAGGTGGATCACAAGGTCAGGAGATTGAGACCATCCTGGCTAACATTTTGAAAGCCCGTCTCTACTAAAAAATATAAAAAATTAGCCAGGTGTCATGGCGGGCGCCTGTAGTCCCAGCCACTCAGGAGGCTAAGGCAGGAGAATGGCGTGAACCCGGGAGGCGGAGCTTTCAGTGAGCCGAGACTGCACCATTGCACTCCAGCCTGGGCAACAGAGTGAGATTCCATCTCAAAAAAAAAAAAAAAAAAGTAAAGTTAGAGAAAGAAAAAGCTTTACATTAGTAGTACCTTCTTGTTTGTCTAACACATCCTGAATGGTTTTGTCAGGTGTTAGGTTGCCATATCCATCATTTGTTAGATTCTGATAATCATTTTCTATCTTACCAGTGTAATTATGCAATTGACATCATCTGGAGTTGATGTCTTTGATTCTTAGGTTCTCAGACATAAAACTATTAAATTATTATTGATAAAAATATTAGGTTTTATTTGCCTGTTTTACTACAGAACATTTGATGCCAGTAAGCTTAAGTCCCTTGAACCTTTGAAAAAAATGCTTTAGCTTTTCCTGTTTGGAAAGTCAAATTTGGTCAAAAGTAAATATAACAACAAACTTGAATAAAAATTATTTTTTAATTGAATCCAAAAAATTGAATAAAACAATACATTTGATATTTACTTGAGTATATGTCAGAAATTTTCAAAAAATTCAAATACATACAAATTTGTGACTGAGCTGAAACTTGAAAAATATACCTGCTTTCATGACAAATCATTTTGTGATCACATTAATTTTCAATTTAGCTATGTTTTATAGTAGACTTCAGTAAAAGTCAGCTGTGGTCCAATTGTAAATACTGACATATTAGAGAAGAAAATGTTGGTGATAAAGAATACAAAACAAAGCATAATAGTACTTGCCTTGATTTATTCCCAACCACCAACTCTGAGACCAAGATTTAACTGTTACATCAACATTGTCCACAGTGGAAAAAGGAGAATTTTAAAATCAAACACATCTGAGCTTGATTTGGGTCATTAGCTGTGTGTCCAGGATAAATTATTCCACAACCTTGAAGCTTTAATTTTTTTTTTTAGATGGATTCTCACTGTTGTCATCCAGGCTGGAGTGCAATGGCGCAATCTCTGCTCACTGCAACCTCCACCTCCCAGGTTCAAGCAATTCTCCTTCCTCAGCCTCCCAAGTAGCTGGGATTACAGATGCCTGCCACCACACCTGGCTAATTTTTGTATTTTTAGTAGAGACGAGGTTTCACCATGTTGGCCAGGCTGGTCGCGAACTCCTGACCTCAGGTGATCTGCCCACCTCGGCCTCCCAAAGTGCTGGGATAATAGGTGTGAGCCACTGTGCCCTGCCTTAATCTTTATTATTAATAGAATTACTATTTCTTCCAGGGCTGTTTTAATTCATACATTGTAGCTATAAGTATTTTTCATTAAAAGTCTTGTCTAAATACGGTAAATATTTGAAAATAAGATTATCATTTAAAAATATTTTATTGTAATTGTATACGTTCTGTTATATTTAATGTATTTCTTAAATGGTAATTTTTTATTTGTTGTGGGAAGTCAGGGACCCCAAATGTGGGGACCGGCTGAAGCTATGGCAGAAGAATGTGGACTGTGATGATTTCATGGACATTTATTAGTTCCCCAAATTAATACTTTTATAATTTCCTATGCCTGACTTTACTCCAATCTCTAAACACAAATTGTGAAGATTTCATGGACACTTATCACTTTCCAAATCAATACCCTTGTGATTTCCTATGCCTGTCTTTACTTTAATCTCTTAATCCTGTCAGCTGAGGAGGATGTATGTCACCTCAGGACCCTGTGATAATTGCGTTAACTGCACAGATTGTAGAGCATGTGTGTTTGAACAATATGAAATCTGGACACCTTGAAAAAAGAACAGGATAACAGCAATTGTTCAGGGAATAAGAGAGATAACCTTAGACTCTGACTGCTGGTGATCCAGGTGGAACAGAGCCATATTTCTCTTCTTTCAAAAGCAAATGGGAGAAATATCGCTGAATTCTTTTTCTCAGCAAGGAACATCCCTGAGAAAGAGAATGCACCCCTGAGGGTGGGCCTATAAATGGCCCCCTTGGGTGTGGCCATCTTCGATGGTCAAAACTGTAGGGATGAAATAAACCCCAGTCTCCTGTAGCACTCCCAGTCTTACTAGGAAGAGGAAATTCCTGCCTAATAAATTTTGGTCAGACCGGTTGCTCTCAAACCCTGTCTCCTGATAAGATGTTGTCAATGACAATGGTGTCCAAAACCTCATTAGCAATTTTAATTTTGCCCTGGTCCTGTGGTCCTGTGATCTTGCCCTGCCTCCATTTGCCTTGTGATATTCTATTACCTTGTGAAGTACGTGATCTTTATGACCCACAGCCTATTCGTACACTCCCTCCTCTTTTGAAAGTCCCTAATAAAAACTTGCTGGTCTTGCGGCTTGGGGGGGCATCATGGAACCTACTGACCTGTGATGTCTCCCCTGGATGCCCAGCTTTAAAATTTCTCTCTTTTGTACTTTCACCCTTTATTTCTCAAACCAGCTGACACTTAGGGAAAATAGAAAAGAACCTACCTGACTATCGGGGCAGGTTCCCTGATATTTATTGGCATAATAGTCTAACGGTTTCTGTATTTTGACTTTGGTAATTTTTACAAATGGTTTTTGCCTGGTACTGTTGAAGTTAGGCTTAATTTTGAACCAGTAGTTTTGTTGTTTACCTTATGTGGTTTTGGGTTCATTTGTTCTATACGTATAATGCATATTCTTTTGGGGGTAATTTGGCTTTATTTCTGCTTTCTCATTTTTACATCTGGGACTGGAGAAATTGCTAGAATTTCAATAAGTTTTATTTGAAATCAGGCAACAGAACATCCCAGAAAAGACTGAAGGTTGGATGTACTGGATAATGCCTTTAGGTGAGGTTTATACATAAAACACAGTTCAGTAAAATTTATATAATCATTACAAGTTTGTTAAATTTGAGAACAAAATGCCTATGACATATTAGGCATTTGTCTTAGTTTCTCTTTGACATCCCTATCTTGGAGAAGCTGATATTACATGAAAGGATATTGCCTAATATAATAAGACGTGGAACAAACACTTATGTGCTAGAAACATTCCCCTTAATAACCCTTAAATACATTTTATTCTGGCTCAATTCTTTTTTTTTAAATTGACAGTTTCGCTCTTGTTGCCTGGGCTTGAGTGCAATGGCACGACCTCGGCTCACTGCAACCTTCGCCTCTTGGGTTGAAACTATTCTCCTGCCTCAGCCTCCCAAGTAGCTGGGATTACAGTGCCTGCCACCACGTCTGGCTAATTTTTTGTATTTTTAGTAGAGATGGGGCTTCACTATATTGGCCAGGCTGTTCTCAAACTATTGATCTGAGGTGATCTGCCCACCTTGGCCTCCCAAAGTCCTGGGATTACAGGCGTGAGATACCAAACCAGGCTGGCTCAATTCTTTTGGCACAACTATTTTTGATCCCAGAGGCTTCTTCCCACCAAATTTAAGCCATGATGTTTTCACGTTTGTATTTTTAGTTTTATTTGCTTGTTTTCTTTTTTACTTTCTTGGAAAAGGGAGTGTCGGCTTACCTCTGTGAAATGAGATCGGCCTATTTGTAGTTTTACCCAGTAAGCTTCATAGTTGACATCATTATATTGAGTTTCCCCAGGCCACCCTGAGCTTCAGAGCTGACCATCCTACCTCATTCTTCTTGGTTTTTCAGGCTCTGATGTTAAGTCCCTCTCACTTCAAATTTGAGCTTTCAGAATGCCTCAGCTTGAAAGAAGCAGAAGAAAGTGTTGCCATATTTATTTGGATGAGGATCAAGACTTTACATCCATCATTCATAGTACAAAGCAACACTTTTAATAATGTGGACATGTTTCACTCAAATTAAATATAAGTAGTTTTATCAACATGCCAATATAGTCAAAATAAATAACTATCAAGTTTACCAAAATGTTCTGCTTTAGATTTTCCCAGCACAAAGATCAATATGTATGCATTGGTGGATGTTAGGGTTTTTTTGGTGTAGGTTTTTGTTTGTTTTTTTGTTTTTATTTTTTACAGATTTTCATCCTACTTTACACTGATGTAAATTTAACTGCCTAAGGCTTACCAGAAGCTTTATTTTACATTATTTCTACCAAAAATTCATATTTTCAAATATTAAAAGTGGCATTCTGTATTACCATTTTTCAAGTAATGTAGTCTGCATTTATTAGTATATTTCAATGTATTTTTTTTACTTGGGGTAAGGTTATAAAAATGCCTTGCAGTTGATTTTCTAGGTAAAAACGCAATCTGTTTTCTCAAAGAGTAGCATGAGAATTCTTGATATAGCACCTTCAGAGGTACTGAAAACAACCATATAATTTTGCTGAAATTTGGATTTTTTCATAATCTCTTCAGAGGCAGAGTCATGGCAACATATGACAGCTGAATTTATTCTTCTTCTCTAAATGTTGTAGAGCCACATCCACCTGTGTAAATAACACTAACTGGGTAAAAGCTTTTTTATACTAAGCCAGAAATCATTATACCTGGTGGTTTTATTTTAAATATATGAAGAGTATTCTATAACATTCAAATAAGTAATAGAAATTTAATTATATATATATAGAAAGAAAAGTTATACAGGCACACTGAGAATAAATTGGAATCTAGAACTGAATGCTGATTAGCATGGCCTATAAAATCAAAACCAAGTTAATTACTTCTAAGATACAATGAGGGTACAGGCATTGGATGAGGATGTTCCCATTCCATATAGGAGAATTGGACAAAACAAAGGGGCTAAAAGCCCCATGCAAGTCCAGAATCCAGCAGGGTATTCATTGAATTTTACAGCTCCAAAATAATCTCCTTTGACTCTATGTCTCACATTCAGGTCACACTGGTGGAAGAAGTAGACTCTCATGGTCTTGGGCAGCTCTGCCCCTGTGCCTTTGCAGGGTACAGCCCCATTCCAAGCTGCTTTCATAGGCTGGCATTGAGTGTCTGCAGCTTTTCCAGATGTACAGTGCAAGCTGTTGGTTGATCTACCATTCTGGGATCTGGAGAATAGTGGCTCTCTTCTCACAGCTCCACTAGGCAGTGCCTCAGTGGGGACTGTGTGTGAAGGCTCTGACCTCACATTTCTCTTCTGCACTGCCCTAACAGAGGTTCTCCATGAGGGCTCCACCCCTGCAGCAAACATCTGCCTGTATATCCAGGCTTTTCCTTACATCCTCTGAAATCCAGGTGGAGGTTCCCAAACCCCAATTCTTGACTTCTGTGCACTCACATGCTCAACACCACATGGAAGCCAACAAAGCTTGGGGCTTGTACCTACAGAAGCAATGGTCTGAACTGTACCTTGGCCCCTTTTAGCCACAGATGTAGTGGCTGGGACACAGGGCACCAAGTACTGAGGCTGCACAAAGCAGCAAGGCCTGGACCCTGCAGACAAAGCCATTTTTTCCTCTTAGACCTCCTGGTCTGTGATGGGAAAGGCTTCTGTGAAGGTCTCTGACATGCCCTGGAGACATTTTCCCCATTGTCTTGGTGATTAACATTAGGCTCCCTGTGGCTTATGCAAATTTTTGCAGCTGGCTTGAATTTTTCCCCAAATAATGGGTTTGTCTTTTCTATAGCATTATCAGGCTGCAAATTTTTCCAAACTTTTATGCTCTGCTTCCCTTTTAAACGTAAGTTTCAATTTCAGATAATCTAAGTTCAAAGTTCCACAGCTCTTTAGGGCAGGGGGGAAAATGCTGCCAGTCTCTGCTTAAGCATAGCAAGAGTGACCTTTGCTCTAGTTCCCAATAGGTTTCTCATCTCCATCTCCAGACCCAAAGTCGCTTTTACATTGCTGGGTATCTTTACAGCAGTACCCAACTCTACCAGCACGAATTTACTATAATAGTCCATTCTCACACTGCAATAAAAATCTTCCCAAGACTGGGTAATTTATAAAGCAAAAAGGTTAAATTGACTCACAGTTACTCATAGCTGGGGAGGCCTCAGGAAACTTACAATCATGGCAAAAGGCAAAGGAGAAGCAAACTGGACCTTCTTACATGGCAGCAGGAGAAAGAACATGTGTGTGCAGAAAAAACTTCGATTTATAAAACCATCAGAATTCATGAGAATTCACTCAGTGTCACAAGAACAGCATGGGGGAAACCACCCCCCATGATCCAATCACCTCCCACCAGGTGTGTCCCTTAACACCTGGGGATTACAATTCAAGATGAGATGGGGGCACACAAAGCCTAACCATATCTATCATAAAGACATAGTCCCAATTCCCTGATATCTCTGCTTCCTGACCCCTGTGTGAGACAGGCTATGGTGTCCCAGAATGGCCTGTTTCTCTTGATTTGGGGGGCAGTGTGTTAAGCACCTTTCAGCAGAATTCACCTTCCCTTTATGAATTAAATCCTAGGCACAATTCACAATGCCAGCTCTCAATAAATTTGTTACTGTAATTTGTTTCCAGAAATGATATCAGAGCAGAAACACAAAGCAAAAGAAACCAAAAGATAGGTCGTGCTGAATGGTTGGAAAGTATATTTATGAAAGAACTATGCTTCACAAAAGCATCTTTGCTATGATTCAAGGGAGAAATCATTAAACACCAACCCCATCATATCCACATAAATTCAGCAATCTAGAGACTGTTGGTCTTTTTTCTTTTCTGCATTATGTTTCTGCTCTCAGTAAAGCAAGGTTTTAATTGTAATATTGAAGCATTGGAAATTTAACACCAAGATATTTTCAAAACTAAGTGTTTTTTTGTTTGTTTTTGTTTTTGTTTTTTTTTGACAGAGTCTCACTCTGTCATCCAGGCTAGAGTGCAGTGGTGTGATCTCAGCTCGCTGCAAGCTCTGCCTCCCAGGTTCATGCCATTCTCCTGCCTCAGCCTCCTGAGTAGCTGGGACTACAGGTGCCCACCACCACACCTGGCTAATTTTTTTTTTTTGTATTTTTAGTAGAGACGGGGTTTCACCATGTTAGCCAGGATGGTCTCGACCTCCTGGCCTCGTGATCCGCCTGCTTTGGCCTCCCAAATTGCGGGGATTACAGGCATGAGCCACCACGCCTGGCCAAAACTAAGTTTTAATTATAATAGGAAAACTAATGCGAGGCCAGAAATTGTTGACTTTGTTCACAGAATGCTAATTTTCCCCAGACAAAATATGCAGAGCTATGTTTCATTAATATGCAGATCTATGTTTTATTACCAAAACACACTATTGCCAAATGCACAAAAGGAAAAAAGATATTTGTACCCTGTGCTAAAACAGATTCATTTGTGGTATTTATATGACAAAACTGGAATTATTTCAACCTGGAAATCATTGTTTCAAATTTCCATGGTTAAAGGTTTGCTCAAGCAAATCTTAAAACACAGGTATGTATTTCAGAAGATCAACCAAATTCAAGTTTGCATCCCATTTTGGGTACCTTGTAAATAGAAATTTCAAAATCTTCCTCAAAAATGTCTGCATTTGTTTTCCAGATTCTTGCAACCCAAAACAAAACTTCACAGAAACTCTGCACAAGAGTTGGTAGACAGCTAAACCTTCTCTAAATTGAGTTATGGACAATAAGGTCTTGATTATAGCAGAACTGGAAGGTCTATTTACAAGCCTGCACACAGTGCTGTGTAAATTGGCTGCTGGGGCACATTGATTGGCAGGGAAAGGCCAGGGAGGCAGTTGAATCCCTGGCATTTTTCAAAGCTTTTTTCCTAGTTTCATTGTTCCTAGAATTTTGAAGCTTGTTAAGACATTCCCTATCCTATGTCATACTCTAGAGCACTCTAGTCAGAATCCTGATAGAATACACTCTTTTTTTTAAAAGTGTACATTTCAATGATTTTTAATAATTTTTTTATACTTTAAGTTCTCAGGTACATGTGCACAACGTGCAGGTTTGTTACATATGTATACATGGGCCATGTTGGTGTGCTGCACCCATTAACTCGTCATTTACATTAGGTATATCTCCTATTGCTATCCCTCCCTTCTTCCCCCACCCCACAACAGGACCTGGTGTGTGATGTTCCCCTTCCTGTGTCCAAGTGATCTCATTGTTCAATTCTCACCTTTGAGTGAGAACATACAGTGTTTGGTTTTTTGTTCTTGTGATAGTTTGCTGAGAATGATGGTTTCCAGCTTCATTTGTGTCCCTACAAAGGACATGAACTCATCCTTTTTCATGGCTGCATAGCATTCCATGGTGTATATGTGCCACATTTTCTTAATCCAGTCTATCACTGATGGACATTTTTGTTGGTTCCAAGTCTTTGCTATTGTGAATAGTGCCGCAGTAAACATATGGGTGCATGTGCCTTTATAGCAGCATGATTTGTAATCCTTTCAGTATATACCCAGTAATGGGATGGCTGGTTCAAATGGTATTTCTAGTTCTAGATCCTTGAGGAATCACCACACTGTCTTCCACAATGGTTGAACTAGTTTACAGTCCCACCAACAGTGTAAGTGTTCCTATTTCTCCACACCCTCTCCAGCACCTGTTTTTCCTGAATTTTTAATGATAGCCATTCTAACTGGTGTGAGATTTTATCTCATTGTGATTTAGATTTGCATTTCTCTGATGACCAGTGATGATGGGCTTTGTTTCATGGTCTGTTGGCTGCATAAATGTCTTCTTTTGAAAAGTGTCTGTTCATATCCTTCACCCACTTTGTGATGGGGTTGTTTGTTTTTTTCTTGTAAATTTGTTTGAGTCTTTTGTAGATTCTGGATATTAGCCCTTTGTCAGATGAGTAGATTGCAAAAATCTTCTCCCATTCTGTAGGTTGCCTGTTCATTCTGAGGTAGTTTCTTTTGCTGTGCAGAAGCTCTTGAGTTTAATTAGATCCCATTTGTCAATTTTGGCTTTTGTTGCCATTGCTTTTGGTATTTTAGACATGAAGTCCTTGCCCATGCCTATGTCCTGAATGGTATTGCCTAGGTTTTCTTCTAGGGTTTCTATGGTTTCAGGTCTAACATTTAAGTCTTTAATCCATCTTGAATTAATTTTTGTATAAGGTGTAAGAAAGGGATCCAGTTTCAGCTTTCTGCATATGGCTAGCCAGTTTTCCCAGCACCATTTATTAAATAGGGAATTCTTTCCCCATTTCTTGTTGTTGTCAGGTTTGTCAAAGATCAGATGGTTGCAGATGTGTGGTATTATTTCTGAGGGCTCTGTTCCGTTCCATTGGTCTATATTTCTGTTTTGGTACCAGTACCATGCTGTTTTGGTTACTGTAGCTTGTAGTATAGTTTGAAGTCAGGTAGCGTCATGCCTCCAGCTTTGTTCTTTTTGCTTAGGATTGACTTGGTGATGCGGGCTCTTTTTTGGTTCCATATGAACTTAGTAGTTTTTTCCAATTCTGTGAAGAAAGTCATTGGTAGCTTGATGGAGATGGCATTGAATCTATAAATTACCTTGGGCAGTATGGCCATTTTCACGATATTGATTCTTCCTATCCATGAGCATGTAATGTTCTTCCATTTGTCTGTATCCTCTTTTATTTCCTTGAGCAGTGGTTTGTAGTTCTCCTTGAAGAGGTCCTTCACATCCCTTGTAAGTTGGATTCCTAGGTATTTTATTCTCTTTGAAGCAATTGTGAATGGGAGTTCACTCATGATTTGGCGCTCTGTTTGTCTGTTGTTGGTGTATAAGAATGCTTGTGATTTTTGCACATTGATTTTGTATCCTCAGACTTTGCTGAAGTTGCTTATGAGCTTAAGAAGATTTTGGGCTGAGACGATGGGGTTTTCTAAATATACAATCATGTCATCTTCAAACAGGGACAATTTGACTTCCTCTTTTCCTAATTGAATAATCTTTATTTCTTTCTCCTGCCTTATTGCCCTGGCCAGAACTTCCAGCACTATGTTGAATAGGAGTGGTGAGAGAGGACATCCCTGTCTTGTGCCAGATTTCAAAGGGAATGCTTCCAGTTTTTGCCCATTCAGTATGAAACTGGCTGTGGGTTTGTCATAGATAGCTCTTATTATTTTGAGATACATCCCATCAATACCTAATTTTTTGAGAGTTTTTAGCATGAAGCATTGTTGAATTTTCTCAAAGGCCTTTTCTGCATCTATTGAGATAATCATGTGGTTTTTGTCATTGGTTCTGTTTATATGCTGGATTACATTTATTGATTTGCGTATGTTGAACCAGCCTTGTATCCCAGGGATGAAGCCCACTTGATCATGGTGGATAAGTTTTTTGAGGTGCTGCTTGATTTGGTTTGCCAGTATTTTATTGAGGATTTTTGCATTGATGTTCATCAGGGATATTGGTATAAAATTCTCTTTTTTTGTTGTGTCTCTGCCAGGCTTTGGTATCAGGATGATGCTGGCCTCATAAAATGAGTTAGGGAGGATTCCCTCTTTTTCTACTGATTGGAATAGTTTCAGAAGGAATGGTATCAGCTCCTCTTTGTACCTCTGGTAGAATTCAGCTGTGAATCCATCTGGTCCTGGACTTTTTTTGGTTTATGTCCAATCATAAATTTATATCCAGAATACATGAAGATTTGTAGGAAATTTTTATATATTCTGGATATAAGTTTTTGACTGGACCTAAACATTGCAGATATCTTCTCCCAATTTAACTTGTCTTTTCTTTCTCTTAATGGTGACTTCGTTAATACCAATTTCTTAATTTTAATGTAGTTCAATTTATCAGACTTTTTCTGTGTAGTTAACGCTTATTTAGTCTTGCTTAAGAAATTTTTGTCTACCCCATTGTCATAAAGATATTCTTCTATGTTACAGAAGCTTTTTTTTAAAATTTTTAACATTTCAGATTGAGCTTTATAACCCACCTACGATTGACTTTTGTTTGTGACACAAGACAAGGGTTAAAGTCTTTTATTCCCCCATATTGATATCCAAATTATCTACCACCATTTATTGAGAAGATTATTATTTCCTCACTGCACTGCAGTTTCACCCTTGTCATAAATCAGGTGACGGTGTAAGTATGAGTTTGTTTTTTGTTTCTCTATTTGTATGTCCTGCTAATACCATCTTATTTTAATTGTAATAAAGTTGGAGACATCTGATGGTATACATTCTTGAGCTCTGTTCTTCTTCAGGACTTTCTTGGTTCTTCTTGTCCTTTTAAATTTTCAAAAAAATTTTAAATTAGCTTGTCAATTTTCAAATTACCTGATAGGATTTTGAGTAGGATTGCATTCAACCATAATTTAATGAGTAGAAATGACTTATTTACAATATAAAATCTTTCTATTCATAAACATTGTGTGTCTTTTTTATGTATACAATATTTATATCTGTTTTAAAAGTTTTACTTTAAGTTCTGGGATACATGTGCAGAATGTACAGGTTTGTTACATAGGTATACATGTGCTGTGGTGGTTCGCTCCATCTATCAACCTGTAATCTAAGTTTTAAGCCCCACATACATGAGGTATTTGTCTAATGCTCTCCCTCCTCTTCCCCTCCAACCCCTGACAGGCCTCTGTGTGTGATGTTCCCCTCCGTGTGTCCATGTGTTCTCATTGTTCAACTCCCATTTATGAGTGAGAACATGCACTGTTTGGTGTTCTGTTCCTGTGTTAGTTTGCTGACAATGATGGCTTCTAGTTTCATCCATGTCCCTGCAAAGAACATGTACTCATGATTTTTTATGGCTGCGTAACATTCCATGGTGTACTCTAATTTGTACATGTACAAATTAGAACTCAGGATTAAGAAACTCACTTGAAACCACACAATTATATGGAAATTGAACAACCTGCCCCTGAATGACTACTGGGTAAATAACGAAATTAAGGCAGAAATAACAAAGTTGTTTGAAACCAGTGAGAACAAAGAGACAACGTACCAGAATCTCTGAGACACAGCTGAAGTAGTGTTAACAGGGAAATTTATAGCACTAAATGCCCACAACAGAAAGCTGGAAAGATCGAAAATCGACCCCTTAATATCACAATTAAAAAACCTAGAGAAGAGTAAACAAATTCAGAAGCTACCAGAAGACAAGAAATAACTATGATCAGAGTAGAACTGAAAGAGATAGAGACACGAAAAACCCTTCAAAATATCAGTGAATCCAGGAGATTAACAAAATAAATAGACCACTAGCTAGACTAACAGAGAAAAAAGAGAAGAATCAAGTAGACATAATAAAAAATGATAAAGGGGGCTGGGTGTGATGGCTCATGCCTGTAATCCCTCTACTAAAAATACAAAAATTTGCTGGGTGTGGTGGTGTGTGCTTGTAGACCCAGCTACTAGAGAGACTGAGGCAGAAGAATTGCTTGAACCCCAGAGGTGGAGGTTGCAGTGAGCCGAGATAACACCACTGCACTCCAGCTTGGGTGACAGAGTGAGAGTCCATCTCAAAAAAAAAAAATGATAAAAGAAGTATCACTATTGATCCCACAGAAATGCAAATTACCCTCAGAGAATACAATAAACACCTCTCTGCAAATAAACCTGAAAATCTAGAAAATATGGATATATTCCTGGCACATACACCCTCCCACGACAAAATCAGGAAGAAGTAGAATCCCTGAATAGACCCATAACAAGTTCTGAAATTGAGACAGTAATGAATAGCCTACCAACCAAAAAAAGCCCGGGACCAGATGGATTCATAGCTGAATTATACTGGAGATATAAAGAAGAGCTGGTACCATTCCTTCTGAAACTATTCCAAACAATGGTAAAAGAGGGACTCCTCCCTAACTCATTTTATGAGGCCAGAATCATCCTGATAGCAAAACCTGGCAGAGACACAACAAATAAAGAAAATTTCAGGCCAATAGCCCTTATAAACATTGATGTGAAAATCCTCAATAAAAGACTGGCAAAATGAATCCAGCAGCACATACAAAAGCTTATCCACCATGTGCAATACTTTTTTTAAAGGCATGCTTTAATAAAGAAACACTTCTATTTAGTCAGGAGACTATCTCTTTGAGTCTAACATAGATTACAGCCTTGACATGAATAAGATTCTTCTTTTATGTAGTCAATAAATGTTTACTTACAGCCTATTTTATGCTGGGTAGTATTATGGGAACTGGAGAGAGAAGGTCTGTCTTTATGGAGCTTGCAGTATAGTGACAGAGATAGAACATAAATGCACAAACAGTTGCACACTAAAGTGATGGATGTACTAAGCGCTATGAAGAAATATATTAGCCAAGTGTGGTGGTGCTCACCTGTGGTCCCAGCTACTTGGGAGGCTGAGACAGGCGGTCTGTTTGAGCCCCAGAGTTTGAGGCTGCAGTGATCCATGATTGTGCCACTGCACCCCAGCCTTGGTGACAGAGTGAGACCCTGTCTAAATAAAAAGTATAATAATACAAAGAAAATAAGGTAGGGTAATCACATTCAGGGTGTCAGGGACTGCTACTTTAGATAGAGAGCTCTGGAACAATCTTTTTGAGGAGATGACACTTGAGCAGGTCAGAATGGTATGACGGAGTGAGTTAAGCGAATGTCTAGAGGGCAGAGAGAAGAGACACTGTGCAGAGTCTGAATACAGACAGCACTTGATGAGCTCAAAGATCACTACAAAGACCAGTCAGGCTGCAGGCACTGGGAGGCGGAAAGGAGAATGCACACTCTGAGGAGCAGATAAATACAGACCATAGTAAAGAGCTTGGATTTCTTTGTTAATTGTCATAGGTAACCACTGGAGGATTCAGAGCTGGGAATGAAATGGTATAAGATATGTTCTTACAGGAATAGTCCAGCTTTGTGGGAGAATAGATTACAGATTACCATAAATAGAATAATAAGAAATGCAAAGGCAGCTTAGAAATGATTATATCTGTCCAGGGGTTGATACTGGTGGTGTTAGAACTGTGAGGTCCCGTATGATAGCCACCAGCTGCATTTAGTTTTTTACATTTAAATTAATTAAAATACCATAAAATTTATTCCTACCAGGGACTTGGGAGGAAAGGGAGAATGAGGAGTTATTGCTTAATGAGTACAGAGTTTCAGTTTGGGGTGAAAAAACTTTTTGGAAATACATAGTTTTGATGATTGCACAACATTATGAATGTAATTAATGCCTCCGAATTTTATGTTTAAAATGGCAAAGCTTATTACATAGGCTTTACCACAATAAAACATTATAAAATTAATCATAGAACCAAAACTCTAAAACCATTTTTTAAAATTGTATAAATTTAAGGAGTGCAAGTGCAATTTTGTTACATGGGTATATGGGGTAGGAGTGAAGTCTGAGCTTTTAGTGTGTTTATCACTGGAACAATGTACACTGTATCCACTAAGTAATTTCTCATCACCCTTCCCCTTCCCACCCTCTCACCCTTCTGAGTCTACAGTGTCTTATCATTTTACACTCTTTGTTCATGTTTACGCATTATGTATTTCCCGTTTTTAAGTAAGAACATGCAGTATTTGATTTTAAGTTTCTGAATTGCAAAACTATAAAACTCTTAGAATAAAAAATAACAATAAATCTTTATGGCCTTGGATTTGGCAGTAGTTTCTTAGATATGGCACCAAAAGCACAGTGATAGAAGAAAATGTACTGGGCTTCATCAAAATTAGAAACATTTGTGTTTCAAAGGACGTAACAAAGAAAATAAAACGACAACCAGAAAAGTGAAGAAAATGTTTGCAACTTATATATTTGATTAGAAATCTGTATCCAAAATGCACAAATAAATTTTACAGCTCAACAGTAAAAAGGAAAAATACATAAAAATAGGCAAAATATTTAAATAGACATTTTTGTGAAGAAGATATAAGAGTGTCCAATAAGCGCATGAAGAAAAAGCCTAACATCACAAGCCATCAAGAAAACGCAAAATCAAAACCACAAGCAGATATCACTTAACACCCACTAGTGTACCTACAATAAAAAATGACAAATGGTTGGGTGCGGTGGCTCACGCCTGTAATCCCAGCACTTTGGGAGGCTGAGGTGGGTGGATCACGAGGTCAGGAGATCCGGAACATCCTGGCTAACATGGTGAAATCCCGTCTCTACTAAAAAATACAAAAAATTAGCCGGGCGTGGTGGCAGGCGCCTGTAGTCCCAGCTACTCAGGAGGCTGAGGCAGGAGGATGGCGTGAACCTGGGAGGTGGAGCTTGCAGTGAGCTGAGAGTGCACCACTGCACTCCAGCCTGGTGAGGCCATTGAGAAATTAGATCTTTCATACATTGCCGGTGGGAAAGTAAAATAGTGCACACTTTGGAAATCTGTGAGGTGATTGCTGAAACGGTTATACATAGGTACCTTACGACCCAGCAATTCCATTCCTAGGTACATACCCAATAGAAATGAAAACTTTTGAATGAAATATACAAAAGTTTGTACCTAAATATTATAGCGGCATTATCATAATTCTGAATAATACATACTAAATCGAAGGGATATTAAAAGTAATATTGATGAAATAAAATTAGAAATATATAAAATTTTTACCAGTGATTGATTGAGCTGATTCAAATTACTTCTTACAGTCTTCAATTCCACATTTTGTACATTCGGAGAGTGAGTTCAAGTTGCTTCACTTCTAACTTTTTCTTTTGCTGCTCTTCGAATTTTCCTAATTCTTCCCTAATTTTTTCATTTAATATATTGACA
Organism: Homo sapiens; assembly: GCF_000001405.40. Classification (NCBI taxonomy): domain Eukaryota; kingdom Metazoa; phylum Chordata; class Mammalia; order Primates; family Hominidae; genus Homo; species Homo sapiens. The sequence goes on from NC_000009.12 coordinate 64,863,956, forward strand.
TTTCTTCTCTTCTCTTCTTGTTTTAAAGTCACTCTGCCATTAAATATACTTATCTTAAAATTCATTTTGTTAGAAAATAGAATTCACTTTGAGATCTACTTCTTCCTATATTGGTTTATTATTCCAATAAAATTCCTATATTCTTGAATACGTTTTTCCTTTCTAGTTCTGAGGTATTTAATTTATTACTGAACTCTCTTCCAAATGATACACATACTTGAAAAATAGTGAAAAAAAAACATCTTCTAGTTAGAAAGATTCTGTTACTAGTAACTTCAACAACTGTTACAGAAAAGAATACTGGAAGCTATCCAGTAAAGTTATAAGTTGAAAATTATTATTTTAAAAATATAACAGTCAAAATTACTCCTCAATGAGGACAGATCATTTAGAGTTAACTAATTAAAATGACGTTACTTTTTATAAACAAGTTTACATATTTATTAGACATAAATATTCATCTTTAAAAAATAAGGCAAATATCCTTAAACATAATTATAATATTAAAATCTGAGACTAGGCTGAAGAATCTAATATCTGTTATCCCATATATCTTTTGTTTCTTTTTTTAGTAATACTTTAAATGTATCTTGTTGATTATTTTATATTTTATCAACAAATTTTAAATCTCTTTTAGAATAAGACAGAATATTATATTTAATTAAAAAATAAAAATAATAAGTGTTTTTAACATAGAATTCTGAATTGATTTTATTTATGTAGGAGAGAGAGAGATGTTGAATATACTAGTCATAAATTACTCTATATTTTTCTTTATACTCCATGCATATTAAGATTACAAGTGTATAATTAAAGGAAAATGATTATTGGGGGTAGTGGAATGGCCGTTTCACACTCTCTTTGTTGAACTATAAATGAATATAAATTTTCTTGAGAACAATTTAGAAGTAATGAACAAAGAACTTCTTAAAACTTCCTATAATTTAACCAAATATTTTTATATTGAATAATTTATTCCAAGTCAATAATTAGAATGGTAGAAAAGGATTTACATGCAATTATGCCTTGCAGCACTTATTATAACACAAAAAAATTAAAAATAAAAAAATAATTTTTTAAGTAAATAATGGGGTTTCCAAATAATGGCCTTCTATGTAGCCATTAAAATTGTGATTTAAATAAATATGCATTTAATTATCAGGAGATGTATTCACAGTTAATAACTTGTATTATTTAAATGGATTTGACACTACAAGACAGAGATTTCTTTCTCTAGTTAAACCTCAGAAGGTAAGTCAGCTAGTACTAAAAGTATCCTATATACTAGTATGTCATACCTCACACTGCAGAGCTCTTGTTCTCTTTTAACTTTTTGATTCTCTATGATTTTATTTCTTTTGGTTCTGATAGTTCCTTTTGTAGTACACGAAGCTTTTTTTTCATTTGTTTCATTTTTGCTGTAAGTTGTTCACAGGGATTTTTTTTTCTTTCTTTTTTTGACGGAGTCTCACTCTGTTGCCTAGGCTGGAGTGCAGTGGCGCGTTCTCCACTCACTGCAAGCTCCGCCTCCTGGGTTCACGCCATTCTCCTGCCTCAGCCTCCTGAGTAGCTGGGACTACAGGCAACCGTCACCACGCCCGGCTAATTTTTTTGGTATTTTTAGTAGAGACGGGGTTTCACTGTGTTAGCAAGGATGGTCTTGATCTCCTGACCTCATGATCTGCCGGCCTTGGCCTCCCAAAGTGATGGGATTACAGGCGTGAGCCACGGCGCCTGGCTCACAGGGATATTTTTTAAGTTCCCTTGCTCTTTCACAAGAAAGAATTGCATCCAAGAATTTTGATAGGCTAGTTGAATCTGTCTCCAGGAGGAGATAGAAATAAAATATATAAGTACTTTTGGGATATAAAGAACTGCATATTTTAAAAATCACTAATTCATACACTGAACAAATATATATTGTTTGCCTACCTCGTGGAAGGCATTATACTAAGCTCTGCAGATTAAACAGAAAAAAACAAAAACCTCTGCCTTTGTTTAACTTAAAATGTACTAAAAGACGAAGCCCCAGAAAAGTGACAGTTATAAATTCAGATAGATACTGTAAGAAAACAGATTGCTAAGAATTAGATCTATACTAGGCTCATGGAAAATTCCCCCGAGGAACGTATAGCTACACTGAGGAATGAAGAATGAAAAGGAAGCAGTTGAGCAAACAGGGAAGGAAAGCATTTTAGCCAGTCTGTGGCATGTGCTGAAACTCTAGTGTAGTCTGCCTCTAGCCAAGGGAGAGCAACAGGTATGATTTTTCTTCATAGCTAAAATAACTAGCATCAAAACACACAAAATACAGTAAACAATTTTTCAGACACTGGACATTAGGCAAAGAGATAATAATCCCTGAAAAAGAGAAAAAAAAAAAAAACACGAAAGAAAGCAAACCTTATGAATGTTTCAGCTTCCTGCCTTGACAGAGATTCCGAGACATGACACAGGAAGAAAAAACTGAGGTGGGATCTACCAGACTCTCTTGGTTACATTGATGAAGCTTAGAGTCTGGTAAAACCAAAGCAGACAGATATTACAGAACAAACACTGAGGAGGAGAGAGAGATACAGAATCAATGGCAAGAAACCCCCTGTCAATATTTAGCAAAATTTTGGAAATTGCATGTGAGCTAGAAAACTACCTAAGAACAAACCAGGTGGGGGTGGGGGGTGGCCTATAAAATTATAGGAAATCACAACTGGTGCTCACACAGCGCCAAGAAGAGCATCTATTTTTATAGATTTGCCTGGGAAAACTGAGACTTCACAGGAGAATGAATACTCAGAAAGGCCTTGCCTCAGGTATGGGGAGTTAGCTCATACCATAAAAAGAAAAATGAAAGGGATCAAGCTCTTTATAAGTAACTCAACTCTATTCTACCATAAAATTCAAGAAGATAAGTAAAGCAGTAGAAGATACTTTTAAAAATCAAATTGCACTTGTAGAGATACAAGTTACAATGCTGGAGATGAAAGCTGCACTGAGTAGATATGAGCATAGATTAATTCGCCATCATGAAATAAAAGAGTCACAAATTTGAGACACTAGTGAACTATGAGCAAACTTCCAGCAGGTAATATATAAGTCCCCAAAGAGGTAGGAGGAGAGGCAGAATAAAAAACTTGAGAAAAAAATTGGCTAAATATGTTTTAAACTTAACGACAGCCATAATCCCACAGATCTAGGCTGGGATCTGGCTGATAGAAAAGAAATGAAAATATGGTTGTAATTTCTTATACCGTCTATGATATGATATAATATTACTTGAAGGTGGATTGTGATGAGGTAAATTCATACACTATAAATCCCAAAGCAACTACTAGGACAGCAAAGAGTTATACCTAATACCAAATAAACTTATACCAAAAAAGATATGACTAAATCATAAAGAAATGTAACACTAGATTAATAACTAAAAAAGTTATGCATGTACAGATATGTAACTAAATCATAAAAATTACTAAACTAGTCTGAAGGAAGCAGAAAAAGGAAAAAAGCAAAGCAAAGAAGATCTGGGACTAATAGAAATCAAACAGTGTGATGACAGACAACTCTAATCATATCAATAATTACATTATAAATTAAACTGCTCTAAAAACCTCTACTCAAAGGCAGATTGTCAGAATGGATAAAAAAGCAAGTCTTACCTGTATAATGCATATAAGAAATAAACTTTAAATATAAAGACAAAAATTAGTTAAAAGATGAAACAAGATATACCACACTAACACTTGACAAAAGAAGGCTGAGGAAGAGTGGTTGTATTAATACCAAAGTACATTTCATAGCAAAAATATTACCAGCAATATACAATGTCATTTTATAGTGACAAAGGGTTCGATTAATCAAGAAAACATAACAGTCCTAAATATTTATGTACATAATAACATAAATGCTTCAAAATACATGATACAAAAATTGACAGAACTGCAAAAGAAATAGACAAATTCCCAAGTATAGTCTAAAATCTCTAAACCCCTTACTCAAGCCGTATAGGGAGGCAGAAAATTCTGGAAAAATGTTGGCATGTGTACTCACCAGTCTAGACATTTTCCCACTCCCTGTGTATGTATGCTGCTTTAGTTACAAAAAGTTAGGTAGGATCTTGGGAGATTTCTTCTTGGATACCAGAAATATCAACCACATCAAAAGTATACCTAACAACTCTAAAATAATTCTTTTGAACAGATTACCACTGAAGAACTTGTAAGTTAAATCCAGTAGACTTTTGAGTAATTTTACTGCTTGAAATTCTCACATTTAAAAGAAATTTGTAACATCACTTTCTCAGACTCCTCTTCTACGTTTCTTTAACCACTGCTCAGTCTCCTTTACCAAGTCCTTTGACTCTTGTGAAATGTTGATATTCCCAGGGTTTTGTCAATGGCTTTCTTTTTATTCTACATCTACTGCCTCATGGATAAGCTCATTGAGATCTATGGCTTTGCCTAATAATTATAATAAAAGTATTCTAAGCCTGCATCTTCAAGCAGAGTTCTATCTCCAGCTAGAAATGCATATAATCCAATTGCCTACTGAAAGTATCCCACAAGAATGTTTCGTTGAACTCAATATGTAAAGAAAACTGTTGGTCTGTCTCATGACTGTTTGCACTTCTCTGTTAACCTGAGAAATTCCTACTCCTTCCCCATGATCATTGTAAATGCTTGTGCACAATCTGAAAACTTATGAATGACCTGAGATTTTATCTGTCCCCTAGCTTTTTAAACTCAATTATCACTAAGCCATATTAACTGCACCTCTTTTCTGCCTTTGCTTTATCTTTCCAGTGCCACTGGAAATACATACTTATTTATTTTATATTTATATTTCCTAGTTAAACGTGGCCCCTTAACTGATGGCTTTCACAGGGAAAAAGAAACCCTACAAATTACTGTTCTTATTTTTTAAGTTAAAAAATTAATCAAAATAAAATAATGCCAAAGAAGGACCTACATGTTTAAATGTGTAAATTGAGCTTCTGAACTTGATTCATTTTACCCTTGATGGATCAAACTTTCATAATAGATTGATACTAGGCCACAGATTTGTTACAAAAAAAAAAAGACCATCGCATGAACTACTACAAAAACTTCATCTTTAAATCTTTTTATGTGATTATCCTCCATCTATCTTCTATATGAAGGGCCAGAAACTATAGGCCACAGGCCAAATTCAGCTTTCTAAATGGTTTTTTATACAAACTTTTATTGGAGTACAATCATGCCTCTTTGCCCATCCATTATCTATGACTCCTGTCACCCTACAATGGCAGAGTTGAATAGCTGTAATAGAGACCACATGACCCAACATATTCGCTATCTGGCACTTTACAGGAAAAGTTTGCCAATCTCTGCTTTATACCATGACCAGAATGCCCTGATACTCAAATCTAATCTTGTGATTCCCCTGCTCAAACTTTTCCACTGTGTTCCTGCAGAAAACATTGCTGGCTTCCTATGCATAGTCATTATTTATTCTTTATTGCTGTAGAAACACAAGTTCATTTAGATATTTACTATTCCATTACCCCCATCCAGTCTTAAAAGAAAAATCATTATTCTAAGCTAATCACAGTAATTACATTTGCTTTCCTAGTGATTGGTATAGAAATAAGCATGTGGTATAATCCAGCCAATAAAATGTTACAGGAAGATTACTGCAAGCTTCCAAGTTTTCTTCCTATTTAAAAAAAAAAAATGTGAACAAAAGCAGCACCCCCAGCCTTCAGATATTGTCTTGAGTTAGCATGATGATTGGAGCTGTTGCTAATTAGCCAACCAAGAAAGGAGACATGGACAAAACACTGCCGATAGCACAACTAATAATGGGGGTGGGGGGCAGAGTGAGATCCTATAATATCCCTGTACCACCAAAAAAACTTTGGTTTCTATGGTTTTAGCAATTGTTAGTTAGTTCATCTAATATTTACAGCCAGAAGTATTCTGGGAATTTTTCCAGGGCCTATAGAATAAGATCTACTCATTTCTACACTATTAAAATGTGTTGCCCAAGCTTGCCTTATCTAGACATTCAAGCCATTCCCGACTACTCCCATACCACACTATTTCCACTAGGGAACCCAAAGTGCCAATAAACTCTACAAAGTTCACTCAAGCATCTTACCATGTGTACTTGCTTTTGTAGCTGTTTTTTTGTAGGACATGTGATCATCTTAGATGTTCCTTCTTCCAAAACTTCAGTTTTATTAGATGTTACTCCTGCCACGCATTCAGTCTTTACAGATGTTTCTTTTTCCTCCCATGTGGTCTTTGTAGGTCTTTCTTGTGGCCATGCAAATTTCTCAGATGTTTCTTTCACAGGCCTTGTAATTTTCCTAGGTGTTTCTCCTGCTGACTCTTCAATCTTTCCAGATATTGTTTTCCCCAAACATTGAACTTCGTCAGATGTTCCCTCCACCAAGGGTGCAGCTTCGTGTTGGAAATAACTTTTTGGTGCCACAAAGAAGAGTTAGCACTCCAACAACAAGTTAACACTCCAGCAAGGCAAATTTACTTCTATAGAAGGGTGAGTCTTGCAGATGGAGCAATGGCAAGGGCACACTGGATAAGGGAGGGGAAAGGGTTCTTATTCCTAATACAGATAGTCCCTACTGCTGTATCTTTCCCCTATTGGATAGGGTTGTACTGCACACTCTAAGCTAATTTTGACTGGCTACTTCAAAGAGGACAGGGGTGCAAGCCAGAGTGGCGGGGTGGGTAGTTTCCTCAGGAAGGACGGTTACAGAGCAGGTGACTAAGGATGACTAAGAACAGAGCAAGTGACTAAGAATGACTAAGGACAGAGTAGGTGATAGGGACTAGGAGGGGGTCATTTACTGAAACTAGGGGCAAGGAAGCATAAAGAATGAGGAAGTTAAACTTTAAATGGAGAACAAAGAACAGAGAAGCTGAACATACTGACTTATTGACTCTTTGAAGAGGAAATGAGAACTCACTGTACTTAACAATCTTCCCTCTCTTGAATTTTAAAGGATGTTAACAGGCTAAAACCTTTGAAGAGTAATTCACTGTATTCTACAATTGCCTCTTTCAATTTTTATAGCCCTTCCTCTTCAAACCTTTTTAGCATGTCTTGGATTTTTTTTTTCAACTTGATCCTCTAAAAGGAAAAGCCTATCTGAATAAGGTGGAGGACAGCTAAGGGAGGTTTTAGAAAGTGTTGTTTCTATAAGCCTTTGCACTAGCCCATGGATGCATGGTATGACACAACACCCAACAAGAATGAGTACACCAATTACTGCTGTAAGAGAAGTAAGAATTGAGGCTACAATTTCTTTCCATTTACTGAACCACCTTTCTAGCCATCTTGAGAAAGGGTTATTGACTCCAGAATTTTTAGCTAATTCATTGGATAAAGTGGTAAATCCTTGTAGGGCCCTTGTTATGCTCCCATTGGGGGCAGTGTTGTTTGCCCCCAATGGATAAAGGTACAACACTGAGTTTTAATCATAACACAAACACCACCATTTTCAGCTAATATCATAACTAGGGCCATTCTGTTTTCCCAGGCCATCTGGCTAGTGGGCCTCAATTGTTCCGCTATTCCTTTGACAACACCCCTGGTGTAATTAATAAACCACTGTTGATTATTATAGATTTAATTTATCCAATCTACATTTTTATTGTCACATACCAAAATATCAATTCAAATCCGGTAGCTATTTGAACTTGGACTTAAATATATCTGGTACTCCTCATGGGATTCCAATAACATCTAAATAAATGTGGGAGTCAAAAGACCCATAAAGGACTTCCCTTGCTTTACTATGTTGTGTTTTCCCTTTTTCTGGTTGATGAAATGCCAGAGTGAAAAGTATAGCCAACTGGACTAGAGCACCAGCGCTGCTCCAGTTACTTGACAGAGTGTCCTGTAAAGATCCACCACAATACCACCATAAATCTTCTCAGGATTGTATAAGGGCTGACTGATTGGTAAGCTCTTGGAAAGTCTTAAGCTTACTGCATCTTTTAGGTTTCCAAGCAAAGCTAAGTTTCCTCCTTGTTGTGAGAGACATGAAGTGAACTTAGTGTCAGGAGAAGGAAGCTGGATGGTCCTTGGGGGCTGACCTGCAAGGTGTTGAACTTTGGGATATAGCAGAGAGAGAGATTGACATGACTTGTTACACCAGGCTGTGGAACCCTGGAAAAGAGCTACCATACAGCCCATGCCTCGTTGACTGAAGGACCATCCTAGTGGAAAGGGAACAATCTGGGCCTCTGGTCTGCTGTGTGCACAAGCATAACAATTGCTTTTGTTTAAAGTGCGAATGGAGTATTTGATCCATTCCAACCAGGCATTCACATCTTGATATCCTGTCTCAGTTGCCAAAGTTTGTTTTAGGTCTTTAACTTTTACAATAGCTACCTTGGTCTTCTCATTAGATGGAGGAGGAACAACAGTTTCATTGTGAGAGTTTTTGGAAGAAGACTTAGGGGAAGCTGTAAGCAGTAGGGGAGAAATGAAGCATATTTCAAAGAACCAATAGGGTCTGTTTCTGAAAACTCAGCTCCCATATCATAAAACCAGCTTAAAGAAGGGAATTGGTTTAGAGAAGGGGAAGAACTTTGAAGGTTTGAAATAATAACCTGTATTGAGTTGCACTAGTTTACCTGAAAGTTAGGGGGAGCTATATCTTTAGTAAAATGAAGGTATGGTTTTAGAAATTACAACTACTGGTTGGGGCAGCCATCCTTGCTCTCTCTTGCATGTAGTTGGACCAACTACGTCATAAAAGCTCTGTGTCAAGGGGGCAAAACTCCCAGTTGACACTGGGGTCTTCATTGAAACTTTCCCAGACTAAATGATCCAAATTCACTAATGTCCAGTCTGAGGACAGCCAGGAAGTACAGAGGTACTTTTCTGAATTGGAGAGCTGTCTTTGACCTGACAAGGCTCCACAAGGTATAACAAGGCAAGCATCAAATGTAACAGTTTGAGGCAAAATGGGTTCCATTTTCTGAGTCAATGTTTTCTACTAGCCTAAACCTGGGCACTATATTTTCAATTAAGGCCTTAACTACATTATTGGCCATCACATTTGAAAAGGGAATAGCTTTGACCCAGTGAGTAAGGTGATCTACTGTCACTAGTAAATATTTTAGACGACCTATTGGAGGCATCTCTGTGTAATCAATCTGGATACTTTAAGTCTGGACTCCTTCTCCCAAGGGGTAATCTTTTTATAGTTTGTTAATTAGTTTTCTTACATACTAAGCAACTCTCTGTAACCTGTTTGGCCAGAGTATAAATTCCTATACACCCAAAAACTTTCAGAACAGTGTCACACATGGCTTGGGACCCCCAGTGGGTCCCTTGATGCAGTTGGGACAAGTTTTCCCTCATAAGGGGTTTGGACAACATTTCCCTCTGGTCTGGCAATATCCATTTTTCTTTTGAATTCTCCTTAGCACCTATTTTTATTAGTTTCTCTTTTCAGTGGAAGAGAAAATGGAGATTATGTTAGGAGGAAGAAGGTAAAGAGTTCAGTGAAAAATAGATGTTTTAAAAGAAATGGCAGCCTGTTTGCCTATGTAATCTGCTGGGTTATTTCCTAGACTGTCAAAAGAAAGACTTTTCTGGTGTCTGGGTCATGGACAGTCACTATTTCTTCTGGCAACTGAAGGTTATTCAATACTTGGGTGAATATCTCCTTATGAAAAAGATCTTGACGTTTACTATTAATGAGACCTCGTTCAGTCCAAATTTTTCCGAATGTATGAGCCACTCCAAAGGCGTACTTAGAATTGGTATAGATGGCTCCTTCCTGGTTCTGCAAGTACTTTAAGGCTTGGCTGAGTGCAAACAGCTCACAAGTTTGGGCAGTCCAATTCTTAGACAATTTTCCTGCCTCAATTTCTTCAAGAGTTTCTCCATCAATTACTGAATACCCATTGCATCTTTTTGCCTCAATCACCTGGGAAGAACCATCTATAAATAAGTGTCATCCCATCCTGAAGGGAGTTTCTCCTAGGTCTGGTCAGACTTTTGTATGGTAATCAGTTAAATCTAAACATGTGTGCTATCTCTTTAGATTTGGATCCCCTATTAGAAAAACTGCTGGGTTAAGGGAATTATCAGTGGTTAATGTTAAATCATCTTTTTCTAACAGAATAGTCTCATACTTTAAGATTCTTGAGTCAGTAAGCCACCTCCCTGCTATCTGGTTTAAGATAGTTCTAACTTGATGGGGCATTCTTACTGTCAATTTTCCTCCAAAGGTTAACTTCCTGCTTTCTTTGACCATTAGTGCTGTAGCCACAATGGATTGGATGTATTGAGGCCACTCACAAGTAACTGGATCTAAGACTTTTGACAGGAAGGCCACCATGGGCTGCCGATGGCCTCCGTGTTCTTAAGTGAGCATTCCTAAAGCTACCCCATTATCCACATTGACAAAAAGGTGGAATGGCTTTTCTAGGGAAGGTAAGGCTAAGAGAGGGGCTGTTATAAGCCTTTTTTTCAGCTCTTCAACCTGATCGACTTCCTCAGAAATCCACAGGAAATGGTCAGTCTTCCCCTGGGAAAGTTTTGGATATAGAATTTTACTGTTTAGTGCATGTGAGTTAATCCATAAGCAGCAGTATCCAACTAACCCTAAAAATTTCCTGAGTTCTTAAGTTTGAGGCAAGGGTAGGGACACGATTCCCTCAACTCGTTCAGGCCCTATTCTTCACTTCTCTGCACTTATCAAGTGGTCTAAATATTTAATTTCAGGTTCTACATACTGAAGCTTTCCCTTTGAGACTCATAACCCCTCGAACTGCAGATGGTTGAGAATATGTGTAGAGAAGCCAGCTACCTTCTCTATATCTTCACCAGCGTATTGGAGCAGGCATATTTGTTTGGGATGATAACTTTTTCTAATACTTGTTCTAAAATTTGACTGAAAAGGTTAGGGGAGTTTGTGAACCCTTGGGGTAAGACTATCCATCGATATTGTTTCTACCCTGAATGGGGATCCTCCCACTCAAAAGCAAATATATCTGGCCTATCTTCTGCCAGGAGACATGCCCAAAAAGCATCCTTCAAATCTATTACAGTAAACCATTGATTATTATATGGAATCTTGCTGAGAATGCTGTAAGGATCGAGGACAATGGGGTGGGTAGTTTGGACTATTTGGTTAATAGCCCTAAGGTCTTGTACCAGCCGGTATGACCCATGTGATTTCTTGACTGGCAATATTGAGGTGTTATAAGGGGACATAGAGGGCTCAAGAAGCCCATCTTTAATAAGACCTTCAATTATAGGTTTCAACCCTATCCTGCCCTCTAGGGGAATGGGGTATTGTTTCCTCCTTACTACTTCCCTGGGGATTTTTAGCTTCATGTGCTTGGAGGGACTCAGAGTTTCTCTCAGTTTCCTTCTTTGGATCAGACATTAGGATTAATATATTTTTCATCTGCAGTGGTGAGTAGCTTTAATGAAGTGAGGAATCCTCTTGGGCTGAGCTGCAGGCCTATGCCTAACTTCAACATTAAATCCCTCCCTAGTAAATTAGTCCCTGCTTTAGGGATTAACAAAAACTGAATATGAGCTGATTGAGCCTGGTATCTGACTGCTGTGTTTTCTAAAATTTTTGCTTTAAATCCTTCTCCCTTTACCCCACAAACCAAAAGTTCCTCTGAAGAGCAGGCAATTTAGATGGGGGGAAAACAAACAGAGGATCGAGCCACTCCTGAATTGACTAAAAAGGTTATAAACTCATGCTTAGGTCCCACTTCTAGACTTATCAAGGGCTCCTGGTGGAACTCAAGATAAAAGAGACAGAACCCCTGACCCCATTATTCTTCCTCAAAAGCCATGAGTGGAAGGGCTTCTTTTTCCTTTTCTAATTTGGGACATTCTCTCTTGAAGTGGCCTGTTCTTCCACATTTGTAGTGCCTACCTTGCCCTTCCTCACTCTCAGTTCTGGGATTCTTTGATTTTACTCCCCCATACTATTTAGATGGCCTGGTAGATGAGAGCCTTGATCCTCCCAATGGAGGCTTGGGTCCTTTAAAGGAGGGTTTGGAACCTTTATAGTTTCTGGCCCACTGGAAGCTTTGTTTAGGGGTACATGGGTTTGGAGCGATCTGTTAGAAGGTGAATAACATAAGTTTTGTCTTTTGTTTTTGCTTTTCTTCGTCTCTCTTTACAGATACTTTTTGAGTCTCTCTGAGAAGTTCACTTGAGGTCAGTTTTCCCAATCTTCTAATTTTTGTAACTTTTTTGAAATATCTGGACAATGTTGGCCAGGCACAGTGGCTCATGCCTGTAATCCCAGGACTTTGAGAGGCCAAGGTGGGTGGATCACGAGGTCAGGAGATTGAGACCATCCTGGTTAACACGGAGAAACCCCGTCTCTACTAAAAATACAAAAAAATTGCTGGGCGTGGTGGTGGGCGTCTGTAGTTCCAGCTACTCGGGAGGCTAAGGCAGGAGAATGGAGCAAACCTGGGAGATAGAGCTTGCAGTGAATCAAGATCGCACCATTGCACTCCAGCCTGGGTGACAGAGAGAGACTCCATCTCAAAAAAATAAAAGGAAATATCTGGACAACTTTTAGTGACAAAATGGAGCTTTAACATTCCCTGTCCCAGGGGATTTTCCAAATTTAGGCCTGCATATTGTCTCATTTGCTCCTTTAGTCTGTCTAGGAATTTCATAGTCCACTCATCTCTCTCCTGTTGTATATCAAATGCTTTAGAGAGATTTTGAGTTTGGGGTACTGAATCCCTAGTTTCTTTCATTATCATTTCCCTTATGTCTTGCATGTTTTCTTGGTGAGCTGTGTTTTTATTATCCCACTGGGGATCTTGGGCAGGGAATTTTTGGTCCGTGGTAGGAACGTTTTGACAAGGAGGGTGTTCATATTCCCAAATTGCCTTAGCAGCCCTACAGATCAGATCATTCTTCTTTCCTCCTCCGAAAAGAGGATGCCTAAGATGGACATAAACTCGACCCAAGTGTATAACTGAGGTCCCAAGAATTGATCAACCTGATTTGCCACCTCATAAGGGTCGTCTAACAATGGCTTAATTTCCTTTTTCAAACTTCAGGCTTCTGAACTGGTCAAGAGAGCATTCACAAATACAATGGCTCCTCCTCCTAGTGGCATGTCTTTTAAGGGGAAGAGAGTTGGTTCTGACTCCTTATGTGTGGAGAGAAAAGGGAAGTTCTGAATGTCCTTTTTACATTGCTGTACCTCATGCTGGAGTCCCTTTAGGGAGAGGTATTTAGGTTGACAGGGGACAGGCTCATGGGATGATAACTCCCAAGAATTAGATGTAAGGAGGAGGAACAGCTTGAGCAGGAGAAGGATCTGGGGTGGGATCTGGGGTGGCAACAGCTGCCCGAGGGGAAGGGACAGAGGCACTGAGCAGGGCAAAATGGTATAGGGAATCCCATGTGCTGGCTTTAGGTGTGGGAGTCAGCTCATCTGACTTTTCAATTTGAGATGCTGGATCGGGTTCTTCCCTAGTTGTCTTTAAGGGAATAAAGACAGGTCCCTGTCTCCATAATCTAGTTCTTGAGAAACCAGATTTTTATCATTAACATATTGAATTAGAAGTTGACACATTACATCCTCATTCAACCCAAACTTTGGCCAGAAGATTGAGGGTTTGAAAATGGGACCTTGGGTCCAAATGAAACAGCAATATTTTATCCTCTAATGCTTTTTCTTATGTTTAGTCCTCTCATTATGCTTCCAATATTTTAACATGAGACCCAGGGGACTATCAGGGGGCATGTCTTTGTTACTATCCTCTTCTTTTTTGCGCCCTGTCTTTCTTGGGGCTTTTCCCATGTTAGGTCCTGGTTAGGCTCAATCCCACATGCTAGAGATTTCTTCCCTATCCTTTAACGCCACCTGCTGGAGGCTCCTTGCACGCTTCTTTCGCTTCATCCACTCTGGTTGCTTCTCTCCCAGGAATTTTAGGTCCCTCTTAGCATTCGCATCATGGTATAAACCTCACAGCAGGATCTGCCCTGAGCCCTATGAGGATACACTGAATTCCTCTTCAAAGGTTTTTTGTTCAAATAAAAAAACCGCAGATAGGACCCACTCACTCCTCACAGCAATAATGCTTAGTATCATCTACACAAACAGCAACACAAGCAGTAGTGCTTGTGATCATTCACACACACTTTCGACCTCCAGAATATCCTGACCACCAAGGAAATACTTTGTCACCCCTGCGACATTTCTTACCTCGGTCTGTGCACAGTTACCTGGTCGCCACGGTATGTGAAGATCCTTTCCCCAAAGATGCTGGCCTGTTTCTTTCCACGTTGCTGAGAGCCCAGGTTTATCAATCGCACCAGCTGAGTCTTGATTCCTTACCTTTATGGCCACTGCAACGAGGCAGCGGGGTGCGCCTCCTCACAGGAGAGGACTGGACCCTCCCCCAGAGGAGAATGGGAATGCTGGGTGGGCCCCCACATTTGTGGAAAATAAATTTTCAGTGAAACAAAGAACAGTCAGCACTCCAGCAACAAGTTTTTACAGCAAGGCAAATTTACTTCTATGAAAGAGTGGTCTTGCAGATGGAGCAATGGCAAGATCATACTGAACAAGGGAGGGGAAAGTGTTCTTATTCCTAATGCAGCTAGTCCCTACTGTTGTGTCTTTTCCCTATTGGATAGGGTTGGACTGCACACTCTTAGCTAATTCAGATGGGCTATTTCAAAGAGAGCAGGAGTATGAGCTGGAGTGGCAGGGTGTGTACTTTCAGCGGGAAAGACAGTTACAGAGCAGGTGTCTAAGGATGACTGAGGACAGAGCAGGTGACTAAGAATGACTAAAGACAAAACAGGTGTTAGAGGCTAGAAGGGGGTTGTTTAATGAAACTAGGGGCAAGGAGGCATAAATAATGAGGAAGTTAAACTTTAAAACGGAGAACAAAGAACAGAGAAGCTGAACATACTGACATATTTACTCTTTGATGAGGAACTCAGAACTCATTGTACTTAATCTTCCCCCTCTTGAATTTTAAAGGATTTTTACAGGCTAAAATCTTTGAAAAGGAATTCGCTGTATCCTATTCCTCAGGTGTTCTTTCCACCAAGCTTTCAGCCATGTCAGGTGTTCTTTACGCCAAGGGTGCAGCCTCGTCAGGTGTTCCTTCAGATGTTCCTTCTGCCAAACACACAGTCTGGTTAAATTTTCCTTCTGCTAAATATCATCCTTCTGACTCTTTACCTGGAAAACTTCTACTCATTCAGCTTGCTTTCCTTAAACACTACCAAACTTTTGTTTTCTCCTTTTTTTTTTTTGAGACAAGAGCCTCGCACTGTCGCCCAGGCTAGAGAAGAAGAAAGATAAAACACTCATGAAGTGAGGGCAGTGTAACTTAGTAAATTAACTAGAGGTAGCTTGACATATGAAAAATGTCCTTAACTCAGAATAAATCCTAGCATGGCTACCAACAGGTATTTTTTCTTGAACAAGTTGCTTCCTTAGACTCAATGTCTTCTAACAATGAGGATTTTAGGGCCTTATTTCACTATGTTATTATAAAGATTTAACAAGATAACATTTTTAAAATTCTTAAAATAAAAAGTGAAGCAAAAAAATAATTTGTTCTTGAACCTTATTGCTGAAACTATTTTAAAATTCCCAATAAAACCCAATATATTGGCCTGGTGCAGTGGCTCATGCTTGTGATGCAAGCAATTTGGGATGCTGAGATAGGAGGATTGCTTGAGTCCAGAAGTTCAAGACCAGCGTGGACAACATAGGGAGACCATGTCTTTACAAAAATTAAATTACAAAAAAAAGAAAAAACAAATGTGTTTCTTCATAGGTTATAATATTCAAATATTGCAATTTTCTGTTATTAATTCCTACTTTTGGATATTAGATGTTCTATTCTTTGTGGCTTGTAATTCAGAGCATCTAAGCTATTTTATATTTTGTAATGAAATTTATTTATAAATATATTAAATCATTAAATCAGATAACCTAATTATACTCTATTACTGAGCTCATCAGCCACACCAAGGGCAGAAAATAATAGATGTCAGCATCTGGCTTGGACTACTGCTACTCTTTATCTACCTCCTTAAACTCTGAACCAACAAATCTTTGTTAGAATGATGCTTAGTCACTATGTTCATTTCCAGCTGCTGTGGAAGACAAAACGCTACCTTTATTTTTTGTAAGTTCCACAAAGAAGATGCAAGTTGGTATTTTCTCATTTCTGAGATCCCTACTAACAAAATATTGCACACAAGATCCTATGTGTTACCACATCTCATTTCATAGATCACCTTACATAAATATTTTTTTGTATGAAAATCACAATTGCAATACTGGGTGTCACCCATTTTGCTTTGACTCACACCATTTCCTTGGAGCTAGTTAGAAAGGAGTAAAATGTCCTTTTGGGGACTGCAAGAAATATGCAACACTTTACAGATTTCTATGTCATCCTTGTGCGGGGACCATGCTGGTCTTCTCAACGTTGTTTCAATTTTACTATATGTACCACTGAAGCCAGCACAAATCCTTACTTTTATACATGAAGACTGATCAGTGATGGATGAGGCTTAGCTCTGTTAAATCTAACCAACTTACTTGAGATTTAGTGAAGTCTATTGAATGGCTTCATGGTGATGCAGCATTTGAAAATATTTAAAAAACTCGAGGTAGAGATGTAAGTAGCATGGGAGATTTTTACTTTTAGGAAAAAAGAATCACTTGAAGGGACAACCACAAGTTGGAACCCACTACAACTTGGGAAAGATGACATGGGATTTTACAGAATAAGGTGAGACCTTCCACTACCTACAAAATGGTGCTACACAGGATATAAAGGGCCAGAGATATAGATCTGGTAACAAAGACAAAATGGATCTCTAATTTCTTCCTGTAACATTATTTCAACCTGAGTTACAGTTTCAAACTACCACAACTAATATTGGCTAGAGAAAATAGAAAAAAGCCAATCAAAGGATAACTTACCATGAAGGTCTAGGCCATATCCAGGCTAAGATGTGGGTTTCATGTCAGGTTTTGAGTGTGAGAAGAAGGGTCAATTTGCTCACTATGTGTGTGGCTAAAGCTAAAAGTTCTAGCTGCCAGAGTGGGGTGCTGGTACTTTGGAAACAATGGCTGAGAATATGTACGTGAACTTTAAAAACATGTAATAACTTCGAAGTCTACACCATGAAGACTGAGAGATCTGCGTTACTAAGGGCATCCTGGTCACAAAGGTCAATCATTACCAGACTGCAGAAGCAGTTTCAATGGCAATGATGCAGCAACAGAATCAATGGAAACAACAAAATAAAGAGAATGGCCATTTCCCAACCCCCCAATCCTTCTGACTTGTACAAAAAGAATGTCTTCCTTGGACTTAGGTTCAGATTCTTTTAAAAGATTCAAGAATGAAGGTATGGAAGACAGCCCCCAGGGGACACTGTCAGGTTTTCTGCTTAAAGTGGACATTTTGAGACCCAAATAACTAATTAGAAAAACCAAAATTGTGACATTATGTTTATCCCATGCATAGGGGTTATACTTCAAATCAAGTAGACAACATTAGCATCCCTAAAGCCCTAAAATAAAGAATCCTGGAGCCATTATTCCTTCTAACTAGTATAGCTTTTTGCCTGGTTTCTGGCTGATGAAGTGAACTAACTCACTGTCATTCAAAAACTACCTGAAACAAACTATAAAATCTCACCTAGTCTTTAAATGTAAACACTTACAGATTAAACCCACAAGCAACAGCATAACGTTGCAATCATTCCACACGTATCTTCAGCACAGATGTCAACATTTTGCTGAAGAACCATGCCAACTATCTCTGATGATCCATGGCATATGGCAAGCATGAGGGCTGTGCTAAAATCACAAAGAGATAACTTCATTATTAGGAACAGAACCAGTTTAATATGTGCCTGTCAGTGTAGAATTAACCATTTACATGTATTAACAAATGTTAAGTATCTTGAGTGCTCAAGTGTTTATCTTTGTAAATCACGACCAAGGCTAAAAGGAAGGGGTGAAAAGACTCATGTCTCACTGGTATATGGCATAGTAGTACTGCACCTTCTCTTGTAAACATTCAGCCTCTGCATCACTACATCAACTCTGGTTATCTCCAAAAATCATTATACTGTAATGATTTTATTGTTTCCCATGTAAACCAAGAGCTTCTTGAGGGCAGGGTCTGTATCTTTTACCTCTATATAATTAAACCCTAAGACATAGTAGTAAATATTTTATTTTTTACTAAGTTAGTAATCTAAATTATTACCTCTAGAACAGTGTTTCTTCAACTATATTCCAAAGAATAATTACCTTACCAGAAGCACTGTACCCCAACAGATTCCACCATTATCTGTGTTCAAGAAATGTTATAAAACTGTGAATTAAATGTTCATTATTCAAGAAATGAATTGAACTTTACCTAATCCCTATTGACAGTATATTTTTGTGGCAAACATTAACATTTGACAAATAGAATTTCAGGGATGCAGTTCTGAAAGCTTCCCCCCAAAAATGGAGGTTTCCTCTGGGTGATACAAACTCACTTGATTCTCTTCTGTCAATGATCCCAAGATTCCAAATGCCAATGTCAGGCACTTCTGCTCTAAATGGGTCAATAAGGAAGTGGCTCTAAATTAAAAGAGGTTGGCTTCAAATAAACTTTGATTGCTCATTATTAAATGGTCCATGGGGTTTATCCTATTACCAGACAATAGGATTTTATCTCAGCTATTAGAAATTCAGTATAAAAGCCCAGGTGAGGTGGTTCATGCCTGTAATCCCAGCACATTGAGAGGCCAAGGCAGGCAGATCACAAGGTCAGGAGATCGAGACCATTCTGGTCAACATGGTGAAACCCCATCTCTGCTAAAAATACAAAAAATTTAGCTGGGCATGGTGGCACATGCCTGCATCCCAGCTACTTAGGAGGCTGAGGCAGGAGAATCGCTTGAACCAGGGAGGCAAATATTGCAGTGAGCCGAGATCACACCACCGCACTCCGACCTGGTGACAGAGCAAGGCTCCGTCTCAAAAAAAAAAAAAGAAAGAAAGGAAAGAAATTCAGTATAAAATTTTATTCTCTATTATAATGATACTCCTAGGATCCTAATGCATATCTACTTCTTAAAATGCAATAATCCATTTTTATTCTGGTTTCTATTGTAATTGATACTATTTTTTGGCAAAATATCAGAAGCATGAATAAAATGGCTTATTAATGAAAGTTCTAACTCATGTATATGGCTTAGCAAAATAGAAGCCACTAAATAACTTGAATTTTAAGGGACAATTCTGCGGAGAAAGATATAATATTTTCTGCAATATGCATAACCTATTCAAATATAACCATGATTAATCTAAGAAGGCTTAAAGGCCTTCTAATAGAAGATGATTATTTATGGTTTATATGAAGAAAAATAATCATTTAAAAAATATTCTAAATTCTAGAAGACTACCCCATTATTAATGAATTAATGTAAAATATAAACTATATATTATAAACACCTATAAACTGTCTTTGATAACTTGAAATCTTTACCAAAATATACTATGAGAGAGGAATTGATAAGTGAAATATTTACAGAGGCAAAAGAGGTCAGTTGAATAAGTGATGTAACTAGGTGGGCACAGTAGCAAACTGGAAACATATGCTTTATGTAAAGCTAGAATGTCTTCATAGCATACCAAACAGTCATATGGGCTCAAGAGACACCAGATTCAATCCTTTAAGAAGAAATCCAGATTTCTGCATGTCTCTGAAATTTTACATGTTGACTCAATTTATGCAGGCAAATTTTAATTTCCTGTAGTTTTACACTAACTGGAAAGAAAAAAAAACTTGGGTGCTAAAGAATATTTGAAAATGTTTTACCTTTAACAAATTCAAATATTTATCATAATGCACAGAAAAGCCATACTAATAGTTCTTGTAAAAATATTAATATTTAAAGCAAAATCCTAGACAATTAAGTTTTGTCAAACTATTTTCATAGAAAAATAGGAATGTTTGAGCTTCCAAATATAAAACAATTTACATATGTTAATGTTAAAACAAATGGATTTCAAATATTTTGAAAATAGCATTGGTTAACGTCTACCTTGTTCATCACTTCGATGTCTGCACCTTAGGACAGCAATTTTGCCACCACTGACAAGTTCTCACTATAAACAGCATAATGGACAGCTGTGTTGCCATACACATCTACAATATTTGGATCAGCACCAGAATCTATGAGAATATTTGCACAAGCCTCCCTCTGGCATTGCAGAGCCTGTTAGTATTAAAGCAAGAAGTAAATTATAAATTATAGGAAATATAAATAAATATTCCACAGGTTTCACAAACTAATTATATTTCAATGAGATAAATTCATCTTTATTCTATGTATTTAAACCAAATCCATCTCCTGCTGAAAGAACTGGCTACAATTTACCTTCATCAGAGGTGTCCTGTTTTCACCATCAAGGACGTCAACCTGGCGTTTTCTATCTACCAGTAGTGTTACTACTTCTGCGTGGCCATTGGCACAGGCCCAGTGTAGAGCAGTCCTACGAGAGTGAGAGGACTTTTTAGGAAATTTTAGTCCACTGTCTCAAAACATATAATGATTTATGTAATTGTCAACATTAAATATCATGCTCTTTCTCTGCCTTCAAAACAAATATTTAATATTCTCCTGAAGAAAGTACAACATTCATTCGCTCTTATTACTCACTACATTAATGAAAGAGTGGCCTATTTGAATAGAAAGAGCTTGGCCTTTGATTCAGTTCAACATGGGCTTGAATATTACTTTAAAGTCTTTCACCTTCTAGCTATCACTTAACCTTTCTGTGCCTCAATTTTCTCATCAATAAAGTGAAGATGAATACAGCAGTTATCTCACAGGACATCACTGTGATGCCTCATGAGAATCTGTGCAACGTTTTTCAAAGAATTCCTAGCACATGTAACAGCTCAGTAATTGTTAGATATTGTAATTATTTCTACTACTTAACAAAGAAAACATTTTAAGTAAAATGGTACAATTATGCCTACTTTGTGGTATGTTTTAAAGGTTAGAGATAAACCTGTAGTTTAATAATTCTAAGATACTCTATTTCTCATATTTTAACATCTCTGACATTGAAATGCCACTTATAAGTCATTATTTGTTACAAGTATATTCTGCAGAAATTTAAACAATCTTTTATTGTTACATAAATAAGGAGGCATCACACAATTCACGGTGCCTTCCATGAAGTGGCATATGGTATATACAACAGGATGATGGCAGTCCTAGTCATAGGATTAACACTTAAAGAAATTTTAGCTTTTAAGAGTGCTACACAAAAGGAGAGTTGAAATAAAAACAAACTGTTAAAACAAAGTACTTCTTTAATATTTTTAAAACTTCAAGCCAAAGAAAACTTGGGATTAAAGTAGGTATGGATCATTTTATTCCATATTTAGATTTATAGAATGTATGTAAATTCATATTTAAATTTATAGAATGCATGTAAATTAGGTATTTCCAATGATTAATATTACTATTTAAAGCTGTTATAAATTTCCAAAATCATGGTTGGTAGTTATGTTTTACTAGTTTCTTACTTCAGAAGTGTTTTTGTTTTAAAGATGAGAGGAAAAGCTTCAATTGAGATTCAGTCCTAGTACTCCAACTTTAAATCTCTCACTTTGCTAAGGCTGAGCAGGTAAATGTAAAATTTTTAAGGATGAAAGGATCTTGAGAGTTAATGTATCTTCTACATAATAGGCATTCAGCTTACATGTGATAAATTGATTAAAAGGATAAATACAGTTGAGAAGTTCAATACCTTAAAAAAACTGCTATAAATAAAGCACTTATATTTTCTATTTTATTTTCTTAATAATAAAACTACACTAATTAATCTATAATTATTGACATATATGTAATAAATCTATATATAATAAAAATATGTGTCTAATAAGATGTATATGTAAATCAACAAGCACAGGTAAAAAGATTGTCTTTTGAAGATGCTAAAAGTTCACAGAATATACTAATCCACAAAAAATAAAAATTAAAGTATGGAAAGTGAGAAATTATTTTCATTGGTGCAAAATTATATTCCTGCTCTTCCCAAAAATTATTTCATTAATAATAAACTTTTTCTAATAGCATTGTACATGCTCAATGTGGAAATCAAAGATAATAAAAAGGAAAAACATTTTATATTAAAACAAATGCCCTCAAATAACAAATTTTATCAGGTTTCATACACAATTTCAGATAACACAAGACTGTAGTCTGTGTGTATGTATAATCAAACTGAACTTTACCCTCACTTGATACACCAAAATACATTTTCAAATGTCACCTACTTCTCTACATATTTCTACCTTCAGTGGTCACATATTATCCCATGCTGTAAATTCACTGAAATGTATTTATAAAAGTCATTATATGGATTCTTCTTAATAATATGGTACTTACCACCAAATTGTCTATTTGAAAAGTTATCTGCAACTTAAACTTTAAACAGCAGTGTAAATATCACTGCTCTTTTTCCTCATAAACTTTGTAGATAGAAAGCAGTGTTTGATTCCTCTTTTAACTTAAATGCCTTCTGTAACCAGGAACACTAAATATTGTTTTCTGTGTGCATAGGTCACTTGCAGATCTTAAGAAAATACTTTTCCAATTTTAAATTAGAAGCAAAGTACTATTTTTAGACCTGCAATTTAGATCTCTAATTTAAATTGCTCAATTTTAAATTAGAGGGTTTTTTGTTGATTTAAGTGAATTATCTATAAAAGGACGATTTTTAAATCTAATATGTATACACACACGCACATACATGTGTAGTAAATATTTTACAAGTATGCGGCCTTTTATTTTTTCTCATTACAGTTTAATTTAATTTTGTTTTGCTTAATTATCCTTCAGACTGCTTGCTTCTGAGCTTCTTAGAAAGGTGTTGTCAACATAAAAATGTACCTGTGTAAATAGGCATTTATGTTTTCTTCTGGTGCTTTTATCATTTTGTATATTAAAAAAATTAATCTATATTCCGTTAGAAATTTACTTTGTGGCATAAAAATCTAGTTTTCTTCAAAAAGCAGGCATTTCCCTTATGAAACTATTCTTTCCCTACTAGTATAAAGTGTGAGCATTATCAAGTTCTAAATTCTTAGATATTCGGGTGTTTCTGGATTTTCTACTCTGTTGTATTCATTTACCTGTCTTTTCAGCTGTTATCAAAGAATTTGTGATTTATGTATTTATTTTTGAGACACAGTCTCACTCTGTCGCCCAGGCTGGAGTGCAGTGATGGGATCTCAGCTCACTGCAACCTCCACCTCCCAGTTTCAAGCGATTCTCGCTCCTCAGCCTCCCGAGTAGATGGGCTTACAGGCTACCGACATCGTGCCTGGCTAATTTTTGTATTTTTGTAGAGTCGGGGTTTCACCATATTGGCCAGGCTAGTCTTGAACTCCTGACCTCAGGTGATCCACCCGCCTCGGCCGCCCGAAGTGCTGGGACCACAGGCATGAGCCAGCACGCCTGGACTTTTTTTTTTCTTTTTTCAAATTTTATTTATTTATTTATTTATTATTATTTTGAGACGGAATCTCGCTCTGTCACCCAGGCTGGAGTGCAGTGGTGCGATCTCGGCTCACTCCAAGCTCCGCCTCCCAGGTTTACACCATTCTCCTGCCTCAGCCTCCCGAGTAGCTGGGACTACAGGTGCCCGCCACCATGCCCGGCTAATTTTTTGTATTTTTAGTAGAGACCGTGTTAGCCAGGATGGTCTTGATCTCCTGACCTCGTGATCCACCCACCTCGGCCTCCCAAAGTGCTGGGATTACAGGCATGATCCACCGTGCCTGGCCGTGGCCCATTTTGTGCAAATTAATAGCACATTTTGAAATCTAGAAGAGCAAGACTTTTCTACTCCGTTAGAAAAATTTTTAAATGTCATCACAGTAGTAAAAGACAGAGTGTGTAATTTTAAAAATGTTAAAATGTTGATGATTTTATTTGGTTTATGTAAAACTGATAAAGAACTTGCATCTTGAGAAAAATGAGTCTTCTTAAATTCGAAAACATAAACCATCTTCCCACCTCAAAGTTACCTTCTAAGGTCCCTCAGCAAAGATTATATTTACATAGACATTCATTGATATTGAAATGGATACTGGACTTTATCCAAAAAATTTTTAGCCAAGAAGTTAATATATTATGGGAATTATTTCATTATGCACCATTTCATAATGTATCTAACGTTATCTTTTAAAACCTGTACATTAAAAGTAAAACCCTGTATGTACTTAATTTTGTAAGTTAAATCACTTTAAAATTCTCTACACAGTGCTCTGTGAGAGGAAGTGGAAGTGAAGGAGAAAGCAGCTAACTAAAGTTTGAGGTTGATTTTAAGGTGGCCTGGGCCCTCCACCCTGCAGGGCGCCCCCATCCAAGGCCTGGGGGGCCTGCCCGGGAAGAAGATCAAGACCTCGGGGCCCAGGACAGCCGCCCCGCTGCCCGCCACTCCTCCACCTGCTCCCCTCGTCCCCAGGACCCCCAGCCCCCACTCTGAAGGGGCGATCCTCCCACAGCCGCCTCCTCCTCCTGCAGCCCCGGCTCAGGCACGGTCTGGTACCTCTTCTTCGCATCTCTTATGTTCAGGTCCATTGTCGTCTTCTTCATCATCCTCTCCAGCTTCCAGGCTTGGCCACGGGAGGCAGCTTTGTGGATCTTCCTGAGATCCCCATGGTGAATCACGTAAGAGCCATTGTTGGTGTAGACCAGCTGACTGAAGGGGCTCCGGCGCTCCGGGCCCGTCTGGCCCTTGACAGCGGCGGCAGAGAGCCTCTCCATGGCTGCAGCCACCTGCTAGACAGAGCCCGCACCTCCCGCTGCTCGCCCTTCCCCAGTCCCCGCCGCTCGCCCTCGCCCTTCTTCAGTCCCCGCACCCGCCCTGACACCAGTAGAAATCTCAGTCGGGCCAAGCTTTTGGACACTCCAGCCTCTCCTGGGAGAAAATCGCTGCGCAAAACCATTAGGCAGCTGAGCAGAACCGTTAGGCAGCTGAGCAGAACCTTTAGGCAGCTGAGCAGAACCGTTAGGCAACAGAGCATGCGCAACTCAGCAGACCGGGGAGACAGGCGAGGCGGGAAACCGCCCGGGCTATGCTTCGCCCAGCACCGCGTGCAGGTGGCACCTGCCACTGAGGTGCTGTCGGGCTGGCGGGGCTCCCTGGAGCGGAACGTGGGGGGCTCCCTGCCACACGGCCTGCTTGACAGAGCCGCCCCTGGCCCCTCCTCAACCTGAGATCCAGGAGCTGGGCCCTGGTGCTGGGCATCGTGCAGCCTCTGTGGTGGCGCTGAGCGTCGGTTCCCGCCCTCCTGCAGCCAGGGACCCAACCACTGACTTAGGCGCCCTGGAGGCTTCTGGCCCAAGTATCCATGCTGCTGGTGGCGCTGGCAGGGTCGGGGTTGCAGCCTCTGCTGCCAGGTGGCAGCTGCAGCTGAGCCCATGGTAGAGGCTACAGAGCTGGGCCCAGACCACTGAGCATTGCCGAGTACATCGCCCTTCCACCCGGGGCTCTGCTCTTCCTCAGCTCGCACTGGCAGTGCAGGCTCGCCACCACTGGGCCCTGTACAGCTGCGGCCATGAGGCTTTGCGGCAGGTTCCCACCCTCCTGCAACTGAGGTCCCACTGCCTGACTTAGGTGCAGTGGCGTTGTCCGACCCTGGGGTTCGCCTGCTGGTGGGGCGGACATGTTCTGGGGTTGCCACTGCTGTTGCCACCTTCAAATGCCAGCTGCAGCTGAGCCCATGGTAGAAGCTGCAGGGCTGGGCCCGATGGTCTGAGGGTCACTGAGTGGCACACGCCCTCCCACTCTAGGCCCTGCTCTTCCTTGGCTCGCGCCCTGAGTGCTGGTTTGCAGGCTCTGGGGACTGTGCAGTCGCCAGGATGGAGCTGAGTGGCAGGTTCAGCGCTGCCTGGGCCCAGAGGGGAAGAGGGGAGTTTGGGGTTGCTTGGCCGTATTTGCCTGTGTGCCAAGTGCAGGTAGTGGCTACAGTTCTGACAGGCACGGATGGCCCGTCCCGTTTAGAGGGCTTCAAGGTTGCTGAGAGCGCCAGCTGCCAGGCCTCAGGATCCCTTCCTCGTTGAGCAGCATCTGGAGTATGGCGGTGGCGCTGGGTAATCTGCAGCCATCCTGGATGGGACTGAGCTGCAGTTCTCTCCCTTGGACTGAGAGGGAAACTTGGCTGAGTAGAGCAGATGGAGAAACAGTTAAATTGAACTTATCTATAAAGACTTCCAGGCTGGGTGCAGGACCTCATGCCTGTACTTACAGCACTTTGGGAGACCGAGATAGGAGGATCGCTTGATCCCGGGAGTTTGAGACCAGCTTAGACAACACAGAGAACGTTCATCTCTGTAAAAATAAAACCAATCAGCCAGGCATGGTGGTGCATGTCTGTGGCCCCAGCTACTTGGGAGATAGATTGTGGGAGGATCACTTGCACCCTGGAGTTCGTGGGTACAGTAAACTGATTGTGCCACAAACAAGGAATGAGAGGTCCTGTTGCTCCACATCCTTGACAGCATTTGACTTTTTCAGTCTTCTGGATTTTGGTTATTGTTTGATTGTTTGTGCCGCTGCACTCCAAGCCTGGGCAACAGAGACTCTCTCTCTCAAAATAAATAAATAAAATACTTCTAGTCACTATATCATATTTATGTCGAATTCTTTACACATCAAGCTTGAAGAGTTAAAACCCACAGCACCCTCTGATTATGTGATAGGGACCATGTGATTAAAGTGGGTGACCATGTTCTTGCCTCCAGGGGGCCCAAGTCAAGGGATGGGTCCTCAGCTGCAGGAGAGTGGGAATGGATGCTCAGCACCACCCCGGAGGCTACACAATGCCCAGCCCCAGGGCCCAACTCCTGGATCCCGGGTCATGAACAAAAACCCAAGAATTGAAGACTTGAGTGTTAGATGTGCTCATTTCTGCTGGGATATCATTGGTTCTAGACTGTCTTAGCTTACAGAGCAAATAAATAAATGTGTGTATACAAAGCTGTGTATAGACATAACTATAAATATTTCTAAATGTAATGTGTGTAAGTGTTAGTTCATACTGATGTCTACGACTCAATTCTTTTATCACATGATCATTCTGGCCTTCTCCCTTTGCTTACATGTAACCTACCACTTTAATAGTGAGAAACTAGACTCCTGTCATTTGTCATCCATTTGCTTAACTGTCTAGTTCCAATATACATTTATTCTCTATCAATATCAGAATCATTATCCCATTTCCTGTAGGAAACAGCTATACCAACCAGATCACATGAGTTGTTTGCAGTTTCTCTTCCTTTCAGTCTTCATGCATTTTGTTTCTTTCTTTTTTTTTTTTTTTTTTTTTTTTTTGAGATGGAGTTTTGCTCTTCTTGCCCAGGCTGAGGCTGGAGTGCAGTGGCATGATCTCGGCTCACTGCAACCTCTACCTCCCAGGTTCAAGCAATTCTCCTGCCTCAGCCTCCTGCATAGCTGGGATTACAGGCACCTGCCATCATGCCCAGCTAATTTTTGTCTTTTTAGTAGAGACGGGGTTTCACCATTTTTGCCAGGCTAGTCTCAAACTCCCAGCCTCAGGTGATCCGCCCACCTTGACCTCCTAAAGTGCTGGGATTACAGGTGTGAGCCACCACAGAAGGCCCATCCATTTTCTAAGATGCTTATGTCAGCACGTTTTTCCCACTCCCTAGAGTGAAGTGGCTTTATACATTTGTAGTACTTTAGATTTTTTATCACTTTCTGCATTCCATCCCAGGATCCCCAGAACACCTACTTTGTTGTTGTTGTTGTTGTTTTAAAATTTGCATATATTAAGTGACACTCTTTGTGCTGTGAGATTCTTTGTTTTTTAACAAATGCAGGCCGCGTGCAGTGGCTCACGCCTCTAATCCCAGCACTTTGGGAGGCCGAGGCGGGCAGATCACGAGGTCAGGAGATGGAGATCATCCTGGCTACATGGTGAAACCCCGTCTCTACTAAAAATACAAAAACAAAATTAGCCGGGCGTGGTGGCAGGCGCCTGTAGTCCCAGCTACTCGGGAGGCTGAGGCGGGAGAATGGCGTGAACCCGGGTTGCCTAGCTTGCAGTGAGCCGAGATCGTGCCACTGCACTCCAGCCTGGGCGACAGAGCAGACTCCATCTCAAAAAACAAAACAAAAAAAAACAAACGCAAATGCATACTCTCATGTTTCCACAGTTGTGGTATCATACAGAATACTTTGACTGGTCCAAATAATGCCCATGTGCTTCACCTATTAAACCTCCTCACTGAATCTTTTGCCAGATCATTTACTTTTTTAGGAAGTAATATTCCTTTATATGATGTATCACAGTGTTTTTTGTTGTTTTTTTTTTCCATTCATCAATTATGAGACCTCTTGGTTTCTTCCAGTTTCGGGAATTATAAACAAACTGCTATATATATATATTCATGTACCAGTTTTGGTGTGGACATAGTTTTCAAATAAGGTGGATAAACACCTAAAAACACATTTGCAGCCAGGCACGATGGCTCACGCCTGTAATCCTAGCACTTTGGGAGGCCGATGCGATCGCATTGCCTGAGCTCAGGAGTTGGACACCAGCCTGGGCCACATGGTAAAATTTCCCAAATCAGCAGGTTATACTGACTCTAGTAAAATTAAAAAAAAAAAAAAAAAAAAAATAGCCGAGCATGGTGGTAGGTGCCTGTATTCCCAGCTACTCTGGAGGCTGAGGCAGGAGAATTGTTTGAACCCAGGAGGTGGAGGTTGCAGTATCCTTCTATTGCACCACTGCACTCCAGCCTGGGTGACAGAGCAAGATTCCATCTCAAAACAAACAAAAAACCACAATTGCTATATTATATTTAAGACTTTTTTTTACATGTAGTATAGCAACTATGGGCATAAGAAATTGCCCATCTGTCTTCCAAAGTGTTGGTTTCATTTTGCAAGCAGTGAAAGAAAAAAAACAAAAAACAAAATTCTTCTTGCTCCTGGTTTTTGGGAAAAAGCATCCCATTTCTCATCATTAAGTATGATAGTTCCAGGGTTTTTGTAGATGTTCTTTTTCAAGTTAAGAAAATTCACCTCAATTCCTAGTTTTCTGAGAGTTTCTCAAATTATAGATGGGTGATAGATTTTGCCATAAGCTTTTTCTACATCGGTTGATACAGTCACATGATTTTTCTTCCTTAACCTGTTGATTTAGGAAATTCTGCAGATAATTTTCTAATATTGAATCAGTCTTGCATACAGTCTTACCTAGAATAAATACATAGTTAGATTCAATTGTCTAGTATTTTGTGAAGGATTATTGAATCTTTGTTCATGAGAGATATTGATATATTGATTTTATTTCATGTTATGCCTATTGGATTTGGTAAGAGGGTAATATTTACCTCATAGAATGAATTAGGAAGTGTTCTCTCTAATTCCATTTTCTTGAAAAGTCTGTGGAAAATTGGTATAATTTCTCCTTTAAATGCTTGATAGAACTCACCACTAAAGACATTCGGGCCTGGAACCATTGGTGGGGGGGCGAGTTATTAACTATTTATTCAATTCCTTTTATAGATGTAAGAGTACTCATGTTATTTATTTTTTCTTTTGTGAGTATTGGCATATTGTGTCTTTCAAGGTATTTGTCCATTTTATATAGGTTATTCAACTTGTGAGTATAGAGTTTTAATATAGTAAATATATTATCCTTTTAATGTCCACAAAATCAGGAGTCATAACCCATATCCCTCTTTCACTTCCAATATTTGTAAGTTGTGCATTCTCTCTTTTTTTCTTTATTAGTTTGTCTAAATGTTAGCAAGTTTATGGATCTTTTCAAAGAAACAGCTTTCTGTTTCATTGATTTTCTCTATTGATTTCCTGTTTTCTATTTTACTGATATCTGCTATACTTTATATATTTTTTCCCTTGTTACTTACTTTGGATTTTCTTTTTCTAGTTTCTTAAGGCAGAAGCTTAGGTTATTGTTTTTATTTCCTTTTTCATAATAATATGCATTTAATGCTATAAATTTAGGTACTAGTTCTACTGTATCTCATATATTTTAATAAGTTGTGATTCCATTTCCTTTTAATTCTAAATATTTTAGTTACTCTTTAGTCTTCTTTTGGGATGCATTTAGATGTTTTTTAAGTCTTCAAATATTTGAAAAATTTTTCAGCTCTTCCTGCTATTTATTTCTACTTTAATTTTTATTGTGGTCTGAGTGTGTACTTTGTATGAACTTTATTCTTTGAAAAATTTTAAGACATTTATGGCCCATAATGCAGTGTGTCTTGTACAAACTGGAGAAGAATGTGTATTCTACTTTTGTTGAAGTAGAATATAAACATTAATTATATTCATTTATTTTTATTTCATTTTATTTTATTTTGAGATAGACCCTCACTCTGTCACCCAGGCTGGAGTGCAGTGGTGGTCTTGGCACACTGCAACCTCCACATCCCAGGTTAAAGTGATCCTCCCACCTCAGCCCAGAGTAGCTGGGATTACAGATGTGTGCCACAACACCAGGCTAACTTTCATATTTTTAATAGAGACGTGTTTCATCATGTTGGTCAGGCTGGCCTCAGGTGGTCCACCCACCTTGGCATCCCAAAGTGCTGGGATTACTGGCATGAGCCACCGTGCCTGGCCTGCCTCCTCTTATTTTAATTGAGCATCTTCTATGATTGTATTTTTATCTCAGCTCTTGGTGTATCTCATCACCTCATGAGATGTGATCTCATCACTTCTTTTAAAAACTTGTGGTGGTTATCTTAGAATTGATTATATGCATTTTAAGTCTATCTTTAAATTAAGTAGAATTGATTATATACATTTTATGTCTGTCTTCAAATAAAATTGTTACTTCACATGTAGTGTAGGTATCCCATAAAAATACTACCAGATTGTACCTCCTGTACCTTATGACATTGCTATTGTTCATTTCATCTCTCCACATTCTATAATTACCCATTTTTTGTTACTAAACAGTTATGGATCAATAAGAATAAAAAAAGTTTTTAACTTTAATTTATTCTTTTTCATTTATTTCTTCTTTATTGTGTATCTGAATTTCTCACTTGCATCATTTTCTCTCCCCTTGAAGAACTTCCTTTAGTATTTCTTGCAAGACAGGTCAGCTGACAATCACTTAAATTTTGTTTTTCTGAGAAAGTTTTCTATTTGCTTTCTTTGTTAAAGGAAATTTCAATATATAGAATTGCTTTATCCCCCTAAAGTCATATGCTGTTGAATATATTTTCAAATACTTATTTGCCATTTTTATATTTCCTTTGGTGACTTATCCATTTATATTGTTTCCCCATTTTTAACTGAATTGTTTGCTTTCTTGTGAAATTTGAAGGGTTTCTTGTGTATTTTGAATAATAGCCTTTATTACAGATTAGTGGATAAAGAAAATGTGGCATATACATACAATGGAATATTATTCATCCTTAGAAAAGAAGGAAATCCTAAAATTTGTGATAGCATTGATGGACTGAGAGAACATATTGCTAAGTAAAATAAGTGAGACACAGAAAGACAAATATACTGCATAATCTCACTTATCTGTGAAATCTAAAAAATTTAAACTCATTAGATGCTAGGGATTAGAAGGTAGGAAAAAGGGGGAGATGCTTTTAGTTAAAAGATGAATAAATTCTGGATACCTAACATATATAGCATAGTAGCTACAGCTGATAAGAATGCATTGTATACTTGAATTTTGCTAACAGGGTAGGTCTTACGTATTTCCATACAAGCACACATAGACACACACAGAGAAAGTGTAACTTTGTAAGTTGATGAAAATGTTATTTGACAGTGGCTATTACTTCACAATGTATACACACATCACATCATATTATATAACTTAAATATGTACAATTTTTATTTATCAATCTTACTTCAATGTAGCTAAAAAGAAAAATAAGAAAAAAACATTTGTACATCATAATTAATTATGAAAGGGATACATTTTCTAACAATTATGATATCTTTTTCTATGCTTATTTTAGAATATTATATTGTTATTGGGATTATTGCCCCCATTTTCTTCTCTGCACCTGTATTCCTATCTTTATCACAGTGACCAAATCTCCTCTGATAACACTTAATTTTTGCCCATCTGAAATTATATCTTAAATTCCAAAAAGTAAATGTTTTCTGATTTTTAGGGAAAAATAAGTATTTTTTAGATTTCCTAGGTGACCTCTAGAAAAACTGTGACAATTGTTGCCTTATAACATGAGTGAGACTAAAATAAATTGGGCTTCTTTGGTGTGCCCCATATTTCTTCATTAGTTCTACACATCTGCGTGAGTTGCATGAGGTCAATTCTAAAGGGCTCAGCCTTCTCAGTTCATTTTACATAATCTTACATATTAAGATGAATGGTGTCGGGGTGCGGTGGCCCACGCCTGTAATTCCAGCACTTTGGGAGGCTGAGGTGGGCAGATCAGGAGGTCAAGAGATCGAGACCATCATGGCCAACATAGTGAAACCCCATCTCTACTAAAAATACAAAAACTAGCTGGGCATCGTGGTGCATGCCTGTAGTCTCATCTATTCAGGAGGTTGAGGCAGGAGAATCACTTGAACCCAGGAGGCAGAGGTTGCAGTGAGCCAAGATGGCACCACTGCACTCCAGCCTGGTGACACAGGGATACTCTGTCTCAAAAAAAAAAAAAAAAAAAAAAAAGAGGTGAATGGTTTAGGAACTGTAGACATTTAACTCATAGATTAGAGATTGTAATAGGAAATTGGAGAGGTATATGCCCCCAGGTGAAACATTGGTCAAGTCTTTATGAGATAGTATTGAACTTAATGCAGAATTTTATTCTTCTCCATTTTTATATTATTGTTTACTATATAAATTAAACAGCCATTTAGTTGCATCTCTAGGTGGTTTTTGTTTTCCTCTGACACTTACTTGAATGTTCTCCTATAAAGTACTGAGCATAATAACTTACTTTTAAATCACATTGTTTTAAGGATTTATCTTTTTGCCTCATTGGTAGATAATTTTATCAAAGCAAAAAACTGACTCAACATCCAGTAGAAGGAGTATTAATTACAGTTTCTTTTTCTAGCTCTGATCCTCAATTTTATATACTACACCTGGTAAGTGAAATACATCATTCAAACACTGTCTAATTTCTATTTTTCTCTGAGAATTCAGAACAATATATTTGTACTGACTCTCCATGCTTGTAGGTCAACATATTATTATTGTAGGACTTTCTCCTTAGTTCAGCTAAAAGCTGCGTTCTTGTCACACAGCCATGAAATATTAGGCTCACAGATGCTTTGAAGGGTGAGAAAAATGGAATTTATTGGGCGAAAGGGAAAAAAGGGGAAACAGAGACTGTCAGTAAAGTGAGTCCTGCTTCCCAGCTTCCTGCCTCATAGATTGAATCCCAGCCTCCGCCCTGGAACAGAAGAGGCCAGGCTCCTCCCTGCTGCAAACTTCCCGAGGCACCACCTCATTGTGCACTCCTGTCAGTGTGCAAGCTGGTCGGAGGTTCTGCTGAGGAGCCCTTTTTACTTGCTTTCTTATTATTTGCATAGTTTCATCAAGAATCTGTCCTTTTCTCTTGGGATTTAATTGGACATCCAAGGCCATACATGTGTTTATAAGGTATGAAAATACCTATTAAGGAACAAGATTGTACTTTAAATGTTGAGCCAATACCTACTAACTCCTCCACCTGTTCTATGGTTCCAGCCTCACATTGGTAAGGGAGTGTTTTCAGAAGGCCATGAATCTTACATTTTAAAACCTGGTGGAGGGAAGACTTCACCTATGTGTTTAACTCCTCTTTCTGAAGCTACATAAATAATCAGGGTCAACTATAGTCAGATAAACTTTTTCTTTTTTTGATTAAGAATAACACTTGGAGGCCGAGCCGGTGGCTCACGCCTGTAATCCCAGCATTTTGGGAGGCTGAGGCGGGCGGATCACGCGGTCAGGAGATCGAGACCATCCTGGCTAACATGGTGAAACCCCGTCTCTACTAAAAATACAAAAAGTTACCCAGGCATGGTGGCGGGCGCCTGTAGTCCCAGCTACTCCAGAGGCTGAGGCAGCAGAATGGCGTGAACCCAGAGGCAGAGCCTGCAGTGAGCCGAGATCATACCACTGTACTCCAGCCTGGGAGACCGAGCCAGACTCTGTCTCAAAAAAAAAAATAAATAAATAAAAAAGAGAATAACACTTGAAGATTATTGACATGAAAATAAGGAACTGAGTTAGTTATGGATTAGCACTAACAGAGGACATATTTGTGATAGGGGACTGCTAAGGAAAAGTATCTAAAACTCTGACATAACACATGTATATTTAGTGTAATATTACATTATTAAAAGCTATCATCTAAAAGGCCAACCCAAAGATTACTTCATTTTCTTTTGATTTGGCTATGTATTAGTTGATTTGATCCTAGACGCTATGCAATTATGTGATAACTTCTAGGTTTCTCTCTAGTAGAAAAAGACAATGCCAGACCTTATGGATCTGTTTCCATGAAGGATATTAATCAGTTTTAATTCACAACTGATAGGAGTTCATCAAGCATCAGAAAAACTGCTCTTGAGTGCATTTACTGTATGCATTTTTGTGAATTACTGCATTATATCACATTTCCAATTCCCTTTTTCTAATAAGTTTAATAAAGTTTAAATTTTTTGCTTAATAACCAAAAATACAGTGCAATTGGGAATACATATTTTTTCTTTATTTTTCTTTTTTAAATTATGGTAAAATACACATACTGTAAAATTTGTCACTTTAATGAATTTTAAATGAACAGTTCAGAGGGCATTACATTCACCAAATTGCACAACCTTTACCACTGTCCATTTCCAGAACTCTTTAATCATCCCATATAGAAGCTCTGTACCCATTAAACAATAACTTCTCACCCACACTAGTCCCTGGTAATGATTATTCTGTCTCTGTGATTTGCTTATTCTAAGTACTTCAAGCAATATTTATCCTTTTGCATCTGGCTTATTTCACTAAGCATAATGTTTTCAAAGTTTACATATGTTGTAGTCATTGAAGTTCTGTAGTGTATATTAGAATTTCATTCCTTAATAAGGCTGAATAAGTTTCCATTATGTGAATATGTTGTATTTTGTTTATTCATTCATTTATTGATGAACCTTTGAGTTGCTTCCTGCTTTTGGTTACTGTAAATCATGGTACTGTGAACATTGGTGGTTAATATCTGTTGGAGTCTCTATTCGCAATTACTTTGGGCATGTATATAGGCATAGAATTGCTGGATCATATAGTAGTTCTATGTTTAACCTTTGAGGAGCCACCTAACTGTTGTCCACAGAAGCTACACCATTTTACATTCCCACCAGCAATGCACAAGGGTTCCCATTGACTCTGAATCCTCACTAACCCTTGTTATTTTCTGGAGTTTCTTTTTTGTAATCATCCTAATAGGTGTGAAATTATATCTCATCATTATTTTCATTTGTGTTTTTCTAATGCTAGTGATATTGAGCCTCTTTTCATGTGCTTGTTGGCCATTCGTATATCTTCTTTAGATAATTATCTATTCAAGTCCTTTGCCTATTTAACAAATTGAACCATTTATTATTGTTGAGTTGCTGGAGTTCTTTATTCTATTATACATATTATATCCACATATACTGATGTCATATCACATATGTGATTTGCAGACATCTTCTCCCATTCGTTGAGCTGTTGTTCCACTGTCTTGAGGGTGGCTTTTTTTTTTTTGAGATGGAGTCTCCCTCTGTCGCCCAGGCTGGAGTGCAGTGGCACAATCTCAGCTCACTGCAACCTCCACCTCCCAGGTTCAAGTGATTCTTTTGCCTCAGCCTCCCAAGTAGCTGGGATTACAGGTGCACACCACCATGCCCAGCTAATTTTTGTATTTTTAGTGGAAATGGGGATTCACCATATTGGCCAGGCTGGTCTCAAATTCCTGACCTTGTGATCCACCTGCCTCCGCCTCCCAAAGTGTTGGGATTACAGGCGTGAGCCATCACACCTGGTCAACGGTGACTTTTAATGCACAGAACTTTTACTTTTGATGAAACTAATTTTTTTGTTATTTTTTTCATTCCCTGTACCTTTGATATCATATCTAAGAAATCATTGTTAAATCTAACATAAAGAATATTTTCTCCTATGTTTTTTTTTCTAAGAGTTTAAGGGTTGTAGTTGTTACTTTTAAGTCTTTGATCTATTTTAGCTTATTTTTGTATATTATGTAAGTTAAGGGCCCAAACTTTATATTTTGCCTGTGGATATCCAGTTTACCCAGTACTATTTGTTGTTATTAATCAATTTTGCTTCTTTTTTTTTTTTTTTTTTTTTTTTTTTGAGATGGAGTTTCACTCTGTCGCCCAGGCTGGAGTGCAGTGGCGCAATCTGGGATCACTGCAAGCTCTGCCTCCTGGGTTCACGCCATTCTCCTACCTCAGCATCCTGAGTAGCTGGGACTACAGGCCACCACGCCCGGCTAATTTTGGTTTTGTATTTTTAGTAGAGACCGGATTTCACCATGTTAGTCAGGATGGTCTCGATTTTCTGACCTCGTGATCCGCCCGCCTCAGCCTCCCAAAGTGCTGGGATTACAGGTGTGAGCCAGCGCTCCCGGCCCAGTTTTGCTTCTAACATAGTTGTCTTATTCTAACATTTCTTGTTTTTGGGGAAAGAAAATCTGTAATTTTTTTTAACTCGTTCTTGGAACCAGCTTTCCCACCTACTGATTTCTTCAGGAATAAGTGAAATAAATTTTGACACAGGTTTATTTTGTATTTGTATGTGAGTTTTATTATTAAGCTCATTATTAAGTTTTATTATTAAGCAGAGAAAATTATACTCTGGCCACGTACATATCCACAGTGTATTACTTTCAGAATGTCCTGATTTTTTCTCTTGCTATAAAGAAGACTCAGGGAATTTACAATAACACACCAGAGTGTTAGAGTCAGGCAGCCATTGTCAGTTGGTGGGTCAGAACTGTACATAGATTTTGAAACAAACAACAGCTACAATGACAATTTCTTATAGACAGAAAATGTAAACCCATGCTTTGTTTACTTCTCTCCCAACGAACATAACTAGGCCTATTTTTTATTCTGAGACTTCTCTAAAGGGGCCTTTCATTTGTTCTATGACAGATAAATTGATGGATCAAGTGGGTTAAAACTAAAATAATAGTGTGAAACACCCAGTTATGTCCTTGTAAGCATTATATGTTGACATTTGCATCTAGACATTTAAACATCTAGAGAACACTGCTACCATCTTCACTTATTGACAATGGCATATTATCAATTCACTTTTCCAAAGAGATAGAAGTTACTTCTTTTGACTTAGATCTGACTTCTTAAACTGTCAAATGAAGTAGCTGAGTATAACTCAGCTACTGAGTTATAACTGAGTATAATCATGAAATTATTTAAGGCTTTGAGACCCTGGAACAAACTTAGAACCACTATACTAATAGTGGCTACAAACTAGTATTAGCTGGAAGGGTTTTGAAAGATTATGTTGATTTCTTAGATATACTTGTGTCAGAGAGGCAACTGCAAGTTAATCTCTACTCTCAGTGAAAGGCTTAATGTGGACACCTATAAAATCCCCAGTGGTCATAACTTGCAGGAATCTCTCCAGAGGGACAGCATCATACCCAGTAGGGCGACATTAATTTCCTCAGGATAGACCACCAATTAAAAAAAAATACAGAACTAGGCATGAGTCAACTTCTCCCTTAAAATTGTATTTCTCATCTAAATGAAAGCACATTTTTAAGAGAGAAAGATGTGTAAGATATAGAAATATTAAAGTAAGGGCTACAGTACATATAATACAAAGCAAATGAAGAGAGGAGGCTAAATACCAAGTTGTAGGTGGTGAGTTATACTCAGATACTTCATTTGACAGTTTAAGAAGTCAGATCTAAGTCAAAAGAAGTAACTTCTATCTCTTTGGAAAAGTGAATTGATAATATGCCATTGTCAGTAAGTGAAGACGGTATCAGAGTTCTCTAGATGTTTAAAATATTGTAAGACATTTGTTCATATAAAAATTGTTAATCATCTTGCTTGCTATGGGCTTTTTAAAAAGAATTAAGGGCTACTCCTTTTAGTAAACATGTAACTCTATACATTGAAAAAATCCAATTGTAAATTGACTTGCTATCCTTTCCTTCAATACAAACATTAGCCTCAAATGCAAAAGTGGCATGGATTCAGAGTAAATTAAGTGAAAATATGAAGGGATGGCCAGCCCCTCCACACCTGTGGGTACTTCTAGTCAGGTGGGATGAGAGACTGAGAAAAGAAATAAGACACAGAGTCAAAGTATAGAGAAAGAAATGTGGGCCCAGGGGACCGGCGCTCAGCATACCAAGCACCTGCACCGGCACCGGCCTCTGAGTTCCCTCAGTTTTTATTGATTATTATTTTCATTATCTCAGCAAGAGGAATGCGGTAGGAGAGCAGGGTGATAATAGGGAGAAGGTCAGCAAAAAAACATGTGAGCAGAAGAATCTGTGTCATAATTAAGTTCAAGGGGAGGTACTATGCCTGGATGTGCACGTAGGCCAGATTTATGTTTCTCTCTGCACAAACATCTCAGTGGAGTAAAGAACAATAAAGCAGCATTGCTGCCAACGTGTCTTGCCTCCCACCATAGGGTGGTTTTTCTCCTATCTCAGAATTGAACAAATATAAAATCAGGTTTTATACCGAGACAGTCCGCTCCCAGGAGCAGGCAGGAGACAGTGGCCTTCCTCTATCTCAACTGCAAGAGGCTTTCCTCTTTTACTAATCCACCTCAGCACAGACCGTTTATGGGTGTTGGGCTGGGGGGTGATCAGGTCTTTCTCATCCCATGAGGCATATTTCAGACTATCACATGGGGAGAAACCTTGGACAATACCCGGCTTTCCAGGGCAGAAGTCCCTGCCATTTTCCGCAGTGCATTGTGCCCTTGGTTTATCGAGACTAGAGAATGGCAGACTTTTACCAAGCATACTGCTTGTAAAACTTTTGTTAACAAGGCACAGCCCTAGATCCCTTAAACCTTGATTCCATACATGTTTTTGTGAGCTCAAGGTTGGGGCAAAGAGGTTGGGGCAAAGTGATTGGGGCAAAGTTACAGATTAACAGAATCTCAGGACACAAAGCAATTGTTCAAGGTACAGGTCAAAATGGAATTTATTATGTCTTCCCTTTCTACATAGACACAGTAACAGTCTGATCCCTCTTCCTTTTCTCTACAAAATAGAAATGATCGTTAGCAACAGAAGAAAACTAAAACGAATAACTTATTTTTTAAAAGTAACATATTGGCTAGGCATAGTGGCTCTTGTCTGTAATCCCAGCATTTTGGCAGGTGGAGGCAGGCAGATCACTTGAGGTCAGGAGTTCGAGATCAGCCCGGTCAACATGGTGAAACCTCACCTCTATTAAAAATACAAAAAATGGGCTGGGCATGGTGGCTCACGCCTGTTATTCCAGCACTTTGGGAGGCTGAGGCGGGTGGATCAGAAGGTCAGGAGTTCGAGACCAGCCTGACCAACATGGTGAAACCCTGTCTCTACTAAAAATACAAAAATTAGCCAGGCATGGTGGCACATGCCTGTAATCCCAGCTACTCAAGAGGCTGAGGCAGAAGAATTGCTTGAACCTGGGAGGCGGATAGCCGGGCATGGTGGCGTGTGCCTGTAATCCCAACTACTCAGGAGGCTGAGGCAGGAGAATCACTTGAACATGGGAAGCGGAGGTTGCAGTGAGCCGAGGTTGTGCCATTGTATTCCAGCCTGGGTGACAGAGCAAGACTCTGTCTCTAAAAAAAGAAAAAACATAAAAACAAAAAACAAGCTGGGCGTGGCTGGTGTCTGCCTGTGATTCCAGATACATGGGAGGCTGAGGCAGGAGAATAGCTTGAATCTAGGAGACTGGGGTTGCAGTGAGTCAAGATGGCACCACTGCACTTCAGTCTGGGGGACAGAGTTAGGCTCTGTCAAAAAAAAAATGCAGCAGTGTATTATGCTTATGCTTAGGATTTAGGCTGAACTACCATTTAAAATGTATTGTATCCTTTCATTCTTCCTTTCCTAAGATTCCACATAGATATTGTAGAGAAGTCCAAACTCAACACCATTTGTTTACATTACTAAGGTCTTTAAAATTTTAAATAGATTTAAGTATTTAACTTAACCAAAACTAAACGCCTAGAGACTTGTCTTCACAGAAAATGAGCTTAATTCATATTTTTCTCAAACACTTGCCAAAACCTTAAACTTAAACCCATTTTCAATGCAAGTAGTGGCTAACTTTTTTTGTGCATCTTTTTGCCTTTTTGCCATTTCCTTAGCCAGATGTGCCTATTTATCTTTTTATTTTTGAGATGGAATTTCACTTGGTCGCCCAGGCTGGAGTGCAATGGCACGTTCTCATCTCACTGCAACCTCAGCCTCCTAGGTTCAAGCGATTCTCCTGCCTCAGCCTCCTGAGTAGCTGGAACTACAAGTGTGCACCACCACGCCCAGCTAATTTTTGTATTTTTAGTAGAGACAGAGTTTCACCATGTTGGCCAGGATGGTCTCGATATCTAGACCTCGTTATCTGCCCACCTCGGCCTCCCAAACTGCTGAGATTACAGGCCTGAGCCACTGTGCCCAGCTGTGCCTATATTTTTAAAAGATCAAAGGTTTATCTGAAATAAAGAGAAACTACAGGATTTTGTTCTGAGATTCAGTCAAGACCTGGTAAGACAGATAATGTAGAGCAAGCTTTGATCTTATCAATGTTTATATCAGCTGAAAGAAACACTCGCACACTCAGAGTCTTTCCTAGTGATTAAAGAATTTAATTTTCATTCACAATTCACAGTAAGGAATTGTTGTAAGAAAATACTGGATTTCAATATAGCATTTTCTCCTTTTTTTGTTGTTTTAATGGCATAATATGCTATGTGTGAGGTCAACATGAGGAGAGACAAAAAGAACAAGTTTATAAATGTGGTTATATTGTCCCCTAACCTAGGAAAAAATGACAATATTGACATTAAAATTTGCATTGTTTGCCTCTGGCTTTCATGGGAATTGTTTTGTTTGTTTGTTTGTTTTTGTTTGTTTTGTTTTTGTTTTTTACAGTTGGTATGCCATTTTTTAATGTTACCTATAACTAGCATTAGAATTGTATGGGAGCTTTTGTTTCTTTTGTTTTGGAGGATGTGATTCTTAAAATGAAATTAATTTTTTAGAACATAAAATATATCAAGGCAAGGACATTTCTAAGGGTAATACTGGAAAAGAACAGTTAATTGGTGAAGTTACCAGTAAGTTTAAGTCAATTTAAAATTAACTTAGCAAATTATATGTTCATACCACTCTGTGGACCAGTAGGGAATACAAAAATGAAAAAATCCTGACACTGTTTTATCAGTGAAAAGAGACAGGTCATTAACTTACTAAAATGTATGGCAGAGTAATGTATGTGCTAAATTATGACATATACAATAAAGGCTGCGGGAACCAAAGGATATGTCAATGAGTTTCAATAAGGGTTCAGGGACATCTTCAGAGAGGACAGAACAGTGGAATTTTTTAATTTAAATTTTATGGGGGATGGTAGGAAATTCCAGGTGGCCAGATGGTTTGACTAAATGCATGGTAGTTAGAATGTGTTGGCTCTATTCATGAAACAATGAATTCCATATGTCTGGGACATTAGGTACTGATGTGAACATGGAAGAAAAGTGTGGGGGCAAAGGAGAAAAAGGATAAATGGGAATTTCTATTTCTGTCTACATTGTGCCAAGCATTATAATTTTACTTTCTAGACCAAGAAGATATTTTTATGTTTTTTTTGGGGCAGACAAGTGACAAAGTGAGATATTTATGCTTTAGAAAGGTTAGTTGTATCAAAATGTAGAAAATATTTTAAGAAATAAGAAATAAAGACTGTATGGCAAACTTTGAGATATTTTAAAAATAGGCTACATTAAGAACCTAAACTAGAAACATGTTTTTCTAAGAGAAATAATGTGTTGGTACTATTAAACATGATAGGGGAAAATTGATGGGAATCAGTGACTAATTAAACATGAGATGTAAGGAAATGAAATAATTTGATAGAATTCTGAGGTTTTAAGCCTGGGTAACTGGGAGAATGGTGATGCATTTTGCAGAGGTAGGAAATGTTGAAGATACAACTGATTTTTGAAGACTAGTAATTTTACAGTCATGCACCATGTAAATACATTTCAGTAAATGGTGGACCACATATTGGTCCTGTAGGATTGTAATGGAGCTGAAAAATTCCTGTTTCCTAGTGATGTCATTGTCAATGTAATATCATTGCACAATTCATTACTCACATGTCTGTGCTGATGCTGGTGAAAACAGACCTATCGTGCTGCCAGGCCTCTAGCACATATAATTACTTACAGAACATAATACCTGATAATGATAATAAGTGACAATATTACTGGTTTATATATTTACTACTCAATTCTTTTTATCTTTTTTTTTTTTTTTTTTTTTTTTTTTTTTTTTTTTGAGATGGAGTCTCCCTCTGTTGCCCAGGCTGGAGTTGCAATGGTGTGATATCGGCTCACTGCAACCTCCACCTCCCAGTTTCAAGTGATTTTTCTGCCTCAGCCTCCCAAGTAACTGGGACTACAGGTGCCCACCACTGCACCTGCCTAATTTTTGTATTTTTAGTAGAAACAGGGTTTCACCATGTTGGCCAGGCTGCTCTTGAACTGCTGCCGTCAAGTGATCCTCCCACCTCAGCCTCCCAAATTGCTTGCATTACAAGTATGAGCCACCATGCCTGGCCCTTTTTATCATGTTTTGAGAGGGTACTACTTATTAAAAAAGAAAAAGAAAACTGAACAGTAAAGCAATTTCAGGCAGGTCCTTCAGGAGGTATCCAGAAGGAGGGATTGTTATCATAGGAGATGACAGCTTCATGTGTGTTATTGCCCCAAGGAACTTCCGTTGAGACAGAATGTGAAGGTGGAAGACAATGATGTTGATGATCCGATGATCCTGACCCTCTATAGGCCTAAACTAATGTGCGTGTTTGTGTTTGTTTTTATAAAAGAGTTAAAAAGTAACACAAAAATTAAAAATTGCAAAAAGCTTATAGACTTAGATATAAAGAAAATAATATTTTTTTAAAGTTGTACAATATGTTTACCTTTTAAGCTAAGAGTTGTGACAAAGGAGCCAAAAGGTTAAAAAAAAGTATATTAAATAAAAACATTACAGTAAGCTAAAGCTAATTTATTACTGATAAAAGAAAACAATTTAAAAATAAATTTGGCATAGCTTAAGTGTACATCCAGTACCGCTAAAGTCTACAACAGTGCCCGTAATGTCCTAGGCCTTCATATTCAGTCACCACTCACTCACTTACCCAGAGCAACTTCCAGCTGTGCAAGCTCCATTCATGGTAAGTGCCCTCTACAAGTGTACCTTTTTTTTTTTTAACTGCACCTTTTCTATGATAAGATGCAAAATACCTACCACTGTGTTACAGTTGCCGCAGTATTTAGTACAATAACATGCTGTATAGATTTGTAGCCTAGGAGCAACAGGCTACATATACTCTACCATATACTCTAGCAGAGTAGTAGGCTATCCCATCTATGTTTGTGTAAGTACACTCTGAGATATTTGCACAATAATAAAACTGCATAAAGACATATTTCTCCAAATTTATTCCATCATCAAATGATTCATGCCTGTATGCACACATATGCAGGGGCATGCAGAGAGGGCAATTCCTGTGTCCCAGGCACTGCTTTATGCTTGATAAATCTGTTATTCACCCTCACTACAATCTTACCCAGAGACAGGCACCATTATTTTCCCCATTTCACAAGTAAATAAACTGAACACAGGTAATTTATGTAACTTGCCTAAGATCACATAACTAGAAAAGAGAGAAAAGAAATTTAAGCTGATTATAGATCTCTTTCTATTAATGATTATGATATACTTTGTAATGTTATTTCTAGCTTTGATCATTTTATGAAGGAAAATAAAATGGATTAACAAAATTCAAAAATCTTTAACATAAAATTATAAAAGAACTTGATTAACGTTATAAAGTGAGGGATAGTCCAGGCAAGGCGGCTCATGCCTGTAATCCCAGCACTTTGGGAGGCTGAGGCAGGTGGATCATGAGGTCAGGAGATTGAGACCATCCTGGCTAACATGGTGAAACTCCATCTCTACTAAACATACAAAAAATTAGCCGGGCGTGGTGGTGGGCACCTGTAGTCCCAGCTACTTGGGAGGCTGAGGCAGGAGAATTGCTTGAACCTGAGAGGCGGAAGTTGCAGTGAGCCAAGATCCCGCCACTGCACTCCAGCCTGGGCGACAGAGCAAGACTCCGTCTCAAAAAAAGAAAAAAAAAATTAAAAAAAATATTAAAATGAGGGATTAATGGGGCTGGGCGTGGTGGCTGATGCCTGTAATCTCAGCATTTTGGGAGGCCGACGTGGGCGGATTGCCTGAGATCAGGAGTTTGAGACCAGCCTGGGCAACATGGCGAAACTGCGTCTCCATTAAAAATACAAAAATTAGCTGGGCGTGGTGGTGGGTGCTTGTAATCCCAGCTACCTGGGAGGCTGAGCATGAGAATCACTTGAACCCAGGAGGGAGAGGTCATAGTGAGTCGAGATCACTCCACTGCACTGACAAAGGAAGACTTTGTTTCAAAAAAAAAAAAAAAAAAAAGGAAGAAAGTGAGGGATAAATGGAGAGAAAGAAAAACAATCATAGAGATTCCCCTTAAGTTCTACCACTGAAAGCAGACACACACACACACTCAGTATAAGAGACAAGGTCAAAAGGAAAATGTCTTTACA
The DNA here is from genome assembly GCF_000001405.40 of Homo sapiens. Taxonomy (NCBI): domain Eukaryota; kingdom Metazoa; phylum Chordata; class Mammalia; order Primates; family Hominidae; genus Homo; species Homo sapiens. The sequence continues at coordinate 64,908,907 of NC_000009.12, forward strand.
TATGAAGCCTTCCATTTACAGCTTAACTATCCCTGGAGGCCACATCTAAGGACAACCCTTTTAAAAAGCCATGGTGTGTAAATGAATATGTATTTTGTGTATATTCAGTATATTCAAGGTAAATAGTTGTTTTTATTAAAATAACAAGGGAAAAATAGTGGACCTTCCTCGCTCATGAAGAACATGACAGGATGAACTGTTTAGGTCAAATTTTAAAAGACCAGGCTGGGTGCAGTGGCTCACACCTGTAATTCCAACACTTTGGGAGGCCAAGGCAGGCAGACCACCTGAGGTTGGGAGTTTGAGACCAGCCTGACCAACATGGAGAAACCCTGTCTCTACCAAAAATACAAAATTAGCCGGGTGTGGTGGTGCATGCCTGTAATCCCAGCTACTCTGGAGGCTGAGGTGGGAGAGTGGCTTTAACCTGGGAGGTGGAGGAGGTTGCTGTGAGCTGAGATTGCACCACTGCACTCTAGCCTGGGCAACAGAGCAAGACTCCATCTCAAAAAATAAATAAATAAATAAATAAATAAATAAAAAATAAAAAATAAAAAAATAAGAATTAGGAAGAACAATTTAATAATAAGGTAAGTTACAAAGAAAATTTGTAGCTGGGTGCGGTTGCTCAAGCCTGTATCCCAGGACTTTTGGAGGCTGAGGTGGACAGATCACGAGGTCAGGAGATCGAGACCATCCTGTCTAACATGGTGAAACCCCGTCTCTACTAAAAACACAAAAAATTAGCCAGGTGTGGTGGCGGGTGCCTGTAGTCCCATCTAATCAGGAGGCTGAGACAGGAGAATGGCATGAACCCTGGAGGCAGAGCTTGCAGTGAGCCAAGACTGCACCACTGACTCCAGCATGGGCGACAGAGCAAGACTCCATCTCAAAAAAAAAAAAAAAAGAAAATTTGTGAATTTGTATGCAGTTCACTTGCTTGACCCATAAATAAACATGAATGAGTAAAATGGAAGCTCAGCTTAATAATGAGTTATTGCACAATAGGAAGAAATAAGTTAGGGATGGATACAAATTGAAAGAAGGATAAATGCATGCTAACTTCTTATCTTGATCTATAAGTCTAAAAACATCTTAAAATACCAGATGATTAAAAAAATAGTAACTTTAATTGTTAAAAATGATCATTTATTTTTCCTCAGGTGGTGGCTCAGTGTTCACTCCGAAAAATGAAAAATTGCCCATTTTTGTGAAAAAGTTCTACTGATATGTGAAGGTACCACATTATTCATTGAATTCTCTTCCTGAGTGAATGACATAGAACACCGACAGATAAATTAATATGTTAAAATTAAAAGATTATCTAATAAACAACTTTTCCGTTTTAATAAAATTGTATTTTGATATATTTGAAAGATTTTTATTGTAGTGAAAAATATATATAAAATAAAAAATAATGATGTTGGATAATATCATAAATGATTTCTAAGGTAGAAGGTTCTGTTGTTTAGAAAAACATCTTTGAGAGTCTTTTTTCATGAGGCACTAAATTCCTTGGTATAATAGGGTACCCTAGACAAAGTAGCTTTTTTTTTTTTTTTTTTTTTTTGAGAGTCTTGCTCTGTCACCCAGGCTGGAGTGACAAATCTCGGTTCGTTGTGACCTTTGCCTCCCAGGTTCAAGTGATTATCTTGCCTCAGCCTCTTGAGCAGCTGGGATTACAGACATGTGCCATCATGCCCAGCTAATTTTTGTATTTGTAGTAGAGACAGGGTTTCACCATGTTGGTCAGGAGGTTTTGAACTCCTGACTTCGTGATCTGCCCGCTTTGGTCTCCCAAAGTGCTGAGGTTACAGGCATGAATCACTGCGCCCGACCACTTTTAGAATATTTAATGCTTCATAAATATGACGTAAAAAAGGGTGAGCTGTAATGTTAAGCAGTAACTAAGAGGAGTGCCAAGTTACCACCAGGCAGTTAGCAAGAGGGGGCAAGGCAGCCCCAGGTGTAGAATTAATAATGTGAGAGAGACTAGAAGTTCCAAGAAAATGGTAGGGTGGGGTGGAGAAATTCCTTCTGATGGGAATAAATGAGGAGATTCAGGATAGTGGTGGCAATATATGTATGTATATATGTGTGTGTGTATATATGTGTATACGTGTATATATGTGTGTATGTATATATGCATATATATGTATCTGTGTGTATATGTGCATATACATGCATATATGTGTATATATATGCATGTTTATGCATTTTGCTGCTCTTCATGGGAAGTAATTCTCCCTTATCTCCTCCACATGGTGGTCTTGAATTAATGGTGCTTGGTGCTAAGGTGGGGGTGAAAGTGGGATGAGTCTCCTCACTAGAGGGAACTGAGTAGAGAAAACATGATCTGCTCTGGAGCACAGAGAAGAGGGCAGGCACCAACAGTAAGTGAGGAGAGGCCAAGCCCAACTAACCAAGAAACTCCCAGAAAATATGGAAGACTCTGAATGCTATGAAGCACAGGGGATAAATGAATCAAGATTTTTTTTTTTTTGAGATGAAGTCTCACTCTGTTGCCCAAGATGAGTGCAGTGATGTGACCTTGGCTCACTGCAACCTCCGCCTCCTGGGTTCAAGCTGTTCTCCTTCCTTAGCCTCCTGAGTAGCTTGGATTACAGGCACCTGCCACCATGCCTGGCTAATTTTTTTGTGTCTGCGATAATATTTTGTCTTCAGCAAAATTCTATTATTGACCTTAATACATAGAACCTTATTTGTCTGCATGTCTGGTTTGTGAGCAGATATTATTTTGAGTCCTCAAAACCTAGAGCAGTGCAGTTGTAAAAGGCTTTGACTGAAGTCTTAACAAATATTTGCTAAACTGAATTTTGTAGAAATGTTCCAGACTTTAGCATTGAATTTACAACTCACACATTCTTGTTATATTCAAATAATAAACTTTACTGAGTCAGCAGCATTTAATATCAACAAGAAAACAGTGAAATAATGTATGGATTAATTCTGAATTGCAAATTTAACTTTAATGTTAAAAGTTTCCATAAGTTATCCCCAAGCCTGGAAATAAATCCAAAATTGGTCTTAGTTATATATGTGTAAAATGCATATTCATATGAAGAATGAAACGCATCATCCTATTTTTTTTTTCTGATTTTGTGACTTGGATTTGTTTTTACCAAAATTCAGGGATTCCCCCCTAATCCCAATGAGAATAATGTCTTAAATAAATGGAATTAAGAAGCTTCAAAATTCTTTTTTTTTTTTTTTTGAGATGGAGTCTAACTCTGTCACCCAGGCTGGAGTGCAGTGGTGCAATCTCAGCTCATGCAATTTCCACCTCCCCAGATCAAGCGATTTTCTTGCCTCAGCCTCCCGAGTAGCTGGGACTACAGGTGCATGCCACCATGCTCGGCTAATTTTTTGTATTTTTAGTGGAGACAGGGTTTCACTGTGTTGGCCAGGATGGACTTGATCTCCTGACCTCGTGATCCATGTGCCTCAGCCTCCCAAAGTGCTGGGATTACAGGCGTGAGCCACCGCACCTGGCCCAAAACTCTTTAAAGTACTCAACCTATCATAAGACTAGTAGGTGTTTCTCAACTCTCCTTCTCAAAACATGAGATCATGAGGTCTTAATGCTGAAGATTATGGATTATTTTATGTAGAGAACATGGAACAAAGCTGGACTGTGCTCTGGCTCAATCAGCTCCACTTCCACACCTCGCAGCAATTCTCAATTATCACCACCAGAGAGAAGAAGGCAGTCCCTACCTGACCATCGCCTGGCCTGGCTACCTTATCTGTCTAAACAGTGCATTGCAGGAGCCCCTTTCCTTTCTGTGCTGTTTTATTTTTTCTCCCCCAGCACTAGTTTTCTAATTAGAATAATTGAGGAGAAATACAAGATTTTCACAGAATGAAAGCAAAAGTCTTCCAAGTATGAGAAAAATAGAACAAAGGCTGTTTATATCCATATTGATTATAGTGGGAAGGTATTATTGTAATAAATGTGATGGTTATTAAAGCAAGTCTTGATTTTAAGGAAATGTTTTGTCTTGGGACTGTGACAGGAGATTATGTGATGTTCATGAGATGATCATACTGTCTCTGTCCAGGTCTCTGTAACATGTAGAACACAACCAACGTAGAGTTTCAGTCCCATTTGATTTACAGAAACAGCTTGTTCCTCAGTAGTATTCTATATATAAAAAGTAAACACACACACTATAGTTCATAGAGAATACATTCACATGGATTACTAGGAAAACTAAAGTAGCCTTTCAAAATAATTAAAAAAGAGCCAGGTGCAGTAGCTCATGCCTGTAATCCCAGTACTTTAGGAGGCTGAGGAGGACGGATCACTTGAGGTCACGAGTTCAAGACCAGCCTAGCCAACATGGTAAAACTCCATGTTTACTAAAAATACAAAAATTAGCCAGGCATGGTGGCAAGCTACTCTAATCCCACCTGCTCAGGAGGCTGAAGCAGGAGAATCACCTGAACCTGGGAGGCAGAGGTTGCAGTGAGCCAACATCACGCCACTGCACTCCAACCTGGGTGACAGAATAAGAAGTTGTCTCAAAAAAAAGATAAAGAAATAAAAATAAAAATAATAAAAATGAATTCTTCTCAAAAAACTACCTTTCTATTAGATATTTTTTATCTCCAAACATAAAAGGTAAATTTTGAAATAACTAATAGTTAATAAGAAAAACATGTAAATAGTATGTAACTAGAATTGTTAATTTCTTGAAACTTAAGGTTTGTTTTTATGTTATGTTAGCAGGATATGTAAATCTAATGACATTCAAAAAACATAAAGTGAGAAAAGAAGAGGCTGGTATTGAACATGTATATGTTTACTATATTCTAATAATGGTCGAGTTGTTTAATTTCTGCATGAATGTCTAGGCTTCACTATTAGTCTTCAGCTAAAATTCTGCCCATTTTGGTGAAGGAACTGTGTGTGGCACATAAGGAGAGCTTAATGTTAGTATTTACCATAGCCTTACTAATATAATCCTATAATATTGTTCTCCATGTTCCCAAAATTAAAAAGTAGTCTAATTCTACATACGAACTCAAAATAAATGTATACTGTTATGTGGCATAACTCAAAATATTTAGAATTAAACACAGCTCTTATTTTCTCACACATACTGAGTATGGAATTACTATTATTTTTGTTTCCTTGATCAGAGGTAGATGAAACTTGATAATATAGTCACTGACTGAAGGGCATTGTTTTGCCAAAGTTCGTTAAGTTAAAAAATATTTTGGATCAATAAATGTCTTTCATTAAAATATTCACCTACATAAAATAAGTATTCAGAATTGCATAGGACATATGAATGTCATCTTTCTTTTGCTGTTCATTTACCCAACATTTTTCTTCTTTTTATATGTGCCAGGTTGAAAATTGTCATCCCATACTCTTTTCAGCTAAGAATATTTCTGTGTTGGGAATATCTTGAATTTCCCTCAGGGGTTGATGATATTGCCCACAAAGACTTTAGGCAATTTTGATGGCCAGAATGAAAACAGGCAGCTAAGATATTTATTTTTAAAAGAAAAGAATAGAAAACTTTGTAATCTAGTCATACATTGTAGGAAGTTTTTTTTTTTTTTTTTTTTTTTTTTTTTAGAGACGGAGTCTTGTTCTGTAGAGCAGGCTGGAGTGGAGTGGTGTGATCTCAGCTTGCTGTAACTTCCGCCTCCCAGGATGAAGGGATTCTCTTGTCTCAGCCTCTGGGAGTAGCTAGGATTACAGACATGCCCCAACATGCCCAGCTAATTTTTGTAGTTTTAGTAGAGATGGGGTTTAGCCATGTTGGCCGGGCTTCCTCAAGCGATTCTCTTGCCTCAGCCTCCCAAGTAGCTGGGACCACAGGCGCCCGCCACCATGCCCGGCTAATTTTTTGTATTTTTAGTAGAGGCGGCTTTTCACCGTGTTAGCAAGGATGGTCTCGATCTCTTAACCTCGTGATGAGCCCACCTCGGCCTCCCAAAGTGCTGGGATTACAGATGTGAGCCATGCCCCACTCTGGAAGTAATTATTAATAATGTTTCTCCTTCCAGTTCTTCAGTTTGTTAAGCGCAACTGTTGAAAACATTTATTTGTCCCAGGAGATTATAGGAAAAAATTAAGTGAATCTACTTAAACATAAAATTTCCAGTTTTAGAATAGATTCTTTTTTTTTTTTTTTTGATGGAGTTTTGCTCTTCTCGCACAGGCTGAAGTGCAATGGCACAATTTCAGTTCATTGCAACTTCCGCCTCCCGGGTTCAAGTGATTCTCCTGCCTCAGCCTCCCAAGTAGCTGGGATTACAGGCGCCTGCCACCATGCCCAGCTAATTTCTGTAATTTTTATAGTAGACCATGTTGGCCTGGCTGGTCTCAAACTAACCTCAGGTGATCCGCCTGCCTTGGCCTCCCAAAGTACTGGGATTACAGTCGTGAGCCACCGTGCCTGGCCAGATTCAGATTTTTATTAGGGATGTCATTTAGCTAATTTAATGTATTTCTATGCCATAGTTCATATTTTCTGTGCTGTAAGTATTTTCTATATGTCTGATTTATGTTGAAGAATAGTACCTCTTTAGACGCAGGGGCATACTGTGAGCATCTACACCATGGCAAATGGCTTTGCATTTTGCACTCTATACCATTGCCAAAAAAAGGTTTGATTATGCTACTAAAAATCCGACATGAATCAGTGAACACCGAAAGCCAATAATTTTAGAATCCCAAAATAGTGGAATGTTTAGAACTGTGATATTTTCAGTTTATTTTCTCCATCAATTTTCATTAGAAAGCGAGTAAGGAAAATAGTAGAATTTAGGAGTTAAAAAATCAAATTAGCGGTCAGGGCATGGTGGTTCACGCCTATAATCCCAGCACTTTGGGAGGCTGAGGCGGGCGGATCATGAGATCAGGAGATCATCCTGGCTAACAGGGTGAAAGCCTGTCTCCACTAAAAATACAAAAAATTAGCCGGGCATGGTGGCAGGTGCCTGTAATCCCAGCTACTCAGGAGGTTGAGGCAGGAGAATGGCGTGAACCCGGGAGGTGGAGCTTGTAGTGAGTCAAGATCACGCCACTGCACTCCAGCCTGGATGATAGAGCGAGCCTCTGTCTCCAAAAAACAACAACAACAACAAATTAACACCTTGCTTATTATAATAAAGAACGAAAGTAATCCAATACCTGTAACCTAGAGAATAAGGTTCACATCACTTAAAATGGCATTATATATAAAAGAAAAGATTGGTTCTACTACATACATCAGGCTTATTAAGTCACACTAGACAACTGAGGTTGCCTAAGACGTCATTGTCCTGGACTTGCAAGGGCCTCCAACTCCAGTTAAGGTGATAAGAAAAAATGAAAATGAGCAACCTAGCAATTTTCACAGGCCTCAGGAAACTGGGGCCACATCGAACCCAGTCACAGGTTATACCAATTTGATTTACAACAATGAAAGAACCATCTGCTTATACTTGAGTTACAGCACATCCCTTTGTAGACATCCATACAATAGAAAGCCCCAGAAGTTGATTCACAGTAGAACAAAGTGTTTGTGTCAAGCAAAGGAAATTCTGCACTTAGAAATTTTATCGGCACATTTGATTAAAAGATGGTGTAGGTAGGCATAAGTAAGAAAACCATAAGCAGACATAGTCAACATACTAGGTAAGTAAAACCAAATCCAGAAGGTTGTATTTAGTAATATTCATTTCAGATTTCCTTGGATAATTGTGGTTTGCCTTACATCTTTTGACTATGACATAGAGATTTTATTCACTTTTTAAAATATCTCCTAGAATGTAGCTTGAGTCAGTCAAACAGGAAAACATATTGCAGCATTCTCTCTTTTACCTCCCCCAAAGCACTGTAATATGGCTTTTGGAAATATTTCCTCATTGTCCTTTAGTTTTTGGAATGATGTCTGAGATACTGCTGTATGTAAATACAATGATATTCCATATTTCCTGTAAGTTTGCCTATTCAGAAAGCTGCATTTACATACATGCTGAAACACAATCGCTGGTGATGTATCAACCAGAAATTTTATGTGTGAGCCTAAAAGGAAGTGTTGAGTCTTTCTCTACTTAAATAATTAGAAATTAAAAGTACCTCTTCTGCATTCTACAGTTTATGTAATATTAAAAGAAGGAATTTTGGCAAAGTAACTGAGGTTATCAGTTCAGTTCAGTTTATAAATTTAGTGACATCAACTTGTCCCAGCAAAATAATCAGTAGATACTCCATAATCACCACTGTTTCTGTTTTCAAGCAGAGAGAAAAAAAATAAATTAATTGTATTATATGTTACAATCTTGGGTAAATTCTTTTCTAAATTGGTGGGTATAGCACAGCAAATCAAAGGTTGATAACATAAAATAGTGGACTAAACTTCAGCTCTAAAAAGTTAACAAATCTTGAAGTCTGCTTGCTCAGTTGTAAAATGGGGATAATATTCTCACCTTTGAGTATCTCACACAGTTGCTGTAGGATTTATTTGAGAAAAAATATGCATAAAGATGCTTTGGACATTATAAAACTGCATCCTAATACAGAGTAAAATTATAAAATTTGATTTGAATGATACCAACTAGTTGGGGATAAAATATTTTACATAAGAACTCCCTGAAAAAGGCAATCATGTGTCATGTCATGTTTGTCATCAAGGATGACAAGGTTTCAATTTGCCTAGGTCAGAAATGTTGTGGTTCTATTCCCTCAACAACTAGTTACTTCTGCTTTGAGTACATGTTTTCCAAAAGCTAGAAAACACCCATCAAAAGGCTACTTTCCAAACATAAAAAACAGGTTTACTTCAACACATTATGTCTGTAGGAAGAGTCAAATGAAACAAAACTACTGAATCATTTCCAGGATAGAGCCATAGTATCCAAAATTTGGAACAGAATTGGATGATACTTGTAGGTCAAGTCCCTTTGCAGGTATAAATCCCCCCTTTAAAGTGGAAAAGTATACAAATTGTGTAATATAGGTATATATTATAGACTATACATGACTGGAATTTCAGAGGCATGTATGCAATATGAGTTTAGCATGGAGAAATAGCCAACTGGGTAAACATAATTGATCCATGCTGCTATGAAAGACAATCAAAGCTAAAGCTGATTGCCAGTTACACATTTAGATCTTTTATGCAGCGAATTATGATAAGCAGATGCAGATTTTTTTGTTTCAGGCATTTCCCCTAAAAACTATCCTACATAAGGAAATTTCCTTTATGAATATGCCAGTTACTGTGTCTATTACAGGTCTTCCAGAACATACTATTGTAGGATTTGTGAATATATATAATGGATGGAAGCAAATTAATGTTTTAGAATCTAATAAATTTTAAAAGTCAACTTAACTGAGGTTTACTTTCAATACAATAAAATACATCCAAATTAAGTACAAACATATAAAGTTATGTGGCTATCACCAATGAAGATATTGAAGCTGTCTATCACCTCAAAAGTTCTCTTGTACTCCTTACCAAAACCTCTGGCTCCAAGCAGCCATTGATCTGCAACCTACCACTATAAATTCAGTTTCTAGAATTTTGTAATAATAAACTTTTATAATATGCCTACTGTTGTTTCATTCTCTCAATATATTTTAAGATCACCTATGTTGCAAAATCAGTGGTTCTTTCTATTTTATTCTATTGTATGGAAATACTACAATATGTTTATCCTTTAGCCTGTTGGTGAACCATTTACAAATGTTTCTATTCCTTGATTATTACAAGTAAAGCTGCTATGTTCATTTGTATGCACATGTTTTCATTTCTCTTGAGTAAGTAAGAATGGAATATTCTAGGTCAAATTGTAAGTGTATGTTTAACTGCCAAACTGCAATCCAAACTGATTATCCACTTTATACTCCCACCTAAATATGATAATTCAGGGTGTTGTATGTCCTCTCAAACATTCAGAATTGACATTTTTTTGGATCCATTATAGTTTCTGTGCAGTGTTATTGCATTTTGATTTTTAAGTTCCATTCCCAGGTGGTTAATGATGCATTTTTCAGTGTTTATCAATCATTCATATATCTTTGGTTATTGTCATCTACTCAAATCTCTTGCCCATTTTGTTATTGTGTTGTTTGACTTCTCACTATGGAGTTTGATTTTTTTTTTTTTTTTTTTGGAGATGGATTCTCGCTCTGTCACCCAGGCTGGAGTGCAGTGGCAAGATCTCGGCTCACTGCAAGCTCTGCCTCCTGGGTTCACGCCATTCTCCTGCCTCAGGCTCCTGAGTAGCTGGGACTACAGGCTCCCACCACCACGCCTGGCTAATTTTTTTGTATATTTTTAGTAGAGATGGGGTTTCACCGTGTTAGCCAGGATTGTCTCAATCTCCTGACCTTGTGATTCACCCACCTTGGCCTTCCAAAGTGCTGGAAATAGAGGTGGACTTTGATATTTTTTTCTACATGTCCAGTAAAGTCTTTTGTAAAATTATTTTTCTTTCTCTCTTACTCTTCCTCTTTGACCATATCTATATCTATCCATCTGTATCTATACAGTTATAAAAATACAAACTCATAAAACTCAAGAAACCCTAAGCAACATAACACAAGTAAGCCACAAGACAAGTCAGGGAGATAGGAAGACCACAGGGTTTGAAGAGTGCAGGGCAGGACAGGGCTCCACAGCATGTCCAGGCTCCATTGTGAACAGCCCTGCAGCTTGGGTCATATGATCTTGCAGGACCTGTATTCTTGCAGGTGTCAATGGTGGTCACAGTGTGGCACACATGGCAATTCTCAGTAAAAGAATTACAACACCAGCTCCTGGGATTCTGAAACAAAGCCATGCCCTCTATAGCAGAGAATTATATGTTGGACCTAGGAGAGATGCTGTGCTTGATAAGTTACCATGCTTCTGGTGCTACCTCTTGCAGGCTGAGTTCTATTGGAACCACCAAGTCATGACACCAGAAGGGAAAAGAAGTAGTTCATCATGAGGTGGAAATAGTAAGTATGAGACAAAGGCCAAGCAAGATGAGAGCAAGTGGATAAGTTGAATAGCAGGTAACCCAGATCCTCATGTCACCCACCATGTTTGCACCAGCAACCTTCCTTCAGCTCACACCTGTGCCTGCATTTGTGTCCCTGTGGCCATCTGAAGGAGGGACAAAGGGGCAATCTCTGTTTAAAGGTGTAGTTGCATTGCAGCCCAATGCAAGAATGACTCTGAAAGACAGAAGGAAATTAAAATATTCCCTATTAGCAGCACTGGGAGCAGTGGCCCTGGCCATCTACTTTACATAGAAGAAGCATGACCTAAGGCAGGAATATAAACAGATTTCTTTGCCGTAGTCAGTGGGTGAATCATCTGGGCAGAGGCTTAGACAGAAAAGAACTGAAATATCTGAGACAAGGAAGCTGGGTTAGAGGCATATGAGTGGACATGCAGGAGCAGGCACGGAGTGTAAAGAATCTTGTATTGCACGTTAACACTCACAAGAAAGCACTCACCACAGAAGAGGCACTCAATAACCAATCAAACAAAATGACTTAACAAGCTGCCAGCCTTGGAGATTGGCTTTCCCACAACAAGCACAACAGTCACACATATGCAATCACTCATATGACCATGTTGGCAGAGTTGGACGATACATATGGGCCCCACAGCCTGGACTTCTATGTATCAAGGTTTATCTAACTACTGCTGCCTCTGACTGTCCTACTTTTCAACAGCATAAATCAATAATGAGACTCTTATATGGCAAGTCTTTTGACCTTGAATGACCACCTTTTCATCCTCAGAGGGATATATCCTTATTCCAGGGCTGGTTTTGGCACTTCTGTTCACAGAGCCTGAGCCAGGACCACTTTTCTGAGGCTTCCAGAATTCCTGATCCACAGGCATAAAATCCCACATGGTATAGCATCTGACCAGGGTTCCTTGTTCACAGCAAAGGATGGGCAGAAGTGGGTCCATGACCATGTAATCTACTATTTGTATTACATACACTCTTCAAGAAGCAGCTAGACTCATGGAGCCCTGGAGAAACACTCTAAAGATGCAACTGAGGCACTATGCTAAAGGAGACATTCTGAATGCAGGGGGCACCATCTTTTATACATATTCTATCACAGATCTTTATATAGTAGTTCTTCTTCCATAGGAAGAATCTACAGGTTCAGAAAACAAGAGGTAGAAACAGGAATGTCCCTAATTACAAATGCTCCCAATAATCTTCTCAGGTTTTCCTGTGCTTCTCATCACTGCAGCTCTGGGATCTGGAAGGCAGGCAAGTCCTGCTCTCTAAAGAAGGTTATCTGTTGGGTGCTTTAGATTCCTTAGGTCCAGTAACCAAAGGACAAGAAATACGTCACCACTGGGGCAGGATGAATACACCCTGATTAGCAGGAGGAGGTAGGGCTACTTTTCTACAAAAGAAGCAGAGATAATTTCTCTCTCTCTCTCTCTCTCTCACACACACACACTCACACTCACACACACTCCCCACTCCCATACTCTCTCTCTCTCTTTCTCTCCCCCTCACACAACTGGGCATTCAAAGGCAGTTCTGAGACCAACTGCTATAGCATGGGCTAGAGTTGGTCTCATTAACCTTCCTTTTCTAAGATTCCCCTTGGAAAAGAGAGGATCATGGGAATTTTGGAAGAGCTGGTATGAAGAACCTGTTTGGACAAATATGTGTGTGCTGTGGTGGGGTTAGGAGGTGGGGGTAATGGATTTTAATGACCAAGGAAATTTGCAATGCAGATATCCTGAATCAGACAGCATAAGTCAGCGACAGCCTGGCTTTAGCCCTCTGTCTCTGGAAGCACTTCTACACTTGTGCAGCAGTCATGTTTCCAACAGTCATAGAGCTACATGGGGATTGTATGTGAGGACGTTTCCAGTGAGTTGTGAGAGTCTCCAATGAGTAACTTTAATTTAAGGAGTCTGCAGTGACCTAGGCCAAAGCATTCTTGGAACCATGCTGCAGTCTCTTTCTACCCCAATCAGCCTTCCTTCCCTCTTTCCCTCTACAGGTGTAAGATCTGCACCCTAGTCTGAAGACTCTACCCACCTTCTCCTGCTTCCTCCTTCCTCCCTCTTGCAAATTTAATTCCATGGTGGTGTTTGCCCTTAGCAGATCTAAACATTAATTCAAGTCATATGATCAGATATGATGAAAAATGACTAAAAATGTCATTCATGACATGTGAGTGGTGAGCTCTGCCTGGCAGTAGGGAGGAGAGAATTCTGAGAGAAATTAATTTGGAAAAAACGATGCTGCACATCCCAGCAAATACCATCCCATCTTATCTCTGCTAGGAATATTTTTTGTAACATGCATATAATTCACTTTTGCTTTATGAAGTAAATTTATATTTTAAGAATACAGCAGCAATTTGAGTGCTGTTCACAGCTAATGTGAACTGAAATTTGAGGTTGGCTATAGAAGAAGGCCAATGACAGACGGGTTAGTAGAACAAAATGGATATAAATAGGAAAAAGTGAAAAATCAGTAAGACAGTATGTTGGAAAGGAGTACAGTAGATGGAAGAATTAATGATTCAATATTTCTATAAAGAGTCTCCATTTAGATGATTCAAAGAGTATCCATGAAGAAATGCACATTTTATTGAATATACAGAAGTGTGATTAGTGGTGAAGGAGGGTGAATTCTGTTTGTTATATGACTATGACATGTAGAGAACTTCTCATTCAAGGTGAGTGTGAAAAAATATTACAAAACATGTGGAGAATTAACTATTAGAGAGAAAATGAAATAATTATACAAAGAAACCTCCTAGAGATGAATTCACCACAGCAAATATGAGAAATATTATAGCAAACTAAATTTTCCTTTTAAGTGAGTACACTTAGAATTCTCAACTGGCTTTTTAAGAAGAAAACATCCAGGGCCAGGCATGGTGGCTCACGCCTGTAATCCCAGCACCTTGGGAGGCTGAGATGGGTAAATCATCTGAGGTCGGGAGTTCAAGACCAGCCTGGCAAACACCATGAAACCCCATCTCTACTAAAAATTCAAAAATTAGCAGGGTACGGTGGTGGGTGCATGTACTCCCAGCTACTCAAGAAGCTGAGGCAGAAGAATTGCTTGACCTCAGGAGGCGGACTTTGTAGTGAGCCAAGATGGCATCACTGTACTCCAACCTGGGCAACAGAGTGAGCCTCTGCCAAAAAAAAAAAAAAAAAAAAAAAAGAATAAAATTCATCAAAAAGAATAGAAGACTTAAAAATAAAAACAGACACCGAATGTGGTGGCTCACTCCTGTAATTCCAGCACTTTGGGAGGACGAGTTGGGTGGATCACGAGGTCAGGAGATGAAGACCATCCTGGCTAACCCTCTCTCTACTAAAAATACAAAAAAATTAGCCCAGCATGGTGGCGGGCAACTGTAGTCGCAGCTACTCGGGAGGCTGGGGCAGGAGAATGGCGTGAACCTGGGAGGCAGAGCTGGCAGTGAGCTGAGATCACGCCACTGCACGCCAGCCTGGGCAACAGAGCTAGACTCCATCTCAAAAAAAAAAAAAAAAAAAAAAAAAGAAAAAATATAAATAAAAACAGGCAAAAGGCCAGGCGTAGTGGCTTACACCTGTAATCCTAACACTTTGGGAGGCCAAGGTGGGTGGATCACCTGAGGTCAGGACTTCAAGACCAACCTGGCCAACATGGTGAAACCATAGCTGGGAATGGTGGCGGGTGCCTGCAATCCCAGCTACTCCAGAGGCTGAGGTAAGATAATTGATAGAACCCTGGGGGATTGCAGTGAGCAGAGATGATGCCATTGCACTCTGGCCGGGGCAACAGAGTAAGACTCTGGGGGAAAAAAAAAAGCAGGCAAAAAAGAACAAAGTAAAGATTGATATAAAAAATTAAAAGCAGCCAGGCGTGGTGGCTCAGACTTGTAATCCCAGCACTTTGGTAGGCTGAGGCGGGTAGATCATGATATCAGGAGTTCTAGACCAGGCTGACCAACATAATGAAACCCCGTCTCTACTAAAAATTCAAAAATTAGCCGAGTGTGGTGCGCATGCCTGTAATTCCAGCCACTCAGGAGGCTGAAGCAGGAGAGGAGGCTGAGGCAGGAGGAGAGTCACTTGAACCCAGGAGTAGGAGGTTGCAGTGAACCGAGATCATGCCACTGCACTTCAGCCTGGGTGACAGAGCAAGACTCCATCTCAAAAAAGGAAAAAAAAAATAAAAGCTCTAGAAATGAAAATTATATATAAAAAAAAGTGTAAATGCAATAAACACAAAGAATTAGTCAATTGGGAGATAATGATGAATTTATCCAGATAAAAGGATTTAAAAGTCAGAAAGACCAGTCAAGAAAGTCCCCAATACATGTATGATAGGAGTTCCAAAAGGAGTCCAAAGAGAATGGAGAAGCCATATTTAAGGACAGTATTCATCCACTCAGCAAACTCTCACTAAGGGCCCACTTTGATGACGTTTCCATTCTAATGGTAGAGAATACTTATACACAAGAAAACACTGGCAATGCCTTCACTATTTGTATACTTGACATGATGCCATAAAATTTCCATTGCAGAGGAAAGACTTGAGGACTCTAATTTAAAGTATAAAACAAGTGCTGAGCAGAAGAAATAAAAATGAATCCATATCCAGACACATTGATGACTCTGAATTTTAGTGTTTACAAAGCAGTTCTTTAAAATTAATTTTCAGTAAGAGGATGTGTATATCACCTTCACTGTTTTCCTTTTTGTTTTGATCTATTCCTCTTGCTTATTCTAGTTTCAAATGATTTCTTCAAAAAAAGTCTTAAAAGTCTTATCCATTTATGAATCGATTTATATCTTTCATTTTCTAGATTATAATTTTTACTTTTCTGTTATTAATTTCCTTCCATTAGGTATGTTTTTTGATCCTGTATTTACTTACTGACATGAATGATTAACTCATTTATCTTCTCTGGCTTAGTAAAAAAAAAATTGAAAATCTTGAAATTATATATGTTTCTTATTATCTTTCTTAATTATATTGTGTGTAGAGAGGTTTGTTAACTTTTCCAAAAAGTAGATTATTTATTTATAGGTTAGTTGTTTCTTCTTATAGTAATTTCACTTGGAGGATAAATGTTAAAATTTGAAGCACAAAAACTTTTTGTTGACCTTTAAAAAACTATATTTTTATTTGAAAGGTACAGTGTTGGATATTTTTACTAAAATAACATAATTATTTACACACCGTCTTATCTAATTACCCTGTTTTAGTTCCTATGAACCTTATTATAAACCAGCAATATTTCTTCTGGCCTATGTATAAGCTTTTATTTTTATATTTAAATAAAGCTATTTAATGAAAGAAATACCATTGTGTATTTTTAAATTATAGACAGTAGACTTACTCAAATAAAAATGTCTTCTCTCTTCTAGTTGATAAACTTATTTCTGATTCGCATTTCTCTAGTTTATATATCTACAATCACAGCTGTTTCCTATACTAATGTAATCATTTCTGCATACACTGAGGGTGTATTATTTACAATATGACATGTAAAATATTTTAACAAGAGTTATTGTTTTGCAATTGTATAGTTTTTATTATTTCCATTTTTCTTGTTGAAGATGCTTATTCTCTCTTTTTCATAATTTACTATACCTTCATCTTTCTTCCTTTCTTTCTTTCCTTCTTTCTTTCTTTCTTTCCTTTCTTTCTTTCCTTCTTTCTTTCTTTTCTTTCTTTCTTTCTTTCTCTCTCTCTCTCTCTCTCTTTCTTTCTTTCTTTCTTTCTTTCTTTCTTTCTTTCTTTCTTTCTTTCTTTCTTTTCTTTCTTTTTTTGAGACAGAGTCTCCCTCTGTCGCCCAGGCTGGAGTGCCATGGTGCGATCTCGGCTCACTGCAAGCTCTGCCTCCCGGGTTCACACCATTCTCCTGCCTCAGCTTCCTGAGTAGCTGGGACTACAGGCATCCGCCACCATGCCCCGCTAATTTTTTGCATCTTCAGTAGAGACGGGGTTTCACTGTGTTAGCCAGGATGGTCTCCATCCCCTGACCGCGTGATCTGCCCGCCTTGGCCTCCCAAAGTGCTGGGATCACGGGCATGAGCCACCGCGCCCAGCCTTTTTTTTTTTTTTAAGACAGTTTTTGCTCTGTTGCCCCAGGTTGCAGTCCAGCAGTGAGATCTAGCCTCACTTCAACCTCCGCCTCCAGGTTCAAGCGATTTTCCTGCCTCAGCCTCCCGAGTAGTTGGGATTACAGGCGCCCACCACCATGCACAGCTAATTTTTGTATTTTTAGTAGAGACGACGTTTCGCCATGTTGGCTAGGCTTGTCTCGAAATCCTGACCTCAGGTGATCCACCCAGCTCGGCCTCCCAAAGTACTGGAATTACAGGCGCGAGCCACCGTGCCCAGCCCAGTCCTTGTATTTTTAAGGTTTCATTTGTGTATTTTCTTTAGGAAAATATTTCAATAATTTATCCCTGCAACTAGCTGAAGTTATAAAATTACTTCTGGATTTGGGAAGATTATACCTGAGTATGGCAAAGGATTAGAAATAATAGCTAGCAGCTGGGTGCAGTGGCTCACGCCTGTAATCCCAGCACCTTGGGAAGCCAAGGCGGGCAGATCAGAAGGTCAAGAGACATAGACCATTTTGGCCAAAATGGTGAAACCCCATCTCTACTTAAAAAATAAAATTTTAAAAAAAATTAGCTTGGTGTGGTGGTGCGTGCCTGTAATCCTGGCTACTCAGGAGGCTGAGACAAGAGAATCGCTTGAACTCGGGAGGCAGAGGTTGCAATGAGCCAAGGTTGCGCCACTGCACTGTAGCCTGGAGACACAGCAAGACTCCGTCTTAAATAAATAAATAAATAAATAAATAAATAAATAAATAAATAATAGCTAACTTTTTCTATCTGCCAGGCACTGTGCTAAATACTTTGCATGAAGATGATAATTTCGAAACTAAACACAGAAGAGCAAGTGTAAAAGAAGTAATTTCTTTCTTTCTTTTCTTTTCTTTTTTTTTATTTTTTGTTTGAGACAGTCTCTCTCTGTGGTCCAAGCTGGAGTGCAGTGGCGGGATCTCGGCTCACTTCAACCTCTACCTCCCGAGTTCAAGCAAATCTCCTGACTCAGCCTCATGAGTAGCTGGGATTACAGGCATCCACCACCAGAGACGGCTAATTTTTTCTTTGTATACTTTTATTTAATTCGGCTTAGGTTACTTGTTTATTAGTAGTAGTTTTGCATCTATGGGATTGTTGTATAAAATAAATGGTTTAAATATGTAGAATACTTAAAAGTCATTCTTTCTGCATTTGAGATTTTGAGCCTTTAAAGAGGGCAATATACGGGTAGAGACACAACCAAAAAAGAGAATTTTAGGCCAATATCCTTGATGAACATTAATGCAAAAATCCTCAATAAAATACTGGCAAAACGAATCCAGCAGCACATCAAAAAGCTTATCCACCATGATCAAGTGGGTTTCATCCCTGGGATGCAAGGCTGGTTCAATATATGCAAATCAATACATGTAATCCAGCATATAAACAGAACCAAAGACAAAAACCACATGATTATCTCAATAGATGCAGAAAAGGACTTTGACAAAATTCAACAACCCGTCATGCTAAAAACTCTCAATAAATTAGGTATTGATGGGACGTATTTCAAAATAATAAGAGCTATCTATGACAAACCCACAGCCAATATCATACTGAATGGACAAAAACTGGAAGCATTCCCTTTGAAAACTGGCACAAGACAGGGATGCCCTCTCTCACCACTCCTATTCAACATAGTGATGGAAATTCTGGCCAGGGCAATTAGGCAGGAGAAGGAAATAAAGGGTATTCAATTAGGAAAAGAGGAAGTCAAATTGTCCCTGTTTGCAGATGACATGATTGTATATCTAGAAAATCACATTGTCTCAGTCCAAAATCTCCTTAAGCTGATAAGCAACTTCAGCAAAGTCTGAGGATACAAAATCAATGTACAAAAATCACAAGCATTCTTATACAACAACAACAGACAAACAGAGAGCCAAATCATGAGTGAACTCCCATTCACAATTGCTTCAAAGAGAATAAAATACCTAGGAATCCAACTTACAAGGGATGTGAAGGACCTCTTCAAGGAGAACTACAAACCACTGCTCAAAGAAATAAAAGAGGATACAAACAAATGGAAGAACATTCCATGCTCATGGGTAGGAAGAATCAATATTGTGAAAATGGCCATACTGCCCATGGTAATTTATAGATTCAATGCCATCCCCATCAAGCTACCAATGACTTTCTTCACAGAATTGGAAAAAACTACTTTAAAGTTCATATGGAACCAAAAAAGAGCCCGCATCTCCAAGTCAATCCTAAGCCAAAAGAGCAAACCTGGAGGCATCACACTACCTGACTTCAAACTATACTACAAGGCTACAGTAACCAAAACAGCATGGTACTGGTACCAAAACAGAGATATAGATCAATGGAACAGCACAGAGCCCTCATAAATAATGCCACATATCTACAACTATCTGATCTTTGACAAACCTGAGAAAAACAAGCAATAGGGAAAGGATTCCCTATTTAATAAATGGTGCTGGGAAAACTGGCAAGCCATATGTAGAAAGCTGAAACTGGATCCCTTCCTTACACCTTATACAAAAATCAATTCAAGATGGATTAAAGACTTAAACGTTCGACCTAAAACCATAAAAACCCTAGAAGAAAACCTAGGCATTACCATTCAGGACATAGGCATGGGCAAGGACTTCATGTCTAAAACACCAAAAGCAATGGTAAGCAAAGCCAAAATTGACAAATGGGATCTAATTAAACTCAAGAGCTTCTGCACAGCAAAAGAAACTACCATCAGAGCGAACAGGCAACCAATATAATGGGAGAAAATTTTCGCAACCTACTCATCTGACAAAAGGCTAATATCCAGAATCTACAATGAACTCAAACAAATTTACAAGAAAAAAACAAACAACGCCATCAAAAAGTGGGCAAAGGACATGAACAGACACTTCTCAAAAGAAGACATTTATGCAGCCAAAAAACACATGAAACAATGGTCACCATCACTGGCCATCAGAGAAATGCAAATCAAAACCACAATGAGATACCATCTCACACCAGTTAGAATGGCAATCATTAAAAAGTCAGGAAACAACAGGTGCTGGAGAGGATGTGGAGAAATAGGAACACTTTTACACTGTTGGTGGGACTGTAAACTAGTTCAACCATTGTGGAAGTCAGTGTGGCGATTCCTCAGGGATCTAGAACTAGAAATACCATTTGACCCAGCCATCCCATTACTGGCTATATACCCAAAGGACTATAAATCATGCTGCTATAAAGACACATGCACATGTATGTTTATTGTGGCATTATTCACAATAGCAAAGACATGGAACCAACCCAAATGTCCAACAATGATAGACTGGGTTAAGAAAATGTGGCACATATACACCATGGAATACTATGCAGCCATAAGAAATGATGAGTTCATGTCCTTTGTAGGAACATGGATGAAATTGGAAATCATCATTCTCAGTAAACTATCGCAAGAACAAAAAACCAAACACTGCATATTCTCACTCACAGGTGGGAATTGAACAATGAGAACACATGGACACAGGAAGGGGAACATCACACTCAGTGGACGGTTGTGGGGTGGGGGGAGGGGGGAGGGATAGCACTGGGAGATATTCCTAATGCTAGATGACGAATTAGTGGGTGCAGTGCACCAGCATGGCACATGTATACATATGTAACTAACCTGCACATTGTGCACATGTACCCTAAAACTTAAAGTATAATAATAATAATAATAATAATAAAATAAAGTACTTCACCAAAAGAATAAATAAAGAGGGCATTATAAAATGCCTCATGGAAAAAATATTATTTTAACAATTATTAAGGTAAAATAAAAATTTGTGACTCATAAAGACACACTTCATTTTTATCCTCTATTTTTTTTTTTTACAAATGGGACTTGAATACTTTAAGATAAAATTTAAAAAATCAAGTAATTTTAATCGGAAATTTCAAAAAAATAAAACCCTGAATCCAATTCAAATTTCACTTACTTGAAAATTCTCACTGATATAAATTTATTTATATAAATGTGATATAACCAATAAAGATATGCAATAGAGTCATTGTTAATTTGGTTAAAAAATTTTTAAAAACAATGCAAACTTGTATTACCTCCATATGTGTGTATGTACACATGTACACATATATGAATATTCATATATATATTTGCATACACACACCATATATATAACTGTGTATAAATGAATAACAATGGAATGTCAGTTGGCCTCTACTACAACATTTGAAGGCCCATTGCACAATGGCCAGAACAGAGACGACATCGGAATGCAACTTAAAATTTCCAAGATGACTTGAATTGTATCTGAATTTCTAACAGGGCATAGAGAAATTAAAATATTGTTTGATTATGCTTCTTTGTTTATTACTGGGAGAGCCTCACATGCAAAGCAGATCAGGATATTCTCTTATCAAATGTGTTAATTAACAGTCAGTTCATAATGTAAGGGTGACTCAAATAGCAGATTCAATATCAAACAGGAAGGGCTTTTGTAGCCCGTTCTATTTTCGTTCAACCACAAACCACCCACCCCTGCTGAAATAAAAACTTAAAAGGCAGGTGGAGGAAAATATGTTCTAGACCAAGGGGTAGGTACTGGGTCTGCAAAAGACATAGTGTGCCACCCACAAACACACAAGTTCAAGGAGCGAGGCTCAATCCTTCAGAAAATTGGTTCTAACTTTCAAATTATTAGAGATATTCTTTATAAAAGATATAGCAAAAAAAACACAAAATATACCCCTCTAAGATTATTAGGAAGTTAAAAAAAAAGTGACTTGTAACTTTTAATAAATAACTAGGGAGGTAAGCTTGTTCATTTCTGAGATTCACAACTTTTATAAAGGCGCTGTATTAATACTTGAATTGTGCTATGTTCAATAGAAGCAATGAGACATAAGCCATACTGAGAGAAGAAAAAAATTTTACAACAAGAAAATCTAATGCTGTTTAATTTCTTTAAATATTTATTAATTTCTGAATGTTATGTGATTGCTTTCATATTAATTTTTCAGTAGAGAAATTGAATACAATTGAATACAATTTCTCAGTCGAGAAATTAAATACAATGGATTTTAGTGTGATGACATACTTGATGGGATAATTGTAAAATCATTATTTTAATTAGATATAATACTTTTAGGTAGAAAAATAAAAATAAAGGAAAACTGATTTTCTTTAAATTCCATCAATTATTTCTTTCTCACAATAATTAATATGTAATTTACCAATGATGTAGTAGATTAATACCAAATTCTCTTACTTTTGGTTTCATCAAAAAATGATGAGCATTTTTCTCTGATTGATGTTTAGTTACTTTCAGATGGCTTGTAATCTTGTACTTTCAACATTGAAGATTTTTTTTTCACATATTGATACCAATCATTTTATGATATATCTGATTTTATAATTATGTATTCATTGTTTTCAAATGAGAGTTATGGTTGTATACAGTAAGAGTTATAATAGAGGAAGTTATCTGGTGCTCCAGGAATTTAAATAAGAGAAGATATAAAGATCTCAGCCTTTGTGTGAATATTTTAATTGGATCCTGAAAAATGAATGAAGATAGACAGAAAACAAGTAAAAAATGGTCTAAGCAGATGGAATAGAAGGAGTAAAAGGAGAGTAATAGAAAAGTGTGTGTGCCTTTGAAGGAACATAACCTGTTCTGGGTGTGGCTACAGCACAGTTTTGTGAAGGAAAATGTTAAATGATTGAGGAGAATGTCTCTCAATATCAGTGATTTTGTATTTTACCCTTCAATGATGGGACATAAGTAAACAATTTTTGAAAGCATAGTGGGTGTGTGTGTATATAAATATATAGCATATATATATAGTATATAGCATGTCTATACTTATACTGTATACATACATATAATGTGTATGTATATATGTATATATAGTATATATACATACTTATTTTCATTCTAGATAGAAATTTTTGAGATGCAGTTAGAAGAAAAAGTCAGAAAGAATAGTCAAGATTATTCCAGCAGTACAGGCATGATGTGATGAATGACTACATTAAAACATCAGCAGCAACACAGAAGAGAAATGGCAGAATAGAAAGGTAATTCAAGGTAGAAATAGCTGAACTTAATAATTCATTTAGAAGGAAGAGTCAAGGTATATATACTCTAAATTTTCTTGGCGACTGGCTTGATATTATCATCATTAGCTGAGACGGGCAATGCTTTAAAAGAAATAGATTTATTTGCCAAAATATAAAATGTGTTTATGGCTATGTCAAATTTGAGATGCAGGTGGTGAAGACGGGGGGGAGAATCAGTTGACATTTTAAAATATAGGTTTGAAACCTACAGGAAAATATTGGAGTAAAAAAAAATAAAGAAAATCAAACGTCAAAGGAAATGCTGGAAGTGTGGGAATGGATAAAAGGAGCACAGGAAAAGTGTGCAGAGCATTGTTACCCAAAGTGCTGTGGGAATTTTATACACATATGAATACAACTCGCAAAACACACAAATATTTTTCTTCCCTGGATCATTTACTGGAGTCTTTTACATACACATTCTGAAGTATAAGGTATGCAGAATTTTCTAAGCGTATCATAGAAATCCATTCCAAGAATACATTTCAGGAAAACTATTGTCAATCAGGGAAACATTGGTGCAGAATAGTAAGAAAAGAAATACCCATTAAGACTAGTACTTACACAGTGGACATGAAAAAACTAGACAGCAAGGAGTTATTAAAAAGAAAGCACGGGCTGGGCATTGTGGCTCATGCCTGTAATGCCAGCACTTTGGGAGGCCGAGGCGGGCGGATCACCTGAGGTTGGGAGTTTGAGACCAGCCTGACCAACATGAAGAAACCCCATCTCTACTAAAAATACAAAAATTAAATGGGCATGGTGTTGGGCGCCTGTAATCCTAGCTACTTGGGAGGCTGAGACAGGAGAATCGCTTGAACCCGGGAGGTGGAGGTCACAGTGAGCCGAGATGATGCCACTGCACTCCAGCCTGGGTGACAGAGCAAGAGAAAGAAAAGAGAAAAGAAAAGAGAAGAGAAGAAAGAAAAGAAGGACGGAAGGGATTTTAAAAAGAGATGAGAAGTCAGTATACTGTTTTGGAGGAAGTGTAATTTATGATTTTGGCTATAACTTGCTATGAATGGAAACAGCAACACACCACTGGATTTCAACTTTTGAGTGCTTAAGAAGGTGGAGATGGTGATTAAAATAATAATAATAATAATAATGCTAAGTGTGTAATAGTTGCTAAGTGTGTGGTGTCTGAACCCAGGATATCAGGATGTCTGGAACTGGGATTGAATCCCAGCTCTTCCACTTTCTGGTTATGTGAGTGACTGTAGGCAAATTACTCAATCTTTTAATGCTCCAGTTTCCCATATGTAAAATGAGAATTATAATAGTAAACTACTTCATGGCTTGTGAGGATGATGTGCATGTAGAGTACTTAGTGAGTTCTCTTTGCGTATTATGTATTAGTTTCAAAATGCAGAGTCTAGAGCCCTTAGATTCTCATTCAATAGGTATGAGGCAAGCACGGGCCAGGATTCTGCATTCTTTAAGGAGGCGTAATTTCCTATATCTGCTGTGACAAAGTGGTTCACATTAGGTCGCTTAAAATGAGATAAAGTTATTCTTTTATGGTTCAGGAAGCTAGAAATCTTAAATGAAGGAGTGAGCAGTGCTGCATTTTTCTCGGAAGGACCTGGGAAAAAATCCTTTCTTGCTTCTTCTAGCACCGGGTGATCACTGAGCTTCATTGTCATTGCTTGGCTGGAGGATACCTCACTTTATTCTCTACCTCCATCCTCACATGGCCATCTCCTCCCTGCGTCTCTGTTTCCTCTTCCCTTCTTATGAGGATATCAACCATATTGAATTATGGCCCACTCTAATGCATTATGAGCTCATCTAGCATATCATAATTATACAGCATCTGCAAATAATTTGATTTCAAATTAAGTCATACTCACAGACATCAGGGGCTAGAACTCTAATATATATATTTTCTTTTTGAAGACACAATCTAACCCACAAAAGGAGGGGAGCCGCTTAAGATCATAAATAACTCAAGTAACAAGACTGTGTGTTTAAAATAGCATTTAAATTTCTCCAAATGGCAGACAGCTTAATTCAGATCAATACCAATCAGGAGATAAAGAAGTGTTTGTCTCCTGATTGGCATTTACCTGAGATTAAAACATTATGGTAAAATACATTATCTTCAGTGATCTTTGGTTTAGGTGAGCATTCACAAGGCATACAGTTATTATCACTTGAGCCATCTCTCTCTAATAACTCTTTTCTAATCTGCTGGCCAACAATATCAGGTTCTTTCAAATCTCTGATTATTGGACCAAACAATAAGGTCCTCCATGTGAATTGGTAGAAATATTTTTTACAAAGGTAAATGAAATTTTATTTACTTGATGGATTTCTCTTCTCCTTTGTACAAAGGGGTGACCCTTTGACAGCACAGGGAAAGAACATGATAGAAATAGACTTTCAGAAGGAAGGGCCTTCCATAACAAGGAATGCCATCTGTAATCCAGACTTTTTTCTCCTCAGGAATCCAGTCATAGGCAAATCTCTATGAATCACAGATAAATAGAAAGAAGGGTGGGAGTGTGTCAGGAGTAGGATGCTGAAAATGTGAGTAGCCTGTTCATTAATTGGTCCCTTGGAAACTGAGAAGGCAACGTGGCATACATGCAATTTCCATGGAATGATGGAAGACTGGTTGTAGTTACTATGATCCTATAATGCTCAGATCACAACGGGGTCACCCTTATTCATGATTGAGCATTCCTTCTTATTAGTATCCCAATGTGAAATTGTTTCTCAAAAAAGGAGGAGGCGGGTAATTTTTGTACAACAGGCTTTTACTCCAAAATAAAGTGGCTTGTACTGTATTTCTCCTCTGGAGCCTTGCCGCTGGCTCCATAGGAAAATTCTGCCTCACATAGATACCTGAGGCATTGGATTCCCTAAACAAAATTGTAGATCCACTTGTACTGCAGGCCTCTGTAGTCCAAAACGTTTCTCTTTCTCTGAGTCCCACTCACAGCTGACATCCTTCTTGACATTTGCATTTTATTTAGAATACACATCCAAATATGTTTTATGTTGCCTCTAACATTCAAAAGAGCCTCTAACAGTCTTCCTTTCCCTATCCCTTCCTTCCATTTGAAAGATGTTTGCTCCACATCACTTTCTACTGCATTCTTAGACTCCCTGAAGGTAGGAAACCCACATTTTTGTCATTGGCTCGATGTGTCTTTCCTGAAGTCTATGGTAGCTGCTATTTTTCTCTAGAGCATATCAACCGGATGCTGTCCATGTATTCCATAAGTTATGTCCGTTTGGCTAGTGACATGGCCAGGGTTCCTGAGTACAAAATTGTGACACAGACAAAAATAGTTATACTTCTACAGCTAAATAGTGAAGACACTCTGCCTGGAAAAAGTAAGAAATTTCAGGTATTTACCATTTATTTAAGATACAGAAAAATAATTTGCCTAAATGTATAGCAGGAAAAGGAGATAAGTGTATTCACTAAAGCAAGGAGACTACATCTGGATTTTAAATGTGTGCCCTCAGATAGGACTCCAGTACACAGTGGCTGGATTCTGAGTGTTTGTCCCTCACACAGGATTACAGAACACTGCTACGAGGTTCTGAATGGAAAAGGAAATATCTTCACATAAAGACAAGAAAGAAGCATTCTGAGAAACTTCTTTGTGATGTGTGCATTCACCTCACAGAGTTGAACTTTTCTTTTGATTTAGCACTTTTGAAATACTCTTTTTGTAGTGTCTGCAAGTGGATATTTGGAGCGATTTACAGCCTATGGTGGAAAAGTAAATATCTTCACATCAAAACCAGACAGAAGCATTCTGAGAAACTCCTCTGTCATCTATGCATTCATCTCACAGAGTTGAATGTTTCTCTTGATGGAGCAGTTTTGAAACACTCTTTTTGTAGGATCTGCAAGTGGATATTTTGAGTGCTTTGGGGCCTATGGTGGAAAAGGAAATATCTTCACATAAAAACTAGACAGAAGCATTCTGAGAAACTTCTTTGTGATGTGTGCATTCAACTCACAGAGTTGAAATATTCTTTTGATTGAGCAGTTTTGAAACACTCTTTTTGTAGTATCTGCAAAGTTGGAGGGCTTTGGGAATTCTAGAGGAAAGGGAAATATCTTCCCTTAAAAACTAGACAGAAGCATTCTGAGAAACTTCTTTGTGATGTGTGCATTCATCTCACAGAGCTGAACATTTCTTTTGATTGAGCAGCTTTGAAACACTCTTTTTGTAGAATCTGCAAGTGGACACTGGGAGCGATTTGAGGCCTATGGAGGAAAAGGAAACATCTTCACATAAAAACTACACAAATGCCTTCTGAGAAACTTCTTTGTGATGTGTGCATTCATCTCACAGAATTGAACCTTTCTTTTGATCGAACAGTTTTGAAACACTTCTTTTGAAGGATCTGCATGTGGATATTTGGATCGGTTTGGGGCCTGTGGTGGAAAAGGAAATATCTTCAAATAAAAACTACACAGAAGCATTCTGAGAAAGTTCTTTGTGATGTGTGCATTCAACTCACATAGTTGAAGATTTCTTTTGATTGAGCAGTTTTGAAACAATCTTTTTGTAGTATTTGCAAGTGGATATTTGGAGCGGTTTGAGGCCTATTGTAGAAAAGGAAATATCTTCACATAAATACTAGACAGAAGCACTCTGAGAAACTTCTTTGTGATGTGTGCATTCATCTCACAGAGTTGAAACTTTGTTTTGATTGAGCAGTTTTGAAACACTCTTTTTGTAGAATCTGCAAGTGGATACTTGGAGTGCTTTGAGCCCAATGGTGGAAAAGGAAGTATCTTCAATTAAAAACTAGACAGAAGCATTCTGAGAAACTTCTTTGTGATGTGTGCATTCAACTCACAGAGTTTAAACTTTCTTTTGATTGAGGAGTTTGGAAAATCTCTTTTTGTAGAATCTGCAAGTGGATATTTGGAGCATTTTGCGGCCTATAGTGGAAACGGAGATATCTTCACATAAAAACTAGACAGAAGCCTTCTGAGAAACTCCCTTGTGATGTGTGCATTCATGTCTCAGAGATGAACCTTTCTTTTGATTGAGCAGTTTTGAAACACTCTTTTTGTAGAATTTGCAAGTGGATATTTGGAGTGCTTTGTGGCCAATGGTGGTAAAAGGAAACATCTTCACATAAAAACTGGACGGAAGTATTCTGAGAAACTTCTTTGTGATTTGTGCATTCAGCTCACAGAGTTGAACCTTTCTTTTGATTGAGCAGTCTGAAACACTCTTTTTGTACAATCTGCAAGTGGATAATTGGAGCGCTTTAAGGTCTATGGTGAAGGAAATATCTTCACACAAAAACTAGACAGAAGCATTCTGAGAAACTTCTTTGTGATTTGTGCATTCAACACGCAGAGTTGAACCTTTCTTTTGATTGAGCAGTTTGAAACACTCTTTTTGTAAAATCTGCAAGTGGATATTTGGAGCGCCTTAAGGCCTATGGTGGAGAAGGAAATATCTTCACATAAAAACTGGACAGAAGCATTCTGAGAAACTACTTTGTGATGTGTGCATTCATCTCACAGAATTGAAACTTTCTTTTGATTGAGCAGATTTGAAGCACACTTTTTGTGGAATGAGAAAGTGGATATTTGGAGCGCTTCAAGACCTATGGTGGAAACGGAAATATCTTCACCTAAAAACAACACAGAAGCAGTCTGAGTAACTTCTTTCTGATGTATGCATTCATCTCACAAAGTTGAACATTTCTTTGGATTCAGCAGTTTTGAAAAACACTTTTTGTAGTATCTGCAAGTGGATATTTGGAGCGCTTTGGGGCCTATGGTGGAAAGGGAAATATCTTCACCTAAAAACTACACAGAAGCATTCTGAGAAACTTCTTTGGGATGTGTGCATTCATCTCACAGAGTTGAACCTTTCTTTTGATTGAGAAGTTTTGAAACACTCTTTTTGTAGAATCTGCAAGTGGATATTTTTAACGCTTGGCAGCCTATGGTGGAAAAGGAAATATCTTCACATAAAAACTAGACAGAGGCATTTTGAGAAGCTCCTTTGTGATGTGTGCATTCATCTCACAGTGCTGAACATTTCTTTTGATTTAGCTGCTTTCAAATACTCTTTTTGCAGAATCTGCAAGTGGATATTTGAAGCTCTTTGAGGCTTATGGTGGGAAAGGAAATACCTTCACATAAAAACTAGACAGAAGCATTCTGAGAAACTTCTTTGGGGTGTGTGCATTCATCTCACAGAGTTGAACCTTTCTTTTCATTGAGCAGTTTTGAAACACTCCTTATGTATAATCTGCAAGTGGTTATTTTGAGCGCTTTGAGTCTTCTGGTGGAAAAGGAAATATTTTCACATAAAAAGTAGACAGAAGCATTCTGAGAAACTTCTGTGTGATATGTGCATTCATCTCACAGAGTTGAACCTTATCTTTGATTCAGCAGTTTTGAAACACTCTTTTTGTAGAATCTGCAAGTGGACATTTGGAGCTCTTTGGGGCCTATGGTGGAAAAGGAAATATCTTCACATAAAAACTACACAGAAACATTCTCTGAAACTTCTTTGTGATGTGTGCATTCATCTCACAGAGTTGAACCTTTCTTTTCATTAAGCAGTTTTGAAACACTCTTTTTGTAGAATCTGCAAGTGGATATTTAGTGCGCTTTGTGGCCTAAGGTGGAAAAGGAAATATCTTCACATAAAAACTAGACGGAATCATTCCGACGAACTTCTTTGTGATGTGTGCATTCATCTCACAGAGTTCAAACATACTTTCGATTGAGCAGTTTGGAAACACTCTTTTTGTAGAATCTGCAAGTGGATATTTTTAACGCTTGGCAGCCTATGGTGGAAAAGGAAATATCTTCACATAAAAACTAGACAGAGGCATTTTGAGAAGCTCCTTTGTGATGTGTGCATTCATCTCACAGTGTTGAACATTTCTTTTGATTTAGCTGCTTTCAAATATTCTTTTTGCAGAATCTGCAAGTGGATATTTGAAGCGCTTTGAGGCCTATGGTGGAAAAGGGTCTGCAAGTGGACATTTGGAGAGCTTTGAGGCCTAAGGCGGAAAACAAAATATTTTCATATTATAATTAGACAGAAGCATTCTGAGAAAGTTCTTTGTGATATGTGCATTCATCTCACAGAGTTGAAACTTTCTTTTGAATGAGCAGTTTTGACACACTCTTTTTGTAGAATCTCCAAGTGGACATTTGGAGCGCTTTGCGGACTATGGTGGAAATGGAAATTTCTTCACATAAAAACTGTTCAGAAACATTCTGAGAAACTTCTTTGTGATGTGTCCATTCGTCTGACAGAGTTGAATCTTTCTTTTGATTGAGCAACTTGGAAACTCTCTTTTTGTAGAATCTGCTAGTGGACAATTGGAGTGCTTTGAGGCCTATGGGGGAAAACAAACTATCTTCACTTAAGTACTAGACAGAATAATTCTGAGAAACTTCTTTGTGATGGGTGCATTCATTTCACAGAGTTGAATCATTCTTTTTTTTGAGCAGCTTTGAAAAACTCTTTTTGTAGACTCTGCAAGTGGACATTTGGAGCTCTTTGCAGCCTATGGTGGAAAAGGAAATGTCCTCACATAAAAACTAGACAGAAGCATTCTGACAAACTCCTTTGTGATGTGTGAATTCATCTCACAGAGTTGTAACTTTCTTTTGATTGAACAGTTTTGAAACAATCGTTTTGTAGAATCTGCAATTGGACATTTGGAGTGCTTTGCAGCCTGTGGTGGAAAACGAAATATCTTCACATAAAAACTAGACAGAAGAATTCTGAGAAATTTCTTCATGATGTATGTATTCATCTCACAGAGTTGAACATAACTTTCAATTGAGCAGTTTTGAAACCCTCTTTTTATAGGAGCAGCAAGTGGACATTTGGAGGTCTTTGAGGACTATGGTGGAAAAAAATATCTTCTCATTATAACTAGACAAAAGCATTCTGAGAAACTTCTTTGTGATGTGTGCATTCATCACACACAGTTGAACCTCTCCTTAGATTGAGCAGCTTTGAAACACTCTTTTTGTAGAATCTGCAAGTGGACATTTGGAGCGATTTGAGGCCTATGGTGGAAAAGGAATTATCTTTACATAAAAACTATACAGAAACATTCTCACAAGCTTCTTTGTGTTGTGTGCATACAACTCACAGAGTTGAACCTTTCTTTTGACTGAGCAGTTTTGAAACACTCTTTTTGTAGAATCTGCAAGTGGACATTTGGTGCACTTTGAGGCATATGGTGGAGAAGGAAATATCTTCACTTAACAACTAGGCGGAAGCATTCTGAGAAACTTCTTTGTGTTGTGTGCATTTATCTTACAGAGTTGAACCATACCTTTGATTGAGCAGCTTTGAAAAACTCTTTTTTAGACTGTGCAAGTGAACATTTTGAGCTCTTTGTGTCCTACGGTGGAAAAGGAAATAACTTCACATAAAAACTAGACAGAAGCATTCTGTGAAACTTCTTTGTGATGTGTGCATTCATCTCACAGAGTTGAACATTTCTTTTGATTGAACAGTTTTGAAACACTGTTTTTGTAGAATCTGCAATGGACATTTGGAGGGCTTTGAAGCCTATGGTGGAAAAGGAAGTAACTTCCCATAAAAACTAGACAGAATCTTTCTTAGAAAATTCTTTCTGATGTGTGCATTCATCTCACATAGTTGAACATTTCTTTTGATTAAGCAGCTTTGAAACACTCTTTTTGTAGAATCTGTAAGTGGATATTTGGAGTACTTTGAGGGTGATGGTCAATAATGAAATATCTTCACTTAATAACTAGACAGAAGCATTCTGTGAAACTACTTTGTGATGTGTGCATTCATCTCATAGAGTTGAACATTTCTTTTGATTAAGCTGCTTTGAAACACTCTTTTCTAGAATCTGCAAGTGGATATTTGGAGCGCTGTGAGACCTATGGTGGAAAAGGAAATATCTTCACATAAAAACTATACAGAAACATTCTGACAAATTTCTTTGCGATTGATGTATTCATGTCACAGAATTGAACCTTCCTTTTAATTGAGCAGTTTTGAAACACTCTTTTTGTAGAATCGGCAAGTGGATATTTGGAGAGCTTTGAGGCCTATGGTGGAAAAGGAAATATCTTTACATAAAAACTAGACAGAAGCATTCTGAGAAACTTGTTTGTGATCTGTGCATTCATCTCACAGAGTTGAACCTTTCTTTTGATTCAGAAGTTTGGAAACACTCTTTTTGTAGATTCTGCAAGTGAACATTTGGAGCTCTTTGAGGTCTATGGTTGAAAAGGAAATATCTTCACACACAAAAAAGACAGAAGCATTCTGTCAAACTACTTTGTGATATGTGCATTCATATCACGGAGTTGCACCTTATTTTTGATTGAGAATTTTTGAAACACCCTTTTTGTACTATCTGCAAGTGGACATTTGGAGTGCTTTGAGGCCTATGGTGGAAAAGGAAATATCTTCACATAAAAACTAGACAGAAACATTCTGACAACTTTCTTTGTGATGTGTGCATTCATCTCACAGAGCTGAACCTTTCCTTTGATTGAGTAGTTTGGAAACTCTCTTCTTGTTGATCTGCAAGTGGACATTTGGAGTGCTTTGAGGCCTGTGGTGAAAAGGAAATATCTTCACATAAAAACTAGACAGAAGCTTTCTGAGCAACTTCTTTGTGATGTGTGCATTCATCTCACAGAGTTGAACATTTCTTTGTATTGAGCAGGTTTGAATCACTCTTTTTGTAGAATCTGCAAGTGGACATTTGGAGAGCTTTGTGGCCTATGGTGGAAAAGGAAATATCTTTCCATAAAAACTAGATATAATCATCCTGAGAAAATTCTTTGTGATGTATGTATTCATCAGAGAGAGTTGAACCTTTTTTTCATTGAGCAGTTTTGAAACACTCTTTCTGTAGAATCTGCAAGCAGACATTTGGAGTGATTTGAGGCCTAAGGTGAAAAATGAAATATCTTCACATAATAACTAGACAGAAGCATTCTGAGAAAGTTGTTTGTGATGAATGCATGAATCTCACAGAGTTGAACATTTCTTTTGATTGAGCAGCTTTGAAACACTCTTTTTGTAGAATCTGCAAGTGGACATTTGGAACACTTCAAGGCCTATGGTGGAAAAGGAAATATCTTCATAGAGAAGCTAGACAGAAATATTCTGAGAAATTTCTTTGTGATGTGGGCATTCATCTCACAGAGTTGAAATTTCTTTTGATTGAGCAGTTTTGAAACACTCTTTTTGTAGAATCTGCAAGTGGATATTTGGAGCGCTTCGTGGCATATGGTGGAAAAGGAAGTATCTTCACTTAAATACTAGACAGAAGAATTCTGACAAACTTCTTTGTGATGTGTGCATTCATCTCAAGGAATTGAAACTTACTTTTGATTGAGAAGTTTTGAAGCCCACTTTTTGTAGAATGTGCAACTTGATATTTGGAGCACTTTTAGGCCTTAAGTGGAAAAGAAAATATCTTCACATAAGAACTAGACAGAAGCATTCTGAGAAACTTCTTTGTGATGTGTGCAGTCATCTGACAGAGTTGAACATTTCTTTTGATTTAGCACCTTTGAAACATTATTTTTGTAGGATCTGAATGTGGACCTTTGGAGCGCCTTGAGGCCTATGGTAGAAAAGGAAATATCTTCACATAAAAACTATACAGAAGCATGCTGACAAACTTATTTGTGTTGTTTGCATTCATCTCACAGAATTGAACGTTTCTTTCCATTGAGCAGTTTTGAAACACTGTTTTTGTGCAATCTGCAAGTGGACATTTGGAGCGCTTTGAGGCCTATGGTGGAAAAGGAAATATCTTCACTTAAGAACTAGACAGAACATTCTGAGAAACTTCTTCTTTGTGATGTGTGCATTCATCTCACAGAGTTGAACCTTCCTTTTGATTGAGCAGTTTTGGAACACTCTTTTTGTAGAATCTGCAAGTGGACATTTGGAGAGCTTTGCAGCCAATTGTGGAAAAGGAAATATCTTCACATAACAACAAGACAGCAGCATTCTCAGAAACTTCTTTGTGATGTGTGCATTCATCTTACAGAGTTGAAACTTTCTTTTGATTGAGCAGCTTTGAAACACTCTTTTGTAGAATCTGCAAGTGGACATTAGGAGCGCTTTGAGGCCTGTGGCAGAAAAAGAAATATCTTCACATAAAAACTTGACAGAAGCATTGTCACAAACTTCTTTGGAATGTGTGCTTTCATGTCACAGAGTTGAACATTTCTTTTCATTAATCTATTTTGAAACACTCTTTTGGTAGAATCTGCAAGTGAACATTTGGAATTCTTTGAGGCCTACGGTGGAAAAGGAAATATCTTCACAGAAAAACTACACAGAAGTATTCTGGGAAATTTCTTTGGGATGTGTGCATGCATCTCACAGAGTTGAACTTTCTTTTGATTGAGCAGTTTGAAACACTCTCTTTGTAGAATCTGCAAAGGGACCTTTGGAGCACTTTGTGGCATATGGTGGTAAAGGAAATATCTTCACATAAAAACTAGACAGAAGCATGTTGACAAACTTCTTTGTGTCGTTTGCATTCATCTCACAGAATTGAACCTTTCTTTCCATTGAGCAGTTTTGAAACACTGTTTTTGTACAATCTGCAAGTGGACATTTGGAGCACTTTGAGGCCTATAGTGGAAAAGGAAATATCTTCACTTAAGAACTAGACAGAACATTCTGAGAAACCTCTTTGTGATGTGTGCATTCATCTCACAGAGTTGAACATTTATTTTCAATGAGCAGTTTTGAAACACTCTTTTTGTAGAATCTACAAGTGGACACTTGGTGCGCTTTGAGGCCTATGGTGGAAAAGGAAATATCTTCTCATAAAACACGGACAGAAACATTCTGAGAAACTTCTTCATGATGTGTATATTCATCTCAAAGATTTGAACCTTTCTTTTGATTGAACAGTTTGGAAACACTCTTTTTGCACTATCTGCAAGTGGACATTTGGAGGGCTCTGAGGCCTCTGGTGGAAAAGGAAATATCTTCACTTAAGAACTGCAAAGAATCATTCTGAGAAAATACTTTGTGATGTGTGCATTCATCTGACAGAGTTGAACCTTACTGTTGATTGAGCAGATTTGAAACATCCTTTTTGTACTATCTACAAGTGGACATTTGGAGTGCGTTGATACCTATGGTATAAAAGTATATATCTTTACATAAAAACTAGACAGAAGGATTCTTAGAAATGTCTTTGTTATATGTGCATTCATCTCACAGAGTTGAAACTTTCTTTTGATTGACTAGTTTGGAAAATCTTTTTGAAGGATCTGCAAGTGGACATTTGGATCACTTTGAGGCCTATGGTGCAAAAGGAAATATCTTCACATAAGAAGTAGACAGAAACACTCTCTTTTTATAGAATCTCTAAGTGGACATTTGGAGTGCTTTGCAACCTATGCTGGAAAAGGAAATATCTTCACATTAAAACTAGATAGAAGAATTTTGAGAAACTTCTTTGTGATGTGTGCGTTCATCTCACAGAGTTAAACCTTATTTATGATTGAGCAGTTTGGAAACACAATTTTTGTAGAAACTGCAAGTTTATATTTGGAGAGCTTTGTGGGCTATGCTAGAAAAGGAAATATCTTCACATAAAAACTAGACAGAAGAATTCTGACAGACTTCTTTGTGATGTTTGCGTTCATCTCACAGAGTGGAATCTTTCTTTTGATAGAGCAGTTTTGAAACTCTCTTTTTGTAGAATGTGCAAGTGGACATTTGGATCACTTTGTGGCCTACGGTGGAAAAGGAAATATCTTCACGTAAAAACTAGACAGAAGAATTCAGACAAACTTCTTTGTGATGTGTGCATTCATCTCACAGAATTGAGCCTTTCTTTTGATTGAGCAGTTTGGAATCACTCTTTTTGTAGAATCTGCAAGTGGACATTTGGAGTGCTTTGCGGCCTATTTTAGAAAAGGAAATATCTTCACATAAAATCTAGACAGAAGAAATCTGAGAAACTTCTTTGTGATGTGTGCATGCATCTCACTGAGTTAAACCATTCTTTCAATTGAGCAGTTTTGAAACTCTCTTTTTGTAGAATCTGCAAGTGGACATTTGGAGCGCTTTGAGGCGTATGGTGGAAAAGGAAATATCTTCACATTAAGACTAGACAGAAGAATTCTGACAAACTTCTTCGAGATGTGTGCGTTCATCTCACAGAGTTAAACCTTTCTTTTGATTGAGCAGTTTGGAAACACTCTTTTTGTATCATCCACAAGGGGACATTTGGAACGCTTTGCAGATTATGGTAGGAAAGGAAATAACTTCATATGAAATCTGGACAGAAGCAATCTGAGAAACTATTTTGTGATGTGTGCATTCATCTCACAGAGTTAAACCTTTCTTTTGACTGAGCAGTTTTGAAACTCTCGTTTTGTATAATCTGCAAGTGGACATTTGGAATGCTTTGAAGTCTATGGAGGAAAAGGAAATATCTTCATATAAAAACCAGACAGAAGAATTCTGAGAAACTTCTTTGTGATGTGTGCGTTCATCTCACAGAGTTGAACTTTGTTTTGATTAAGCAGTTTGGAAACTCTCTTTTAGTAGAATCTGCAAGTGGACATTTGGAGCGGTTTGTGGCCGATGGTAGAAAAGAAAATATCTTCACATAAAATGTAGACAGAAGCAATCTGAGAAACTACTTTGTGATGTTTACATTCATCTCATAGAGGTAAAGCTTTCTTTTGATTGAGTCGTTTTGAAACTCTCTTTTTGAAGAATCTGCATGTGGACATCTAGAGCACTTGAGGCCTATGGTGGAAAAGAAAATATCTGCATATAAAAACTAGACAGAAGAATTCTGAGAAACTCCTTTGTGATGTGTGCGTTCATCTCGCAGAGTTGAACCTTTATTTTGATAGAGCAGTTTGGAAACACACTTTTTGTAGAATCTGCAAGTTGACATTTGGAGCGCGTTGTGGCCTATGGTAGAAAAGTAAATATCTTCACATAAAATCTAATAGAAGAAATCTGAGAAACGTCTTTTTGATGTGTGCATTCAACTCACAGAGTGAGAGATTTCTTTTGATGGGGCGGTTTGGAAACTCTATTTTTGTAGAATCTGCAAGTGGATATTTTGAGCGCTTTACAGCCTATGGTGGAAAAGGAAATATCTTCACATAAAAACGAGACAGAAAAATTCTGAGAAACTTTTTTGTGATGCGTGCGTTCATCTCAGAGAATTGAACTTTTCTTTTGGTTGACCAGGTTGGAAACACCCTTTTTGTAGAATCTGCAAGTGGACATTTGGAGCACTTTGTGGCCTTTGGTAGAAAATGAAATGTCTTCACATAAAATCTAGACAGAAGCAATCTGAGAAACTTCTTTGTGATGTGTACGTTTATCTCCCAGAGTTGAACATTTCTATTCATGGATCAGTTTTGACATACGCTTTTTGTAGAATCTGCAAGTGGAGATTTCGAGTGCCTTGAGACCTATGGTGGAAAATGAAATATCTTCATATAAAAACTAGACAGAAAAATTCTGAGAAACGTCTTTGTGATACGTGGGTTCATCTCACAGAGTTGAAACTTTCTTTTGATTGAGCAGTTTGGAAACATGATTTTTGTAGAATCTGCAACTGGACATTTGGAGCGCTTTGCGGCCTATGGCAGAAAAGGAAATATCTTCACATAAAATCTAGACAAAAGCAATCTGAGAAACTTCTTGTGATGTGTGCATTCATCTCACAGTGTTAAAACTTTCTTTTGATTGAGCATTTTTGAGACTCTCTTTTGTAGAATCTGCAAGTGGACATTTGGAGCCCTTTGAGGCCTGTGGTGGAAAAGGAAATATCTTCACATAAAAACCAGACAGAAGAATTCTGAGAAACTTCTTTGTGATGTGTCCATTTATTTCACAGGGTTGAACCTTTCTTTTGATTGAGCAGTTTAGAAACACTCTTTTTGGAGAATCTGCAAGTGGACATTGGAGCGCTTTGAGGCCTATGGTGGAAAAGGAAATATCTTCACATAAAATCTAGACAGAAGCAATCTGAGAAACTTCTTTCTGATGTTTGCGTTCATCTCACATGTTTAACCCTTTCTTTTGATTGAGCAGTTTTGAAACTCTCTTTTTGTAGAATCTGTAAGTGGACATTTGCAGCGCTTTGAGGCCTATGGTGGAAAATGAAATATCTTCACATAAAAACTAGACAGAAGATTTCTGAGAAACTCCTTGTGATGCGTGCTTTCATCTCACAGAGTTGAACCTTTCTTTTGATTGAGCAGTTTGCAAAACAAGCTTTTTGTACAATCTGCAAGTGGACATATGGAGCGCTTCGTGGCCTATGGTAGAAAAGGAAATAACTTCACATAAAATCTAGACAGAAGAAATCTGAGAAACTTCTTTGTGATGTGTGCATTCATCTCACAGAGTTAAACCTTTCTACTGATTGAGGAATTTTGAAACTCTCTTCTTGTAGAATCTGCAAGTGGACATTTGGAGGAATTTGACGCCTATGTTGGAAAAGGAAATATCTTCACAAAAAAAAAATGAGATAGAAGTATTCTCAGAAACTTCTTTGTGATGCTTGCATTCATGTCCCTGAGTTGAAACTTTCTTTGGTGGACAAGTTTTGAAATACTCTTTTTGTAGAATCTGCAAGTGGACATTTCGAGTGCCTTGAGGCCT
Source organism: Homo sapiens (assembly GCF_000001405.40). Taxonomy (NCBI): domain Eukaryota; kingdom Metazoa; phylum Chordata; class Mammalia; order Primates; family Hominidae; genus Homo; species Homo sapiens. Next base: position 64,947,750 of record NC_000009.12, read on the forward strand.
ATGGTGGAAAATGAAATATCTTCACATAAAAACCAGACAGAAGAATTCTGAGAAACTTCTTTGTGATGTGTGTGTTCATCTCACAGAGTTGAACCTTTCTTCTAATTGAGCAGTTTGGAAACACTCTTTTTGTAGAATCTTCAAGTGGACATTTGGAGTGCTTTGCAGCCTATGGTAGAAAAGGAAATATCTTTACATAATATCTAGACAGAAGCAATCTGAGAAACATCTTTGTGATGTGTGCATTCATCTCACAGAGTAAAACCTTCCTTTTAATGGAGCAATTTTGAGTCTCCCTTTTTGTACAAACTGCAAGTGGACATTTGGAGCGCTTTGAGGCCTGTGGTGGAAAAGGAAATATCTTCACATAAAAACTAGATGGAAGAATTCTGAGAAACTCCTTTGTGATGTGTGCGTTCATCTCACAGAATTGAACCTTACTTTTGATTGAGCGGTTTGGGAACACTCTTTTTGTAGAATCTGCAAGTGGACATTTGGAACGCTTTGTGAGCTATGGTAGACAAGGAAATATCTTCACATAAAATCTAGACAGAAGCAACCTGACAAACTTCTTTGTGATGTGTGCATTCATCTCACAGAGTTGAATCTTTCTTTTCATAGAGCAGTTTTGAAACTCTCTTTTGTAAAATCTGCAAGTGGACATTTGAAGTGTTTTGAGGCATATGGTGGTTAACGAAATATCTTTACATAATAACTGGACAAAAACATTCTGAGAAACTTCTTTGTGATGTGTGTGTTCATCTCTCAGAGTTAAACATTTCTTTTGATTGAGCAGTTTTGAAACTCTCTTTTTGAAGAATCTTCAAGTGGACATTTGGAGGGCTTCACTGCCTGTGGTAGAAAAGGAAGTTTCTTCACATAAAATCTAGACAGCAGCTATCTGAGAAACTTCTTTGTGATGCCTGCATTCATTTCACAGAATTGAACATTTCTTTTGACTGAGCAGTTTGGAAACACCCTTTTTTTAGAAGCTGCAATTGGACATTTGAAGAGCTTTGCGGCCTATGGTAGAAAAGGAAATACCTTCACATAAAATCTAGGCAGAATCAGTCTGAGAAACATCTTTGTTATGTCTGCATTCATCTCAGAGAGTTAAACCTTTCTTTTGAATGAGCTGTTTTGAAACTCTCTTTTTGTAGAAACTGCAAGTGGATATTTGAAGTGCTTTGAGGCCTATAGTGGAAAAGGAAATATCTTCACATAAAAACTAGACAGAAGAATTCTGAGAAACTTCTTTGTGATACGTGTGTATTCATCTCACAGAGTTGAAACTTTCTTTTGATTGAGCAGTTAGGAAACACTCTTTTTCCAGAATCTGCAAGGGGACATTTGGAGTGCTTTGTGTCCTATGGTAGAAAAGGAAACATCTTTACATAATATCTAGACAGAAGCAGTCTGAGATACTTCTTTGTGATGTGTGCATTCATCTCACAGAGTTAAACGTTTCTTTTGATAGAGCAGTTTAGAAACTCTCTTTTTGTGGAATCTGCAAGTGGACATTTGGAGGACTTTTGGGCCTGTGGTGGAAAAGGAAATATCTTCACATAAAAATTAGACAGAAGCATTCTTAGAAACATCTTTGTGATGTGTGCATTCAACTCACAGAGTTAAACTTTTCTTTTGATAGAGCAGGTTTGAAACACTCTTTTTGCAGAATCTGCAAGTGGACATTTGGAGAGATTTGAAGGCTATGGTGGAAAAACAAATATCTTCCCATAAAAACTAGACAGAAGCATTCTCAGAAACTTCTGTGTGCTGTTTGCATTCAACTCAGAGACTTGAACATACTTTATAATAGAGCAGTTTTGAAACACTCTTTTAGTAGAATCTGCAAGTGGATATTTGGACCGCTTTGAGGCCTTCGTTGGAAATGGGAATATCTTCACATAATCACTAGATAGAAGTTTCTCTGAAACTTCTTTTTTCTGTGCGCATTCAACTCACAGAGTTGATCCTTTCTTTTGACAGGGCAGATTTGAAACACTTTTTTTATAGAATCTGCAAGTGGACATTTGGAGCGCTTTGAGGCCTATGGTGGAAAAACAAATATCTTCCCACAAAAACTAGAGAGAAGCATTCTCAGAAACTTCTTTGTGATGTTTGCCTTCAACTCATGGAGTTGAACATACCTTATGATAGAGTAGTTTTGAAACACTCTTTTAGTAGGATCTGCAAGTGGATATTTGGATCGCTTTGAAGCCTTCGTTGGAAATGGGAATATCTTCACATAAAAACTGACAGCAGCATCCTCAGAAACTTCTTGTGATGTGTACATTCAACTCATAGAGTTGAAACTTTCTTTTTATGGAACAGTTTTGAAACACTCTTTTTGTAGAATCCGTAAGTGGATATTTGGAATGCGTTGAGGCATTCGTTGGAAACGGGAATATCTTCACATAAACATTAGACAGAAGTTTTCTCCGAAACTTCTTTGGCTATGTACATTCAACTCACAGAGTTGAACCTTTCTTTTGATAGAACAGGTTTCAAACACTCTTTTTGTAGTATCTGCAAGTGAACATTCTGAGCGCTTTGAGGCCTATGGTGGAAAAGGAAATATCTTCACATAAAAACTAGACAGAAGCATTCTCAGAAACTTCTTTGTGATGGTGATGTATGCATCCAACTCACAGAGTTGAACCTTTCTTTTGATAGAGCAGGTTTGAAACACTGTTTTTGCAGAATCTGCATTGGACATTCGGATCCCTTTGAGACCTATGTTGGAAAAGGAAGTATCTTCACATAAAAACTAGACAGAACCATTTTCAGAAACTTCTTTGTGATGTTTGCATTCAACTCACTGAGTTGAACCTTTCTTTTGATAGAGCAGGTTTGAAACACTCTTTTTGTAGAATCTGCAAGTGGACATTTGGAGCGCTTTGAGGCCTATGGTGGGAAAGGAAATATCTTCACATGAAAACTAGACAGAAGAATTCTGAGAAACTTCTTTGTGATGTGTGCGTTCTTCTCACAGAGTTGAAACTTCCTTTTGATTGAGCAGTTTACAGACACTCTTTTTGTAGAATCTGCAATTGGGCATTAGGAGCGCTTTGCGACCTATGTTATAAAAGGAAATATCTTCACATAAAATCTAGACAGAACCAATGTGAGAAACCTCTTTGTGATGTGTGTATTCATCTCACAGAGTTAAACCTTTCTTTTGATCGAGCAGTTTTGAACCTCTTTTTTTGTAGAATCTGCAAGTGGACATTTGGAGTGCTTTGAGGCCTATGGTGGAAAAGGAAATATCTTCACATAAAAACTAAAGAGAAGAGTTCTGAGAAACTTCTTTGTGATGTGTGCGTTCATCTCACAGAGTTGAACCTTTCTTTTGATTGAGAATTACGGAAAAACTCTTTTTGTAGATTCTGTAAGTGGACATTTGAAGCGCTTTGCAGCCTAAGTTAGAAAAGGAAATATCTTCACATAAAATCTAGACAGAAGCATTCTCAGAAACTTCTTTGTGATGTTTGCATTCAACTCACAGAGTTGAACCTTTCTTTTGATAGAGCAGTTTTGAAACTCTCTTTTTGTTGAATGTGGAAGTGGACATTTGGAGCGCTTTGAGGCTTATGGTGGAAAAGGAAATATCTTCACATAGAAACTAGACAGAAGCATTCTCAGAAACTTCTTTGTGATGTTTGCATTCTACTCACAGAGTTGAATATTCATTTTCATGGGGCAGTTTTGAAACACTCTTGTTGTAGAATATGCTAGTGGATATTTGGACTGCTTTGAGGCCTTCGTTGGAAACGGGAATATCTTCACCTAAAAACTAGACAGAATCATTCTCAGAAACTTGTTTGTAATGTGTGCATTCACTTCACAGAGTTGAAACTTTCTTTTGATAGAGCAGTTTTGAAACACTCTTTTTGTAGAATCTGCAAGTGGACACTTGGAACACTTTGAGGCCTATAGTGGAAAAGGAAATATCTTCCCATCTAAACTAGAGAGAAGCATTCTCAGAAACTTCTTTTTGATGTTTGCCTTCAACTCACAGAGTGGAACATACCTTATCATAGAGTCGTTTTGAAACACTCCTTTAGTAGAATCTGCAAGTGGATATTAGGTACCCCTTGAGGCCCTCCTTGGAAACGGGAATATCTTCACATAAAATCTAGACAGCAGCATCCTCAGAAACTTCTTTGTGATGTGTACATTCAACTCACAGAGTTAAACCATTCTTTTGATTGAGAAGTTCTGAAACACTCTTTTTGTAGAATCTGCTAGTGGACATTTGTAGCGCTTTTGGGCATATAGTGGAAAAGGAAATATCTTCACATAAAAACTAGACAGAAGTATTCTCAGAATCTTCTTTGTGATGTGTGCCTTCAACTCAAATAGTTGAAAGTTTATTTTGATTCAGCAGTTTGGAAACACTCTTTTTGGAGATTCTGCAAGTGGACATTTGCAGCGCTATGAGGACTATGGTAGAAAAGGTAATATCTTCAAAAAAATCTAGACAGAAGGAATCTGAGAAACTTCTTTGGCATGTGTGCATTCATCTCACAGAGTTCAAACTTTCTTTTGACTGAGCAGTTTTGAAACTCTGTTTTTGTAGAATTTGCAAGTGGACATTTGGATCATTTTGAGGCCTATGGTGGAAAAGGAAATATCTTCACATAAAAACTTGACAGAAGAATTCTGAGAATCTCCTTTGTGATGTATCAGTTTATCTCACAAATTTGAACCTTCCTTTTGATTGAGCAGTTTAGAAACATTCTTTTTGTAGAATCTGCAAGTGGACTATTGGAGTGCTTTGTTGCCTATGGTAGAAAAGGAAATATCTTCACATAAAATCTAGACAGAAGCAATCTCAGAAACTTCTTTGTGATGTGTGCATTCATCTCAGAGAGTTAAACCTTTCTTTTGGTTGAGTAGTTTTGAAGCTCTCTTTTTGTAGAATCTGCAAGTGGACATTTTGAGTGCTTTGAGGCCTACAGTGGGAAAGGAAATATCTTCACATAAAAACTAGACAGAAGAATTTTGAGAAACTTCTTTGTGATGTGCACGTTCTTCTCACAGAGTTAAAACTTCCTTTTGATTGAGCAGTTTGCAGACACTCTTTTTGTAGAATCTGCAAGTGGACTATTGGAGTGCTTTGTTGCCTCTGTTATAAAAGGAAATATCTTCACATAAAATCTAGACAGAACCAATGTGAGAAACCTCTTTGTGATGTGTGCATTCATCTCACAGAGTTAAAGCATTCTTTTGATTGAGCAGTTTTGAAACTCTTTTTTTGTAGAATCTGCAAGTGAACATTTGGAGTGCTTTTAGGCCTATGGTGGAAAAGGAAATATCTTCACATAAAAACTAGAGACAAGAATTCTGAGAAACTTCTTTGTGATGTGTGCGTTCATCTCACAGAGTTGAACCTTTCTTTTGATTAAGAATTATGGAAGCACTCTTTTTGTAGATTCTGTAAGTGGGCATTTGAAGCGCTTTGCAGCCTAAGTTAGAAAAGGAAATATCCTCACATAAAATCTAGACAGAAGCAATGTGAGAAACTTCCTTGGGATGTGTGCATTCATCTCACAGGGTTAACTCTTACTTTTGATTGAGCAGTTTTGAAACTCTCTTTTTGTTGAATGTGGAAGTGGACATTTGGAGCGCTTTGAGGCTTATGGTGGAAAAGGAAATATCTTCACATAGAAACTAGACAGAAGCACTCTTAGAAACTTCTTTGTGATGTGTGCACTGATCTCACAGAGTTAAGCCTTTGTTTTGATTGAGCAGTTTTGAATCTCTCTTTTTGTAGAATCTGCAAGTTAACATTTGGAGCGCTTTGAGGCCTGTGGAGGAAAAGGAAATATTTTGACATCAAAACTACACAGAAGAATTCGGAGAAGCTTCTTTGTGATGCATGCGTTTATCTCACAGAGTTGAACCTTTCTTTTGATTGAGCAGTTTGGAAACACTCTTTTTGTGGAATCTGCAAGTGGACATTTGGAGCGCTTTGCAGCCTATGTTAGAAAAGGAAATATATTACCATAAAATCTAGATAATATGAATCTGAGAAACTTCTTTGTGATGTGTGCATTCATCTCACAGAGTTAAAACTTTCTTTTGATTGAGCTGTCTTGAAACTCTCTTATTGTAAAATCTGCAAGTGGACATTTGGAGCGCTTTGAGGCCTATGGTGGAAAAGTAAATATTTTCACATAGAAACTAGACAGAAAAATTCTGAGAAACTTCTTTGTGATGTGTGCTTACATCTCACAGAGTTGAACCTTTCTTTAGATTGAGCAGTTTGGAAGCACTCTTTTTGTAGAATCTGCAAGCGGTCATTTGGAGCGCTTTGCGACCTCTGGTAGAAAAGGAAATATCTTCACAGAAAATCTAGATAAAAGCAGTCTGACAAACTTCTTTATGATGTGTGCATTCATCTCACAGAGTTAAACATTTATTTTGATTAAGCAGTTTTGAAACTCTCTTTTTGTAGAATCTGCCAGTGTACATTTGGAGCGCTTTGAGGCCTATGGTGTAAAAGGAAACATCTTCAGATAAAAACTACACAGAATAATTCTGAGAAACTTCTTTGTGATGTGTGCATTCATCTCACAGAGTTGAAACTTTCTTTTGATTAAGCAGTTTGGAATCACTCTTTTTGTAGAATCTGCAAGTGGACATTTGGAGCACTTTGTCGCCTACGTTAGAAAAGGATATATATTAAAATAAAATCTAGACAGAAGCAATCTGAAAAACTTCTTTGTGATGTGTGCATGCATCTCACAGAGTTAAAACTTTCTTTTGATGGAGCTGTCTTGAAACTCCCTTTTTGTAAAATCTGCAAGTGGACATTTGGAGCGCCATGAGGCCTATGATGGAAAAGGAAATATCTTCACATAAAAAGTAGACAGCAGAATTCTGAGAAACTACTTTGTGATGTGTGTGTTCATATGACAGGGTTGAACTTTACTTTTGATTGAGCAGTTTGGAAAGACTCTTTTTGTAGAATTTGCAACTGGACATTTGGAGCGCTTTGTGGCCTATGGTAGAAAAGAAAATATCTTCACATAAAATCTAGATAAAAGCAATCTGACAAACTTCTTTGTGGTGTGTGCATTCATCTCACAGAGTAAACCTTTCTTTTGACTGAGCACTTTGGAAACTCTCTTTTTGTAGAATCTGCAAGTGGACATTTTGAAGGCTTTGAGGCCTATTGTGGAAAAGGAATTATCTTCAAATACAAACTAGACAGAAGAATTATGACAAACTTCTTTGGATGTGTGCATTCAGCTCACGAAGTTGAACATTTCTTTTGATGGAGCAGTTTGGAAACACTCTTTTTGAAGAATCTGCAAGTGGACCTTTGGAGCTGTTTGCAGCCTATGGTGGAAAAGGAAATATCTTCACATAAGATGTAGACAGAAGTAATCTGAAAACCTTCTTTATGATGTGTGCATTCATCTCACAGAGTTAAACGTTTCTTTTGATTGAGCAGTCTTGAAACTCTCTTTTTGTGGAATCTGCAAGTGGACATTTGGAGCGCTTTGAGGCCTACGGTGGAAAAGGAAATATCTTCACATAAAAAATAAATAGAAGCATTTTTAGAAACATCTTTGTGATGTGTGCATTCATCTAACGGATTGAAACCTTTCTTTTGATAGAGCAGTTTTAAAACTCCCTTTTTGTATAATCTCTAAATGGACATTTGAAGGGCGTTCAGGCCTATGGTGAAAAATGAAATATCTTCACATAAAAAGTACATAGAAGCATTCTGAGAAACTACTTTGTGATGTGTGCATTCAACCCCCAGATTTGAACATTCCTTTGAAGGACCAGTTTTGAAATACTCTTTTTGTAGAATCTGCAAGTGGACATTTTGAGTGCCTTCGGGTCTACGGTACGAAAGGAAATATCTTCCATAAAAACTAGAAAGAAGAATTCTGAGAAAGTTCTTTATGATGTGCGCATTCATCTAGAAAGTTGAACATTTCTTTGAATGAGCAGTTTGGAAACACTCTTTTGGTAGAATCTGCAAGTGGACATTTGGAGCGCTCTGAGGCCTATGTTACAACAGGAAATATCTTCACATAAATTGTAGACAGAAGCAATCTGTGAAACTTCTTTGTGATGTGTGCATTCATCTCAAAGAGGTAAAGCTTTCTTTTGATAGAGCAGATTTGAAACTCTCTTTTTGTAGAATCTGCAAGTGGACATTTGGAGCGATTTGATGCATGTGGTGGAAAAGTTAATATCTTCATATAAAAACTAGACAGAAGAATTCTGAGAAACTTCTTTGAGATGTCTGCGTTCATCTCACAGAGTTGAAACTTTCCTTAGATTGAGCAGTTTGGAAACACTCTTTTTGTAGAATCTGCAAGTGGACATTTGGAGAGCTTTGCGGCCAATGGTAGAAAAGGAAATATCTTCACATAAAGTCTAGACAGAAGCAATCTGAGAAACTTCTTTGTGATGTGTGCATTCATCCCACAGAATTAAAAGTTTCTTTTGATTTAGCAGTTTTGAAACTCTCTTTTTGTAGAATCTGCAACTGGACATTTGGAGTGCTTTGTGCCCTATGGTAGAAAAGGAAATATCTTCATATAAAATCTTGACAGAAGCAATCTGAGAAGCATCTTTGTGATATGTGCATTCATCCCAGAGAGTTAAAACTTTCTTTTGATTGAGGAGTATTGAAACTCTGTTTTTGTAAAATCTGCAAGTGGACTTTTGGAGCCCTTTGAGTCCAATGGTGGAAAAGGAAATATCTTCCCATAAAAACCAGACAGAAGAATTCTGAGAAACTTCTTTGTGATGCGTGCATTAATCTCACAGAGTTGAACCTTTCTTTTGATTAAGCAGTTTGCAACCACTCTTTTTGTCGAACCTGCAAGTGGACATTTGGAGGGCTTTGTGGCCTATGGAAGAACAGGAAATATCTTCACATAAAATCTAGACAGAAGCAATCTCAGAAACTTCTGTGTGTTGTGTGCATTCATCTCACAGAGTTAAAATTTTCTTTTGATTGAGCAGTTTGGAAACTCTCTTTTTGTAGGATCTGCAAGTGGACATTTGCAGTGCTTTGAGTTCAATGGTGGAAAAGGAAATATCTTCACATAAGAACTAGACAGAAGAATTCTGAGAAACTTCTTTGTGATGTGTGCGTTCATCTCACAGAGTTGAACTTTTCTTTTTATTGAGCCGTTTGAAAACACTGTTTTTGTAGAATCTGCAAGTGGACATTTGTAGCACTTTGGAGCCAATGGTAGAAAAGGAAATATCTTGACGTAAAATCTACACAGAAGCAATCTGGGAAACTTCTTTGTGATGTGCGCGCTCATCTCACAAAGTTAAACCTTTCTTTTGATTGAGCAGTTTTGAAACTCTCTTTTTGTAGATTCTGCAAGTGAACGTTTGGAGCGGTTTGAGACCTACGGTGGAAAAGGAAATATATTCACATAAAAACTAGATAGAATCAATATGAGAAACTACTTTGTGATATGTGCGTTCATCTCCCAGATTTGAATCTTTCTTTTGATGGGCCAGTTATTTATTACTCTTTTTGTGGAATCTGCAAGTGGACATTTCAAGCCCCTTGAGGCCTACTGTGGAAAATGAAATACATTCACATAAAAACTAGACAGAAGAAAACTGAGAAACATCTATGTGACGTGTGCGTTCATCTTACAGAGTTAAACTTTTTTTGATCGAGCAGTTTGGAAACACTTTTTGAACAATCTGCAAGTCGACATTTGAAGCTCTTTGAGAACTGTGGTGGAAAAGGAAATATCTTCACATAAAAACTAGACAGAAGAATACTGTGAAATCACTTTGTGATGCGTGCGTTCATCACACAGAGTTGAAAGTTTCTTTTCATTGGGCTGTTTGGAAACACTCTTTTTGCAGAATCTACATGTGGACAATTTTAGCGCTTTGCGGCCTATGGTAGAAAAGGAAATATCTTCACATAAAATCTAGACAGAAGCAATCTGACAAACTTCTTTGTGATGTGTTCATTCATCTCACAGAGTTAAACCTTTCTTTTTATTGAGCAGTTTTGAAACTCTCTTTTTGTAGTATCTGCAAGTGGACATTTGGAGCCCTTTTAGGCCTGTGGTAGAAAAGGAAATCTCTTCACATAAAAACTAGACAGAAGAATTCTGAAAAACTTCTTTGTGATGCGTGCTTTCATCTCCCACAGTTGAAACTTTATTTTGATACAGCAGGTTGGAAACACTCTTTTGTAGAATCTGCAAGTGCACATTCGGAGCGCTTTGTGGCCTGTAGTAGAAAAGGAAATATCTTCACATAAAGTCTAGACTGAAGCAATCTGAGAAACTTCTTTGTGATGTGTGCATTCATCTCATGGAGTTAAACTTTTCTTTTGATTGAGCAGTCTTGAAGCTCTCTTTTTGTAGAATCCGCAAGTGGATATTTGGAGCTCTTTGAGGCCAACAGTGGAAAAGGAAATATCTGCACATAAAAACTAGACAGAAGAATTCTGAGAAACTACTTTGGGACGTGTGCATTCATCTCACAGATTTGAACCTATCTTTTGATTGAACCGTTTGGAAACACTCTTTCTGTAGAATATGCAAGTGGACATTTGGAGAACTTTGTGGCATATGGTAGAAAAGGAAATATCCTCACATAAAATCTAGACAGAAGCCATCTGAGAAACTTCTTTGTGATGTGTGCATTTATCTCACAGAGTTAAACCTTTTTTTTGATTGAGCAGTTTGGAAACACTCTTTTTGTAGAATCTCGAAGTGGACATTTGGAGCGCTTAGAGGCCTATGGTGGAAAAGGAAATATCTTCACATAAAAACTAGACAGAAGAATTCTGATAATCTTCTTTGCGATGTGTGCGTTCATCTCACAAAGCTGAAATTTTCTTTTGATTGAGCAGTTTGGAAACACTCTTTTTGTAGAATCTGCAAGTGGACATTTGCAATGCTTTGCGGCCTATGGTTGAAACAGAAATATCTTCACATAAAACCTAGAGAGAAACAATCTGAGAAACTTCTTTGTGATGTGTGCATTCATCTCACAGAGTTAAACCTTTCTTTTGATTGAGCGGTTTTGAAACTCTCTTTTCATAGAATCTGCAAGTGGACATTTGGAGCGCTTTGAGGCCTGTGGTGGAAAAGGTAATATCTTCACATAAAAACTAGACAGAAGAATTCTGACAAACTTCTTGGGAATGTGTGCGTTCATCTCACAGACTTGAACCTTTCTTTTGATTGAGCAGTTTGGAAACACTCTTTTTTGTAGAATCTGCAAATGGACATTTGAAGCGCTTTGCGACCTATGGTAGAAAAAGTAACACCTTCACATAAAATCTAGAGAGAAGCAATCGGAGAAACTTCTTAGTGATGGGTGCATTCATCTCACAGAGTTTAAACTTTCTTTTGATTCAGCAGTTTTGAAACTCTCTTTTTGTAGAATCTGCAAGTGGACATTTGGAACGCTTTGAGGCCTATGGTGGAAAAGGAAATATCTTCACATAAAAACTAGAAAGAAGAATTCTGACAAACTTCTTTGTGATGTGTGCGTTCTTCTCACAGAGTGGAACCGTTCTTTTGATTGAGCAGTTTGGTACCACTCTTTCTTGTAGAGTCTGCAGGTGGGCATTTGGAGAGCTTTGCCGTCTATGGTAGAAAAGTAAATATCTTCACATAAAATCTACACAGAAGCAATATGAGAAACTTGTTTGTGATATATGCATTCATCTCACAGAGATAACCCTTTCTTTTGATTGAGCAGTTTTGAAACTCTCTTTTTGTAGAATCTGCAAGCCGACATTTAGAGCGTCTTGAGGCCTATGATGGAACAGGAAATATCTTCACATAAAAATTAGACAGAAGAATTCTGAGAAACTTCTTTGTGATGAGTGTGTTCATCTCACAGAGTTGAACATTTCTTTTGATTGAGTAGTTTGGAAACACTCTTTTTTTGTAGAATCTGCAAGTGGACATTTGGAACTCTTTGCGGCCAATGGTAGAAAAGGAAATATCTTCACATAAAATCTAGACAGAAGCAATCTGAGAAACTTCTTTGTGATGCGTGCATTAATCTCACAGAGTTAAACCTTTCTTTTGATTGAGCAGATTGGAAACTCTCTTTTTGTAGAACCTGCAAGTGGACATTTGGCAGCGCTTTGAGGCCTGTGGTGGAGAAGGAAATATCTTCACATAAAAAGTAGATAGAAGCATTCTGAGAAAGTTCTCTGTGATGTCTGCACTCATCTCCTGGAGTTCCAACTTTCTTTAGGAGAACCAGTTTTCAAATACTCTTTTTGGAGAATCTGCAAGGGGACATTTCAAGCACCTTGAGGCTTAAGTTGGAAAAGGAAATATGTTCACAAAAAAAACAGAAGAATTCTGAGAATCTTTTTTATGATGTGTACGTTCATCTAACAGAGTTGAACCTTTCTTTTGATTGCGTAGTTTGGGAACACCCTTTTTGTAGAATCGGCAAGTGGACATTTGGAGCACTTTGCGGCCTATGATAGAAAAGGAAATATCTTCACATAAAATCTAGAAGGAAGCAATCTGAGAAACTCCTTTGTGATGTGTGCATTCATCTCACAGAGTTGAAACTTTCTTTTGATTGAGCAGTTTTGAAACACTCTCTTCGTGAAATCTGCAATTGGATATTTGGAGCCCTTTGAGGCCTACTGTGGAAAAGGAAATATCTTCACATAAAAACTACTCAGAAGCATTCTGAGAAACACCATTGTGATGTTTGCATTCAACTCACAGAGTTGAAACTATGTTTTGATTGAGCAGTTTTGAATCTCTCTTTCTGCAGAAACTACAAGTGTATGTTTGGAAAGCTTTGAGGCCTATTGTGGAAAAGGAAATATCTTCACATAAAAACTACACAGAAGCATTCTGAGAAACTACTTTGTGAGGTGTGCATTCAACTCACAGAGTTGAAATTATCTTCTCTTTGAGGAGTTTCCAATCTCTCTTTTTGTAGAATCTGCAAGTGGATATTTGAAGATCTTTGCACCCTATGGTGGAAAAGGAAATATCTTGAAATAAAAACTACACAGAAGCATTCAGAGAAACTTCTTTGTGATATGTGCATTCAACTCACAGAGTTGAACCTATCTTTTGATTGAGCAGTTTTGAATCTCTCTTTATGCACAATCTGAAGGTGGATATTTCGAGCCCTTTGAGGCCTACAGTGGAAAAGCAAATATCTTCACATAAAAACTATGCAGAAGCATTGTGAGAAACTACTTTGTGAGGTGTGCATTCAACTCACAGAGTTGAACTTATCTTCTCATTGAGCAGTTTTGAATTTATCTTTTGGTAGAATCTCCAAGTGGATATTTGGAGCCCTTTGCGCCCTATGGTGGAAAAGGAAATATCTTCAAATAAAAACTACACAGAATCACTCAGAGAAACTGCTTTGTGATGTGTGCATTCATCTCACAGGGTTGAACCTAGCTTATGATTGAGCAGTTTTGAAATACTCTTTTTGTAGGATCTTCAAGTGGATATTTGGAGCGCTTTGAGGCCTACAGTGGAAAACTAAATATCTTCAAATAAGAACTACACAGAAGCATTCTGAGAAACTTCTTTGTGATGTGTGCATTCATCTCACTGAGTTCAACCTTTCTTTTCATTGCGCAGTTTTGAAACACCGTTTTTGTAGAATCTGCAAGTGGATATTTGGAGAACTTTGCCGCCTATTGTGGAAAAGGAAACATCTTCACATAAAAACTACTCAGAAGCATTCTGAGAAACTTCTTTGTGATGTGGGCATTAAACTCACAAAGTTGAACCTATCTTTTGATTGAGCAGTTTAGAGTCTCTCTTTTTCTATAATCTACAAGTGGATATTTGGAGCCCTTTGCGCCCTATGGTGGAAAAGGAAATATCTTCAATAAAAACTACACAGAAGCATTCTAAGAAACTTCTTCGTGATGTGTACAGTCAACTCACTGAGTTGAACTTATCTTCTCAATGAGCAGTTTTGAATCTCTGTTTTTGTAGATTCTGCAAGTGGATATTTAGAGCCCTTTGTGCCCTATCATGGAAAAGGAATTATCTTCAAATAGAACTACACAGAACCATCCAGAGAAACTTCTTTCTGATGTATGCATTCAACTCACAGAGTTGAACCTATCTTTTGATTGAGCAGTTTTGAATACCTCTTTTTGAAGAATCTGCAGGTGGATATTTGGAGCCTTTTGAGGCCTGCTGTGGAAAATCAAATATGTTCACATAAAAACTATACAGAAAGATTCTGAGAAACTTCTTTGTGATGTGTGCATTCAACTCAGAGAGTTGAACCTATCTTTTGATTGAGCAGTTTTGAATCTCTCTTTTTGTAGAATCTGCAAGTGGATATTAGGAGCCCTTTGTGCCCTATGGTGGAAAAGGAAATATCTTCAAATAAAAACTACATAGAAGCATTCAGAGAAACTGCTTTGTGATGTGTGCATTCAACTCACAGAGGTGAACTTATCTTTTGTTTGAGCAGTTTTGAATCTCTCTTTATGCAGAATCTGCAGGTGGATATTTGGAGACCATCGAGGCCTTCTGTGGAAAAGGAAATAACTTCAAATAAAAACTATACAGAAGCATTCTCAGAAACTTCTTCATGATGTATGCATTCAACTCACAGAGTTGAACCTATCTTTTGATTGAACAGTTTTGAATCTCTCTTTTTGCACAATCTGCAAGTGGATGTTTGGAGCGTCGTGAGGCCTACTGTGGAAAATCAAATATGTTCACATAAAAACTAAACAGAAGCATTCTGAGAAACTTCTTTGTGATGTGTGCATTCAACTCACAGAGTTGAACCTATCTTTCGATGGAGCAGTTTTGAATCTCTCTTTTTTCAGGATCTGTAAGTGGATGTTTGGAGAGCTTTGAGGACTATTGTGGAAAAGGAAATATCTTCACATAAAAACTACACAGAATCATTCTGAGAAACTTCTTTGTGAGGTGTGCATTCAACTCACAGAGTTGATCTTATCTTCTCATTGAGCAGTTTTGAATCTCTCTTTTTGTAGAATCTGCAAGTGGATATTTGGAGCCCTTTCAGCCCTGCAGTGGAAAAGGAAATATCTTGAAATAAAAACTACACAGAAGCATTCAGACACACTTCTTTGTGATGTGTGCATTCAACTCACAGAGTCGAAAGTATCTTTTGATTGAGCAGTTTTGAATCTCTCTTTTTGCAGAATCTGCAGGTGGATATTTGGAGCCCTTTGAGGCCTACTGTGGAAAAGCAAATATCCTCACATGAAAATTACACAGAAGCATTCTGAGAAACTACTTCGTGACGTGTGAATTCATCTCACAGGGATGAGTTTATCTCATGATTGAGCAGTTTTGAAACACTCTTTTTGTAGAATATGGAAGTGGATATTTGTACCGCTTTGAGGCCTTCGTTGGAAATGGGAACATCTTCACATAAACACTCGACAGAAGCATTCTCAGAAACTTCTTTGTGATGTGTGCATTCAACTCACAGAGTTGAACGTTTATTAGATAGAGCACGTTTGAAACACTCATTTTGTAGAATCTGCAAGTGGACATTTGGAGAGCTTTGAGGACTATGGTGGGAAAGGAAATATCTTCACATCAAAACTAGACAGAAGCATACTCAGAAACTTCTTTATGAAGTTTGCATTAAACTCACAGAGTTGAACTTTCATTTTCATAGACCAGTTTTGAAACACTCTTTTCATAGTATCTGCAAGTGGATATTTGGACTGCTTTGAGGACTTCATTGGAAACGGGTATAACTTCACATAAACATTAGACAGAAGCATTCTCAGAAACTTCTTTGTGATGTGTGCATTCAAGTCACAGAGTTGAACATACCTTATCATAGAGTAGTTCTGAAACCCTCTTTTAGTGGAATCTGCAAGTGGATATTTGGACTGCATTGAGGCCTTCTTTGAAAATGGGAGTATCTTCACATAAACACTAGACAGAAGCATTCTGAGAAACTTCTTTGTGATGTGTGCATTCAACTCACAGAGTTGAACTTTTCTTTTGATAGAGCAGGTTTGAAACACTCTTTTTGTAGAACCTGCAAGTGGACATTTGGAGAGATTTGAGGCCTATGGTGGAAAAGGAAATATCTTCCAATAAAAAATAGAAGGATTCTCAGAAACTTCTTTGTGATGTTTGCGTTTGCCTTACAGAGTTGAACACACGTTATCATAGAGCAGTTTTGAAACACTCTTTGAGTAGAATCAGCAAGTGGATATTTGGACCCCTTTGAGGCCTTCATTGGAAACGGGAATATCTTCACATAAAAACTAGACAGAAGCATTCTCAGGAACTTCTTTGTGATGTGTGCATTCAACTCACAGAGTTGAACCTTTCTTTTGATAGACCAGGTTTGAGACACTCTTTTTGTAGAATTTGCAAGTGGATATTTGGAAAGCTTTGTGGCCTACCGTGGAAAAGGAAATATCATCAAATAAAAACTAGACAGAAGCATTCTCAGAGACTTGTTCGTGATCTTTGCATTCAACTCACAGAGTTGAACATACCTTATCATAGAACAGTTTTGAAAGACTCTTTTACTAGAATTTGCAAGAGGATATTTGGAGTGTTTTGAGACCAACATTGGAAACGGGAATATCTTCACATAAACACTAGACAGAAGCATTCTCAGAAAGTTCTTTGTGATGTGTGCATTCAACTCACAGAGTTGAACGTTGCTTTTGATGGAGCAGTTTTGACAAACTCTTTTTGTAAAATCTGCAATTGGATATTTGAAGAGCTTTGAGGCCTATGGTCAAAAAGGAAATATCTTCACATAAAAGCTACAGAGAAGCATTCTCAGAAACTTCTTGGTGATGTGTGCTTTCAACTCACAGAATTGAACCTTGCTTTTGATAGAGCAGGTTTGAAACACTCTTTTTGTGGAATCTGCAAGTGAATATTTGGACCACTTTGAGGCCTTCATTGGAAACGGGAATATCTTCACATAATCACTAGACAGAAGCTTTCTCAGAAACTTCTTTGTGCTGTGTGCATTCAGCTCAGAGAGTAGAACCTTTCTTTTGATAGAGCAGGTTTGAAACACTTTTTTCATGGAATCTGCATGTGGATATTTGGACCGCTTTGAGGCCTTCGTTGGAAACGAGAGTATTTTCACTTAAACACTAGACAGAAGCATTCTCAGAAACTAATTTGTGATGTGTGCATTCAACTCACAGAGTTCAACCTTCCTTTAGATAAAGCACGTTTGAAACACTCATTTTGTAGAATCTGGAAGTGGACGTTTGAAGAAATTTGAGGCCTACAGTGGGAAAGGAAATGTCATCACATAAAAACTAGACAGAAGCATTCTCAGAAACGTCTTTGAGATGTGTGCATTCAACTCACAGTGGTGTACCTTCCTTTTCATAGAGCATTTTTTAAACACACTTTTCGTAGATTCTGCAAGTGGATATTTGGACCGCTTTGAGGCCTTCGTTAGAAACGGGAATATCTTCACATAAAAACTAGACAGAAGCATTTCAGAAACTTCTTTGTGATGTGTGCATTCAACTCACAGAGTTGAAACTTTCTTTTGATGGAGAAGGTGTTAAACACTGTTTTTGTGGAATATAAAAGTGGACATTTGGTGCGCTTTGAGGCCTATGGTGGAAAAGGAAATATCTTCACATAAAAAATAGACAGAATCATTCTCAGAATCTTGTTTTTGATGGATGCATTCAATTCACAGAGTTGAACATGCTTTATTATAGAGCAGTTTTGAAACACTCTTTTGTAGAATCTGCAAGTGGATATTTGGACCACTTTAAGGCCTTCTTTGGAAAGGGGTATATCTTCACATAAACACTAGACAGAAGCATTCTCAGAAACTTCTTCATACTGTGTGCATTCAACTCGGTGAGTTGAACCTTTCTTTTGATAGAGCAGTTTTGAAACACTCTTTTTGAAGAATCTGCATGTGGATATTTGGACGGCTTTGAGACCTTCTTTGGAAACTGTAATATCTTGACATAAACACTAGACAGAAGCATTCTCAGAAACTTCTTTCGGATGTGTGCATTCAACTCGCAAATTTGAACGTACCTTATCATGGAGTAGTTTTGAAACTCTCTTTTAGTGGAATCTGCAAGTGGATATTTGGACCGCTTTGAGGTCTTCGTTGGAAACAGGAATATCTTCACATAAACACTAGACAGAAGCATTCTCAGAAATTTCTTATTGATGTGTGCATTCAACTCACAGAGTTGATCTTTTCTTTTGACAGAGCAGGTTTGAAACACTCTTTTTGTAGATTCTGCAAGTGGACATTTGGAGAGATTTGAGGCCTGTGGTGGAAAAGGAAATATCTTCATATAAAAACTAGACAGAAGAACTCTCCAAAACATCTTTGTGATGTTTGCATTCAATTCACAGAGTTGAACATATCTTTTCATAGAGCAGTTTTGAAACACTCTTTTCGTAGAATCTGCAAGTGGATATTTGGAATGCTTTGAGGCTTACGTGGGAAACGGAAATATCTTCACATAAAAACTAGACAGAAGCATTCTCAGAAACTTCTTTGTAATGTGTGCGTTCAACTCACAGAGTTGAAACTATCTATATAGAGCAGGTTTGAAACACTCTTTTTGTAGAATCTGCAAGTGGACATTTGCAGCACTTTGATTCCTATCGTGGAAAAGGTAATATCATCACATAAAGACTAGACTGTAGCTTTCTCAGAAACTTCTTTGTGATGTATGCATTCAACTCACAGAGTTGAAAATACCTCTTCATAGCGCAATTTAGAAACTCTCTTTTTGTAGAATGTGCAAGTTGATATTTGGAACTCTGTGAGGTCTTCGTTGGAAACCGGGAATAACTTCACATAAAAACTAGACAGAAGCATTCTCACAAACTTCTTTGTGATGTGTGCATTAAACTCACAGATTTGGACCTTGCTTTTGATAGAACAGATTTGAAACACTCTTTTTTTAGAATCTGCACGTGGGCATTTGGAGCACTTTGAGGCCTATGGTGGAAAAGGAAATATCTTCACATAAAAACTACACAGAAGCATTCTCAGAAACTTCTTCGTGATGTGTGCATTCACCTCAGAGAGTTGAACATTTCTTTTGATAGAGCAGTTTTGAAACACTCTTTTTGTAAAATCTGCAAGTGGATAGATGGAATGCTTTGCGGCCTTCGTTGGAAACGGGAGTATCTTCACATAATCACTAGACAGAAGCTTTCTCAGAAACTTTTTTGTGCTGTGACATTCAAGTAAGGGAGTTGAACCTTTATTTTGAAAGAGCAGGTTTGAAACACTCTTTTTGTGGAGTCTGCAAGTGGACATTTGGAGAGTTTTGAGGCCTATGGTGGAAAAGGAAATATCTTCACGTAAAAACTACACAGAAGCATTCTCAGAAACTTCTTTGTGATATTTGTATTCAACTCACAGAGTTGAACTTTCTTTGATAGAGCAGTTTTGAACCAATCTTTTTGAAGAAACTGCAAATGGATATTAGGACAGCTTTGAGGCCTTCGTTGAAAACGGGAATGTCTTTACATAAACACTAGACAGAAGCATTCCCAGAAACTTCTCTGTGATGTGTGTATTCAATTCACAGAGTTGAACCTTTCTTTTGATAGAGCAGGTTTGAAACAATCTTTTTGGAGGATCTGAAGTGAACTTTTGGAGAGCTTTGAGGCCTATGGTGGAAAAAGAAGTATCTTTATATAAAAAGCAGGCAGAAGAATTCTCATAAAATTCTTTGTGATCGTGCATTCAACTCACAGATTCGAACATACATTTTGATAGAGCAGTTTTGAAACACTCTTTTAGTAGAATCTGCATGTGGATATTTTTACCGCTTTGAGGCCTTCGTTGGAAACGGGAATATCTTCACATAAAAAATAGAAGCATTCTCAGAAACTTCTTTGTGATGTTTGTTTTCAACTCACAGATTTCAACGTACCTTATCATAGAGTAGCTTTGAAACACTCTTTTAGCAGAATCTGCACGTGCATATTTGGAGAGCTTTGAGGCTTGTCGTGGAAAAGGAAATATCATCATATAAAAACTAGACAGAAGAATGCTCAGAAACATCTTTGTGATGTTTGCATTCAACTCAAAGAGTTGAACATACCTTTTAATAAAGCAGTTTTGGAACACTCTTCGTGGAATCTGCAAGTGGATATTTGGAATGCTTTGAGGCCTTCATTGGAAACGGGAATATCTTCACATAAAAACTAGACAGAAGTATTCTCAGAAAATTCTTTAGGGTGGTTGCATTCAACACACAGAGTTGAACATACCTTGTCCTAGAGCAGTTTTGAAACACTCTTTTTGTAGAATCTGCAAGTGGATATTTGGACCGCTTTGAGGCTTTCGTTGGAAACGGGAATATCTTCACATAAACAGTAGACAGAAGGATTCTCAGACTCTTCTTTGTAATGTGTGCTTTCAACTCACAGAGTTTAACCATTCTTTTGATAGAGCAGGTTTGAAACACTCTTTTTGTAGGATCTGCAATTCGACATTTTGAGAGCTTTGAAGCCTACGGTTCAAAAGGAAATATCATCACATAAAAAGTAGACAGAAGCATTCTCAGAAACTACATTGTGATGTTTGCATTCAACACACAGAGTTGAACATAACTTTTCATGGAGCAGTTTTGAAACACTCTTTATGTAGAAGCTGCAAGTGGATATTTGGATAGCTTTCAGGACTTCGTTGGAAACGGGAATATCTTCACATAAAAACTAGAGAGAAGCATTCTCAGAAACTAGTTTGTGAGGTTTGCATTCAACTCACAGAGTTGAACATACTTTATCATAGAGCAGTTTTGAAACACTCTTGTAGTAGAAGCTGCAAGCGGATATTTGGACCGCTTTGAGGTCTTCGTTGGAAACGGCATTATCTTCACATAATCACTAGACAGATGCTTTCTCAAAAACTTCTTTGTACTGAGTGCATTCAACTCACAGAGTTAACCTTATTTCATCGAGCAGGTATGAAACACTCTTTTTGTAGAATCTGCAACTGGACATTTGGAGAGCTTTGAGGCCTATGGTGGAAAAGGAAATATCTTCACACAAAAACTAGACAGAAGCAGACTCAGAAACGTCTTTGTGGTGTTTGCATTCAACTCACAAAGTTGAAGATACCTTTCCATGGAGCAGTTTTGAGACACTCTTTTTGTAGAATCTGCAAGTGGATATTTGGACCGCTATGAGGCCTTCGTTAGAAATGGAAATATCTTCTCATAAACACTAGACAGAAGCATTCTCAAAAACTTCTTTGTCATGCGTGCATTCAACTCACCGAGTTGAACATACTTTGTCATAGAGCAGTTTTGAAGCACTCTTTTAGTAGAATCTGCAAGTGGATATTTGGACCGCTTTGAGACCTTCATTGGAAACGGGAATATCTTCACATAAAAACTAGACAGATGCATTCTCAGAAACTTCTTTGTGATGTGTGTATTCAACATAAAGATTTGAACCTTTCTTTTAATAGAGCAGGTTTGAAACACTCTTTTTGTAGAATCTGCAAGTGGACATTTGGAGAGCTTTGAGGCCTATGGTGGAAAAGGAATTATCTTCTCATAAAAACTAGACAGAAGCATTCTCAGAAACAACTTTGTGATGTGTTCATTCAACACAAAGAGTTGAAGGTTTCTTTTGATATAGCAGGTTTGAAATACTCTTTTTGTAGAATCTGCAAATGGACATTTGGAGAGCTTTGAGGCCTATGGTGGAAAAGGAAATATCTTCACACAAAAACTAGACAGAAGCATTCTCAGAAACGTCTTTGTGATGTTTGCATTCAACTCACAAAGTTGAAGATACCTTTCCATGGAGCAGTTTTGAGACACTCTTTTTGTAGAATCTGCAAGTGGATATTTGGACCGCTATGAGGCCTTCGTTAGAAATGGAAATATCTTCTCATAAACACTAGACAGAAGCATTCTCAAAAACTTCTTTGTCATGCGTGCATTAAACTCAAAGAGTTGAACCTTTCTTTTGATAGAGTAGCTTTGAAATACTCTTTTAGTAGAATCTGCAAGTGGATATCTGGAGAGCTTTGAGGCCTATGGTGTAAAAGGTTATATCTTCATATAAAAATTAGAGAGAAGAATTCTCAGAAACTTCTTTGTGATGTTTGCATTCAACTCAGAGTTGAACGTACCTTTTCATAGAACAGTTTTGAAACACTCTTTTCCTAGATTCTGCAAGTGGATATTTGGAACGCTTTGAGGCCTTCGTTGGAAACGGGATTATGTTCACACAAAAACGGGCAGAAGCATTCTCAGAAACATCTTTGTGATGTGTGCATTCAACTCAAAGAGTTGAAACTTTCTTTTGATAGAGCATGTTTGAAACACTCTTTTTGTAGAATCGGCACCGGACATTTTTAGAGCTATGAGGCCTATGGTGGAAAAGGAAATATCTTTAAATAAAAACCAGACAGAAGAATTCTAAGGAACTACATTGTGATGTTTGCATTCAACTCATACAGTTGAACATACCTTTTGATAGAGCAGTGTTGAAACACTCTTTTTGTAGAATCTGCAAGTGAATATTTGGACCGCTTTGAGGCCTTCATTGGAAATGGAAATATCTTCACATAATCACTAGATAGAAGCTTTCTCAAAAACTTTTTTGTACTGTGTGCATTCAACTCACGGAGTTGTACCTTTCTTTTGATGGAGCAGGTTTGAAACACTCTTTTTCCAGAATCTGCAAGTGGACATTTGGAGTGCTTTGAGGCCTATGGTGGAAAAGGAAATATCTTCCCATAAAAACCAGACAGAAGCATTCTCAGAAAGTTCTTATGATGTGTGCATTCAATTCACAGAGTTGAACATACCTTATCATAGAGCACTTTTGAAACACTCTTTTAGTAGAATCTGAGAGTGGATATTTGCACTGCTTTGAGGCCTTCCTTGGCAAGGGGATTATCTTCACATAAACACTAGACAGAAGCATTCTCAGCAACTCCTTTGTGATGTGTGCATTCAACTCACAGAGTTGAACCTTTCTTTTCATAGAGCAGGTTTGAAACCGTCTTTTTGCAGAATCTTCAAGTGGACATATGGCAAGCTTTGAGGCCTACGATGGAAAAGGAAATATCATTATATAAAAACCAGACAGAATAATTCTCAGGAACTACTTTGTGATGTTTGCTTTCAAATCACAGGGTTGAACATACCTCTTCATAGAGCAGTTTTGAAGCACTCTTTTTGCAGAATCTGCAAGTGGATATTTGGAATGCTTTGAAGCCTTCGTTGGAAACGGGAATATCTTCAAATAAACACTAGATAGAAGCATTTCAGAAACTTCTTTGTGATGTGTGCATTCAACTCACAGAGTTGAAGCT
The DNA here is from genome assembly GCF_000001405.40 of Homo sapiens. Taxonomy (NCBI): domain Eukaryota; kingdom Metazoa; phylum Chordata; class Mammalia; order Primates; family Hominidae; genus Homo; species Homo sapiens. The sequence continues at coordinate 64,971,063 of NC_000009.12, forward strand.
TTCTTTTGATAGAGCAGGTTTGAAACACTCTTTTTGTAGAATCTGCAAGTGGATATTTGAACTACTTTGAGGCCTTCATTGGAAAAGGAGATATCTTCACATAAACACTAGACAGAATCGTTCTCAGAAACTTCTTTGTGATGTGTGCATTCCACTCACAGAATTGAACCTTTCTTTTGATAGAGCAGGTTTGAAACACTTTTTTTGTAGAATCTGCAAGTTGACTGTTGGAGAGCTTTGAGGCCTATGGTGGAAAAGGAAATATCTATAAATAAAAACTAGACAGAAGCATTCTCAGAAACTTCTCTGTGATGTTTGCATTCAACTCACAGAGTTAAACCTCCCTTTTCATAGAGCAATTTTGAAACACTCTTCTCTTATAATCTGCAAGTGGATATTTGGACTGCTTTGAGGCCTTCGTTGGAAACAGGAATATCTTCACATAAAAACTAGACAGAAGCATTCTCAGAAACTACTTTTGATGTATGCATTCAACTCACAGAGTTGAACCTTTCTTTTCATAGAGCAGGGTTGAAACACTCTTTTTGCAGGATCTGCAAGTGGATATTTGGAGCTCTTTGAGGCCTATGGTGAAAAAGGATATATCTTCACATAAAAACTAGACGGAAGCATTCTCATAAACTTATTTGTGATGTGTGCATTCAACTCACAGAGTTGAACCTTTCTTTTGATAGAGCAGGTTTGAAACATTCATTTTGTAGAATCTGAAGTGCACATTTGGAGAGCTTTGAGGCCTATGGTGGAAAAGGAAGTATCTTCACATAAAAACTAGAGAGAAGCGTTCTCAGAAACTTCTTTGTGGTGTGTGCATTCAACTCACAGAGTTGAACCTCTCTTTTCATAGAGCAGGTTTGAAACATTCTTTTCTTAGTATCTGCAAGTGGATATTTGGAGAGCTTTGAGTCCTATGGTGGAAAAGGAAATATCTTCACACAAAAACTAGACAGAAGCGTTCTCAGAAACGTCTTTGTGATGTTTGCATTCAACTCACAGAGTTGAAGATACCTTTCCTTGGAGCAGTTTTTAGACACTCTTTTTATAGAATCTGCAAGCGGATATTTGGACCGCTATGAGGCCTTCGTTGGAAACGGGAATGTCTTCACATAAACACTAGACAGAAGCATTCTCAAAAACTTCTTTTTCAGGCGTGCATTAAACTCAAAGAGTTGAACCTTTCTTTTCATAGAGCAGCTTTGAAACACTCTTTTTGTAGAATCTGCAAGTTGACATTTGGAGAGCTTTGAGGCCTATGGTGGAAAAGGAATTATCTTCATATAAAAATAAGAGAGAAGAATTCTCAGAAAATTCTTTACGATGTTTGCATTCAACTCACAGATTTGAAGATACCTTTTCATAGAGCAGTTTTGAAACACTCTTTTTGTAGAATATGCAAGTGGATATTTGAAACGCTTTGAGGCCTTAGTTGGAAACGGGAATATGTTCACACAAAAACAGGCAGAAGCATTCTCAGAAACTTCTTTGTGATGTGTGCATTCAACCCCAAGAGTTGAAACTTTCTTTTCATAGAGCATGTTTGAAACACTCTTTTTGTAGAATCTGCAAGTGGACATTTGGAGAGCATTGAGGCCTATCGTGGAAAAGTAAATATCTCACATATAAACTAGAGAGAAGCATTCTCAGAAACTACTTTGTGATGTGTGCATTCTACTCACAGAGTTGTACCTTTCTTTTGATAGAGCAGTTTTGAAACACTCTTTTTGTAGAATCTGCAAGTGAACATTTGGACCGCTTTGAGGCCTTTGTTGGAAACGGGAATATCTTCACATAATCACTAGACAGAAGCTTTCTCAAAAACTTTTTTGAACTGTGTGCATTCAACTCACAGAGTTGAACTTTTCTTTTGATAGAGCAGGTTTGAAACACTCTTTTTCTAGAATCTGCAAGTGGACATTTGGAGCGCTTTGAGGCCTATGGTGGAAAAGGAAATATCTTCCCATTAAAAACTAGACAGAGGCATTCTCAGAAACTTCTTATGATGTGTGCATTCAAATCACAAGGTTGGACATACCTTATCATAGAGTACTTTTGAAACACTCTTTTTGTAGAATCTGCAAGTGGATATTTGCACTGCTTTGAGGCCTTCATTGGCAACGGGATTATCTTCACATAAACACTAGACAGAAGCATTCTCAGGAACTTCTTTGTGATGTGTGCATTCAACTAACAGAGTTGAGCCTTTCTTTTCATAGAGCAGGTTTGAAGCCCTCTTTTTGTAGAATCTTCAAGTGGACAAATGGCGAGCTTTGAGGCCTATGGTGGAAAAGGAAATATCATTATATAAAAACCAGACAGAAGAATTCTCAGGAACTACTTTGTGATGTTTGCTTTAAAATCACAGGGTTGAACATACCTCTTCATAGAGCAGTTTTGAAGCACTCTTTTTGCAGAATCTGCAAGTGGATATTTGGAACGCTTTGAAGCCTTCGTTGGAAACGGGAATATCTTCAAATAAACACTAGATAGAAGCATTCTCAGAAACTTCTTTGTGATGTGTGCGTTCAACTCACAGAGTTGAAGCTTTCCTTTAATAAAGCAGGTTTGAAACACTCTTTTTGTAGAATCTGCAAGTGGATATTTGAACCACTTTGAGGCCTTCGTTGGAAAAGGGGATATCTTCACATAAACACTAGACAGAATCATTCTCAGAAACTTCTTTGTGATGTGTTCATTTCACTCACAGAATTGAACCTTTCTTTTGATAGAGCAGGTTTGAAGCACTTTTTTTGTAGAATCTGCAAGCAGACATTTGGAGAGCTTGGAGGTCTATGGTGGAAAAGGAAATATCTATAAATAAAAACTAGACAGAAGCATTGTCAGAAACTTCTTTGTGATGTTTGCATTCAACTCACAGAGTTGAACCTCCCTTTTCATAGAGTAGTTTTGAAACACTATTTTCGTAGAATCTGCAAGTGGATATTTGGACCGCTTTGAGGCCTTCGTTGGAAACGGGAATATCTTCACATAAAAACTAGACAGAAGCATTCTCAGAAACTACTTTGTGATGTGTCCATTCAACTCACAGAGTTGAACCTTCCTTTTCATAGAGCAGGGTTGAAACACTCTTTTTGCAGGATCCGCAAGTGGACATTTGGAGCTCTTTTTGGCATATGGTGGAAAAGGATATATCTTCACATAAAAACTAGACAGAAGCATTCTCATAAACTTATTTGTGACGTTTGCATTCACCTCTCAGAGTCTAACATACTTTATCATAGAGCAGTTTTGAAACACTCTTTTAGTAGTATCTGCAAGTGGATAATTGGAGGGCTTTGAGGCCTTCATTGGAAACGGGAGTATCTTTATATAATGATGCTTTCTCAGAAATTTCTTTGTGCTGTGTGTATTCAACTCACAGAGTTGAACCTTTCTTTTTATAGAGCAGGTTTGAAACACTCTTTTGCGGAATCTACAAGTGGACATTAGGAGCGCTTTGTGGCCTATGGAGGAAAAGGAAATATCTTCACATAAAAACTAGACAGAAGCATTCTCATAAACTTATTTGTGACGTTTGCATTCAACTCTCAGAGTTTAACATACTTTATCATAGATCAGTTTTGAAACACTCTTTTAGTAGTATCTGCAAGTGTATAATTGGACGGCTTTGAGGCTTTCGTTGGAAACGGGAGTATCTTCACACAATGAAGCTTTCTCAAAAACGTCTTTGTGCTGTGTGCATTCAACTCACAGATTTGAAATTTTCTTTTGATGGAGCAGATTTGAAACACTCTTTTTGTAGAATTTGCAAGTGGATATTTGGACAGCTTTGAGGCCTTCCCTGGAAACGGGGGTTTCTTCACATAAAAACTAGACAGAAGCATTCTAGGAAAATTCAGTTTGATGTGTGCATTCAACTCAGAGAGTTGACCCTTCTATTGATAGAGCAGGTTTAATACTCTTTTTGCAGAATCTGCAAGTGGACATTATGAGCGATTTGATGTCTATGGTGGAAAAGGAAATATCTTCACATTAAAACTAAACAGCAGCATTCTCAGAAACTTCTTTGTGATGTTTGCCTTCAATTCTCAGAGTTGAACATACTTTATCCTAGAGCAGTTTTGAAACACTCTTTTAGTAGTATCTCCAAGTGGTTATTTGGGCCACTTTGAGGACATCATTGGAAACGGGAGTACCTTCACATGATCACGACACAGAAGTTTTCTCAGAAACTTCCTTTGGCTGTGTGCATTCACCTCACATATTTGAATATTTCTTTGATAGAGCAGGTTTGAAACTCTCTTTTTGTAGAATCTGCAAGTTGACATTTGGAGCGCTTTGAGGCCTATGGTGGAAAAGGAAATATCTTCGTATAAAAACTAGACAGAAGCATTCTCAGAAACTTCTTTTTGATATGTGTACTCAACTCACAGAGTTAAACTTTGTTTTGATGGAGCAGTTTTGAAACACTCTTCTTGTAGAATTTTCAAGCTGGATATTTGGACAGCTTTGAGGCTTTCGCTGGAAACGGGAATATCCTCACATAAAAGCCAGACAGAAGCATTCACAGAAACTTCTTTGTGATTTGCGCATTCAACTCAAAGAGTTGAATCTTTACTTTGTTAGAGCAGCTTTGAAACACTCTTTTTGCAGAATTTACAAGTGGATATTTGGACAGCTTTGAAGCCTTCGCTGGAAACGCGAGTAGCTTCACATAAAAACTAGACAGAAGCATTCTCAGAAATTTCTTTGTGATGTTTCCATTCAACTCACAGAGTTGAACATGCCTTTTCATAGAGCAGTTTTGAAACACACCGTTTGTAGAATCTGCAACTGGATATTTGGAGCTCTTTGAGGCCTATGGTGAAAAAGGAAATATCTTCACATAAAAACTAGAGAGAAGCATTCTCAGAAACTTCTTTGTGATGAGTGTATTCAACTCCCAGAGTTGAACCACTCATTTGATAGAGCAGTTTTGAAACACTATTTTTGTAGAATTTGCAAGTGGATATTAGACAGCTTTGAGGCTTTCATTGGAAACGGGAATGTCTTCATGTGAAAAATAGAAGCATTCTCAGAATCTTCTTTGCGATGTGTGCATTCAACCCACAGTGTTGAAACTCTATTTTGATATAGCAGATTGGAAACACTCTTTTTGTAGAATTTGCAAGTGGATATTTGAACAGCTTTGAGGCCTTCACTGGAAACGGGATTATCTCCACATAAAAACCAGACAGAAACATTCTCAGAAACTTCTTTGTAATGTGTGTACTCAACTTAGAAAGGTAAACCTTTCCTTTGATAGAGCAGTTTTGAAACACTATTCTTGTAGAATTTACAGGTGGATATTAGGACAGCTTTGAGGCTTTCATTGGAAACGGGAATATCTTCACATTAAAACCAGACAGAAGCATTCTCAGAAACTTCTTTGTGATGTGTGCATTCAACTCACAGAGTTGAAATTTCCTTTGATAAAGCAGCTTTGAAACACTCTTTTTAAAGAATTTGCAAGTGGATATTTGGACAGCTTTGAAGCCTTCGCTGGAAACGGGGGTATCTTCACATAAAAACTAGACAAAGCATTCTCAGAAACTTCTTTGTGATGTTTGCATTCAACTAACAGGGTTGAATATTCCTTTTCATAGAGAAGTTTGAAAAAATCTTTTTGTAGTATGTGCAAGTAGACATTTGGAGCGCTTGAGGCCTATGGTGAAAAAGGAAATATTTTCACATAAAAACTAGACAGAAGCATTCTCAGAAACTTCTTTGTGAAGTGTGCACTCAGCTCACAGAGTTAAAACTTTCTTTGATAGAGCAGTCTTGAAACACACTTCTTGTAGAATTTACAAGTGGATATTAGGACAGCTTTCAGGCTTCCGTTGGTAATCCTGAAGATATTCGCTGGAATATCTTCACATGAATTGTAGACAGAAGCATTCTCAGAAACATCTTTGTGATGTGTGCTGTTGGAACTTTCCTTTGATAGAGCAGCTTGAAACACTCTTTTTGTAGAATTTGCAAGTGGATATTGGGACAGCTTTGAAGTCTTCGCAGGAAACGGGTTTATCTTCACATAAAAACTAGACAGAATCATTCTCAGAAACTCCTTTGTGATGTTTGCGTTCAACTCACAGAGTTGAACATTCCTTTTCATAGAGCAGTTTTGAAAAACACTTTTTGTAGAATCTGCAAGTGGACATTTGCAGCGTTTTGGGGCCCACTGTGAATAAGGAAATGTGTTCACATTAAAACTAGATAGAAGCATTCTCAGAAACTTCTTTGTGATGTGTTTACTCAACACACAGATTTGAATCTTTGTTTTGACAGAGCAGTTTGAAACCCTTTTTTGTATAATCTGCAAGTGGATATTTGGATATCTTTGAGGCTTTCGTCGGAAACGGGAATATCTTCACATAAAAACTAGAGAGAAGCATTCTCAGAAACTTCTTTGTGAAGTTTGCCTTCAAATCACAGAGTTGAACATTCCTTTTCATAGAGCAGTTTTGAAACACTCTTTTTGTAAAATCTGAAGTGGACATTTGGAGTGCTTTGAAGCCTATTTTGGAAAATGAAATATTTTCACATAAAAACTAGACAGAGGCATTCTCAGAAACTTCTTTGTGATGTGTGTACTCCACTCACAGAGTAGAACCTTTCTTTTTATAGAGCAGTTTTGAAACACTCTCCTTGTAGAATCTGCAAATGGATATTTGGACAGCTTTGAGGCTTTGGTTGGAAACGGGAATATCTTCACCTAAAAACCAGACAGAAGCATTCTCAGAAACTTCTGTGTGATGTGCGCATTCAACTCACAGAGGTGAAACTTTCTACTGACAGAGCAGCTTTTAAATACTCTTTTTGTAGAATTTGCAAGTGGATATTTGGACAGCTTTCAAGACTTCACTGGAAACGGAAGTATCTTCAGGTAAAAGCTAGACAGAAGCATTCTCAGAAACTTCTTTGTGATCTTTGCATTAAACTCACGGAGTTGAACATTCCTTTTCATAGAGGAGTTTTGAAAAACTCTTTTTGTAGATTCTGCAAGTGGACATTTGGAGCGCTTTGAGGCCTATGTTTAAAAAGGAAATATCTTCCCATAAAAACTAGACAGAAGCATTCTCAGAAACTTCTTTGTGTTGTGTGTATTCAACTCACAGAGTTGAACCTTTATTTTGATAGAGCAGATTTGAAACACTCTTTTTGTAGAATGTGCAAGTGGATATTGGGATAGTTTTGAGGCTTTCGTTGGAAACGGGAATATCTTCACATAAAAACTAGACAGAAACACTCTCAGAAACTTCTTTCTGATGTGTGTCCTCAACTCACAGAGTTGAACACTTCTTTTGATCTAGAAGTTTTGAAACACTCTCTTTGTAGCATCTGCAAGTGGACATTTGGTGTGCATTGAGACGTATGGTGAAATAGGAAATATCTTAACATAAAAACTGGACAGAAGCATTCTCAAAGACTTCTTTGTGATGTTTGCATTTATCTCACAGATTTGAACATTCCTTTTCATAGAGCAGTTTTGAAACACTCTTTTTGTAGCATCTGCAAGTGGACATTCAGAACGCTTGGAGGCCTATGGTGACAAAGGAAATATCTTCACATAAAAACTAGACAGAAGCATTCTCAGAAATTTCTTCACGATGTGTATACTCAACTCACAGAGATGAACCTTTCTTTTGCTGTAGCAGTTTTGAAACACTCTTTTTGCAGCATTTACAAGTGGATATTTGGACAGCTTCGAGGTTTTCCTTGGAAAAGGGAATATCTTCACATAAAAACTAGACCGAAGCATTTTCAGAAACTTCTTTGTGATGTGTGTATTCAACTCAAAGAGTTGATACTTTCTTTTGATAGAGCAGATTTGAAACACTCTTTTTGTAGAAATTGCAAGTGGATATTTGGACAGCTTTGTCGCCTTCGCTGGAAACCGGGGTATCTTCACATAAAAACTAGACGGAAGTATTCTCAAAAACATCTTTGTGATGTTTACATTCAACTCACATAGTTGAACATTCCTTTCAATAGAGCAGTATTGAAACACTCTGTTTGTAGTATCTGCTAGTGGACATTTGGAGCACTTTTAGGCCTCTGGAGAAAAAGGAAATATCTTCACATAAAAACTAGACAGAATCATTATCAGAAACATCTTTGTGATGTGCGCACTCAACAAAAAGAGTTGAAAATTTTCTTTGATGGAGCGTTTTTAAACAGTCTTTTTGTAGAATCTGCAAGTGGACATTTGGAACGCTTTGAAGTCTTCGTTGGAAACGGGAATATCTTCACATAAAAACTGTACAGAATCATTCTCAGAAACCTCTTTGTGATGTGTGTACTCAACTCACAGAGTTGAATCTTTCTTTTGATAAAGCAGTTTTGAAACACTGTCTTTGTGGAAACTGCAAATGAATATTTGGACAGGTTTGAGGCTTTCATTGGAAACGGGAATATCTTCACATAAAAACTAGACAGAAGCATTCTCAAAAACTTGTTTGTGATGTGTGCACTCAACTCACAGAGTTGAACCTTTCTTTTCACAGAGCAGTTTTGAAACACTCTTTTTGTGGAATCTGCAAGTGGACATTTGGAGTGCTGTGTGGCCTTCATTGGAAACGGGAATAACTTCACAAAAAACTAGACAGAAGCATTCTCAGAAACTTCTTTGCGATGTTTGCATTCAACTCACAGAGTTGAAACTTTTATTTTCATTTGAAACACTGCTTTTGTGGAATTTGCAAGTGGATATTTCGACAACTTTGAGGCTTTCACTTGAATCGGGAGTATCTTCTCATAAAAACTAGACAGAAGATTTCTTGGAAACATCTTTCTGATGTTTGGATTAAACTCAAAGAGTTGAACATTCGTTTTCATAGAGTAGTTTTGAAACATTCTTTTTATAGTATCTGCAAGTCGACATTTGGAGCACTTTGAGTCCTATGGTGATAAAGAAAATATCTTCAAATAAAAATTAGACAGAAGCATTCTCAGAAACTTCTCTGTGATGTGTACATTCAACTCACAGAGTTGAAAATTCTTTTTCATAGAGCAGATTTGAAACACTCCTTTTGTAGAATCTGCAAGTGGACATTTGGAGCGCTCTGAGGCCTTCGCTCGAAATGGGAATATCGTCACATAAAAACTAGACAGAAGCATTATCAGAAACTTCTTTCTGATGTGTCCTTTCAACTCACAGATTTGAACTCTTCTTTTGATAGAGCAGTTTTGAAACACTCTCTTTGTAGAATCTGCAAGTGGACATTTGGTGTGTTTTTGGTTTATGGTGAAAAAGGAAATATCTTCACATAAAAACTAGACAGGATCATTCTCAGAAACTTCTTTGTGATGTGTGTACTCAACTCACAGAGTTGAACCTTTCTTTTGATAGAGCAGTTGTCAAACACTCTTTAAGTGGAATCTGCAAGTGGACACTTGGAGTGCTTTGTGACCTTCTTTGGAAACGGGAGTATCTTCACATGAAAACTATACAGAAGCATTGTCAGAAACTTCTTTGTGATGTGTGCATTTAACTCACAGAGTTGAACCTTTCTTTTGATAGAGCAGTTTTGAAACACTCTCTTTGTAGAATCTGCAAGTTGATATTTGGACAGCTTTGAGGCATTCATTGGAAACGGGAATATCTTCACATAAAATCTAGACAGAAGGATTCTCAGAAACTTCTTTGTGATGTTTTCATTCAATTCACAAAGTTGAACATTCCTTTTCATAGAGCAGTTTTGAAAAACTCTTTTCATATTATTTGCAAGTGGACATTTGGAGCGCTTTGAGGCCTACGGTGAAAAAGGAAATATCTTCACATAAAAACTAGACAGAAGCATTATCAGAAACTTCTTTGTGATGTGTGTACTCAACTCACAGAGTTAAACATTTCTTTTGATACATCAGTTTGAAACACTCTTCTTGTAGAATATACAAGTGGATATTAGGACCGCGTGTGAAGCTTTCGATGGAAACGGGAATATCTTCACATAAAAACCAGACTGAAGGCATTCTCAGAAACTTCCTTGTGATGTGCTCATTCAACTCACAGAGTTGAAACTTTCTATTGATAAAGCAGCTTTGAAACACTCTTTTTGTAGAATTTGCAAGTGGATATTTCGAAAGCTTTGAAGCCTTCGCTGGACACGGGAGTATCTTCCCATAAAAACTAGACAGAAGCATTCTCAGAAACTTATTTGTGATGTTTGCATTCAACTCAGAGAGCTGAACATTCCTTTTCATTGAGCACTTTTGAAACACTCTTTTTGTAGTATCTGCAAGTGGACATTTGGACAGCTTTGCGGCCTATAGAGAAAATGGAAATATCTTCACATAAAAACTAGACAGAAGCATTCTCAGAAACATCTTTGTGATGTTTGCATTCAACTCAAAGAGTTGAACATTCCTTTTCATACAGCAGTTTTGAAAAACTCTTATTGTAGAATCTGCAAGTGGTCATCCTGAGTGCTTTGAGGCCTTCATTCGAAACGGGAATATCTTCACATAAAAAATAACAGAAGCATTCTCAGAAACTTCTTTGTGATGTGTGCATTTAACTCACAGATTTGAACCCTTCTTTTACAGAGCAGTTTTGACACACTCTTTTTGTGTAATCTGCAAGTGGACATTTGTTGTTCTTTGAGGCCTATGATGAAAAAGGAAATATCTTCACATAAAAACTAGACAGAAGCATTCTCAGAAACATCTTTGTGATATCTGAAGTCAACTCACAGAGTTGAAACTTTCTTTTGAGAGATCAGTTTTGAAACACTCTTTTTGTGGTATCTGCAAGTGGACACTTGGAGCGCTTAGTGGTCTTCGTTGGAAACGGGAATATCTTCCAATAAAAACTAGACAGAAGCATTCTCAGAAACTTCTTTGTGATGTGTGCGTTCAACAACCAGAGTTGAACTTTTCTTCTGATAGAGCAGATTGGAAACACTCATTTCGTAGAATTTGCAAGTGGATGTTTGGACAGCTTTGAGGCCTTCAATGGAAACGGGAATATTTTCACATAAAAACAAGACAGAAGCATTCTAAGAAACTTGTTATTGATGTGTGTCCTCACCTGAGAGAATTGAACATTTCTTTTGATAGAGCAGTTTTGAAACACTCTTTTTGTAGGATCTGCAAGTGGATATTTGGACGGCTTTGAGGCTTTCGTTGGAAACCGGAATATTTTCACATAAAAACTAGAGAGAAGCATTCTCGGAAACTTCTTTGTGATGTTTGCATTCAACTCACAGAGTTGAACATTCCTTTTCATAGAGAAGTTTTGAAACCCTCTTTTTGTAGAATCTGCAAGCAGACATTTGGAGCGATTTGAGGCCTCCAGTGAAAAAGGAAATATCTTCATATAAAAACTAGACAGAAGCATTCTCAGAAATTACTTTGTGATGTGTGCATTCGACTCACAGAGTTGAAACTTCCTTTTGATAGAGCAGATTTGAAACACTCTTTCTGTAGTATTTTGAAGTGGATATTTGGACAGCTTTGAGGCCTTCACTGGAAACAGGTATATCTTCACATAAAAACTAGACAGAAGCACTCTCAGAAACTGCTTTGTGATGTTTGCATTCCACTCACAGCGTTGAATATTCCTTTTCATAGAGCTGTTTTGAAACAATCTTTTTGTAGAATCTGCAAATGGACACTTGGAGGACTTTGAGGGCTATGGTGAAAAAAGAAATATCTTCTCATAAAAACTATACAGAAGAATTCTCAGAAATTCTTTGTGATGTGTGTACTCAACTCACAGAGTTGAACCTTTCTTTTAATAGAGCAGTTTTTAAATACTGTTTTTGTAGAAAATGCAAGTGGATATCTGGATAGCTTTGAGGCTTTCGTTGGAAACGGAAATATCTTCACATAAAAACTAGACAGAAGCATTCTCAGAAACTTCTTTGTGATGTTTACCTTCATCTCACAGAGTTGAAAATTCCTTTTCATAGAGCAGTTTCGAAACACTCTTTTTGTAGACTCTGCAAGCGTTCATTTGGAGCTCTTTGAGGCTTTCGTTCAAAAGGAGAATATCTTCACATAAAAACTAGACAGAAGCATTATCAGAAACATCTTCGTGATGTGTGCATTGAACTCACAGAGTTGAACCCTTCTTTTGATAGAGCAGTTTTGAAACACTCTCTTTGTAGAATCTGCAAGTGGATATTTGGTGTGCTTTGAGGCCTATGGTGAAAAAGGAAATATCTTAACATAAAAACTAGGCAGATGCATTCTCAGAAACTTATTTGTGAAGTGTTAACTCAACTCACAGAGTTGAACCTTTATTTTGATAGAGCAGTTTTGAAACACTCTTTTTGTGGAATCTGCACGAGGACATTTGGAGCGCTTTGTGGCCTTCGTTGGAAACGGGAATATCCTCACATAAAAACTACACAGAGTCATTCTCAGAAACTCCTTCGTGATGTTTGAATTCAACTCACAGAGTTGAACATTCCCTTTCATAGAGCAGTTTTGAAACACAGTTTTTCTAATATCTGGAAGTGGACATTTTGAGCGCTTTGAGGTCTATGGGGAAAAAGGAAATATCTTCACATAAAAACTAGACAGAAGCATTCTCAAAAACTTCTTTGTGATGTGTGCCCTCAACTCACAGGGTTAGACCTTTTTTTTGATAGAGCAGTTTTGAAATACTCTACTTGTAGAATTTAAAGTGGATATTTCGACAGCTTTGAGGCTTTCGTTGGAAACGGGAATATCTTCATATAATAACCAGACAGAAGCATTCTCAGAAACTTCTTTCTCATGTTTGCAATCAAATCACAGAGTTGAACATTCCTTTTCATAGAGTAGTTTTGAAAAACCCTTTTTGTACAATTTGCAAATGGACATTTGGAGCGCTTGGAGGCCTACGGTGAAAAAGGAAATATCTTCACATAAAAATTAGACAAAAGCATTCTCAGAAATTTCTTTGTGATGTGTGTACTCAACTCACAGAGATGAATCTCTCTTTTGCTAGAGCAGTTTTGATTCACTCTTTTTGAAGCATTTACAAGTGGATATTTGGACAGCTTTGTGGCATTCATTGGGAACGCGAATATGTTCACATAAAAACTAGACAGAAGCATTCTCAGAAACTTCTTTGTGATGTTTGCATTCAGCTCACAGAGTTCAGCATTTCTTTTCATACAGCAGTTTTGAAACACTCTTTTTGTAGTATCTGCTAGTGGACATTTCGAGCGCTTTGAGGCCTATGTTGAAAAAGGAAATATCTTCACATAAAAACTAGACAGAAGTATTCTCAGGAACTCCTTTGTGTTGTGTGTACTCAACTCACAGAGTTAAACCGTCTTTTGATAGAGCAGTTTTGAAACATTCTTCTTGTAGAATTTACAATTAAATATTCTGACAGGTTTGAGGATTTCGTTGGAATGGGGAGTATCTTCACATAAAAACTGGACAGAAGCATTTTCAGAAACTGCTTTCTGACATGTGCATTCAACTCACCGAGTTGAAACTTTCTTTTGATAGAGCAGATTGGAAACACTCTTTTTGTAGAATTTGCAAGTGGATATTTGCACAGCTTTGAGGCCTTCTTTGGAAACGGGTGTATCTTCACATAAAAACTAGTTAGAAGCGTTCTAGTAAACTGCTTTTTGATTTTTGCGTTCAACTCACAGAGTTGAGCATTTCTTTTCATAGAGCAGTTTTGAAACATTCTTTTTGTAGAATCTGCACTTGGACATTTGGAGTGCTTTGAGGCCTATGGTGGAAAAGGGAATATCTTCACATAAAAACCAGACAGAAGCATTCTCAGAAACTACTTTGCGATGTGTGCTGCCAACTCACAGAGTTGAACATTCCTTTTCATAGAGCAGTTTCGAAACACTCTTTTTGTAGAATCTGCAAGTGGTCATTTGGAGTGCTTTGATGCCTTCCTTCAAAACGGGAATATCTTCACATAAAAACTAGATCGAAGCATTTTCAGAAACAACTTTGTGATGTGTGCATTAAACTCACAGAGTTGAACCCTTCTTTTGATAGAGCAGTTTGAAACACTCTCTTTGTAGTATGTGCAAGTGGACATTTGTTGTGCATGAGGCCTATCATGCAAAAGGAAGTATCTTAACATAAAAAGTTGACAGAAGCATTCTCAGAAACTTATTTGTGATGTGTGCACTCCACTCACAGAGTTGAACCTATCTTTTGATAGAGCAGTTTTGAAAGATTATTTTTGTGCAATCTGCACCTGGACATTAGGAGCACTTTGTGGCCTTCGTTGGAAACGAGAATATCTTCACATAAAAACTAGAAAGAAGCATTCTCAGAAACTTCATTGTGATATTTGCATTCAACTCACAGAGTTGAACATTCCTTGTCATAGAGCAGTTTTGAAACACTCTTTTTGCAGAATCTACAGTGGTCCTTTGGAGCACTTTGAGGCCTTCGTTCGAAACAGGAATATCTTCATTTAAAAACTAGAAAGAATTATTATCAGCAACATCTTTGTGATTTCTGCATTCAACTCAGAGAATTGAACTCTTCTTTTGATAGAGCAGTTTTGAAACACTCTCTTTGTAGAATCTGCAAGTGGACTTTTGGTGTGCTTTGAGGCTTGTGGTGAAAACGGAAATATGTTAACATGAAAACTAGACAGACGCATTCTCCGAAACTTATTTGTGATGTGTGCACTCAGCTCACATAGTTGAACCTTTCTTTTGAGAGAGAAATTTTGAAACCCTCTTTTTGTGGAATCTGCAAGCGCACATTTGGAACGCTTTGTGGCCTACGTTGGAAACGGGAATATCTTCACATAAAAACTAGACAGAAGCATTCTCAGAAACTTCTTTGTGATGTTGACATTCAACTCACAGAGTTGAACATTCCCTTTCATAGAGCAGTTTTGAAACACTCTTTTTGTAGAATCTGGAAGTGGACGTTTGGAGCGCTTTGAGGCCAATGGTGAAAAGAAATATCTTCACATAAAAACTAGACAGAAGTATTCTCAGAAACTTCTTTGTGATATGTGTACTCAACTCACAGATTTAAATCTTTCCTTTGATAGAGCAGTTTTGAAACACTCTTCTTGTAGAATTTGCAAGTGGATATTAGGATAGCTTTGAGGCTTTCCTTGGAAATGGGAATATCTTCATATAAAAACCAGACAGAAACATTCTCAGAAACTTCTTTGTGATGTTTGCATTCAACTCACAGAGTTGAACATTCCTTTTCATAGAGCAGTTTTGAAACACTCTTTCTGGAATCTGCAAGTGGACATTTGGAGCGCTTGGTGGCCTATGGTGAAAAAGGAAATATCTTCACATAAAAACGAGACAAAAGCATTCTCAGAAACTTCTTTGTGAAGTGTGTACTCAACTCACAGAGTTGAACCTTTCTTTTGCTGCAGCAGTTTTGAATCACTCCTTTTGAAGCATTTCCAAGTGGATACTTGGACAGCTTTGAGGCTTTCATTGGAAACGGGAGTATCTTCACATAAAAACTAGACAGAAGAATTCTCAGAAACTTCTTTGTAAAGTGTGCATTCAACTCACGGTGTTGACACTTTCTTTTAATAGAGCAGATTGGAAACACTCTTTTTGTAGTATTTGCAATTGGATATTTGGACAGCTTTGACGCTTTCTTTGGAAACGGGACTATCTTCACATAAAAACTAGACAGAAGCATTCTCAGAAACTTCTTTGTGATGTGTGCACTCAACTCACAGACTTGAACCTTTCTTTTGATAGAGCAGTTTTGAAACACTCTTTTTGTAGTATCTGGAAGGGGACATTTGGAGCGCTTTGAGGCCTAAGGTGAAAAAGGAAATATCGTCACATAAACATTAGACAGAATCATTATCAGAAACATCTTTCTGATGTGTGCATCCAACTCACAGAGTTGAACCCTTCTTTTGATAGAGCAGTTTTGAAACACTCTCTTTGTAGATCTGCAAGTGGACATTGGGTGTGCTTTGAGGTCTATGGTGAAAAAGAAATATCTTAACAAAAAAACTAGACAGAAGCATTCTCAGTAACTTTTTGTGATGCTTGCATTCAACTCACAGAATTGAACATTCCTCTTCATAGAGCAGTTTTGAAACACTCTTTTGTAGTATCTGGAAGTGGATATTTGGGGGGCTTTGAGGCCTATGGCGAAAAAGGAAATACCTTCACATGAAAACTAGACAGAAGCATCCTCGGAAACTTCTTTGTGATGTGTGTAGTGAAGTCAGAGAGATGAACCTTTCTTTTTATAGAGCAGTTTTGAAACACTCTCTTTGTAGAATCTGCAAGTGGACATTTGTTGTGCTATGAGACCTACAGTGAAAAAGGAAATGTCTTCATATGAAAACTAGACAGAAGCATTCTCAGAAACTTCTTTGAGATGTGTGCAGTCAACTCACAGAGTTAAACCTTTCTTTTGATAGAGCAGATTGGAAACACTCTTTTTGTAGTATTTACAAGTGGGTATTTGGACAAATTTGAGGCCTTCACAGGAAACGGGAATATCTTCACATAAAAACAAGACAGAAGCATTCTAAGAAACTTCTTCGTGATGTGTGTCCTCAACTCACAGAGTTGAACATTTCTTTTGATAGGGAAATTTTGAAACACTCTTTGTACGATCTGCAAGTTGATATTTGGAGAGATTTGAGGCTCTCATTGGAAACGGGAATATTTTCACATAAAAACAAGTCAGAAGCTGTCTCAGAAACTTCTTTGTGATGTTTGCATTCAACTCACAGAGTTGAACATTCCTTTTCATAGAGCAGTTTTGAAACACTCTTTTTGTAGAATGTGCAAGTGGTCATTTGGAGCGCTTTGAGGCCTTCGTTCAAAAAGGGAATATCTTCACATAAAAGCTAGACAGAATCATTATCAGAATCATCTTTGTGATGTGTGCCTTCAACTCACAGAGTTGAGCCCCTCCTTTGATACAGCAGTTTTGAAACACTGTCTTTGTAGAATCTGCAAGTGGACATTTGGTGTGCTTTGAGGCCTATGGTGAAAAAGGAAATATCTTAAAATAAAAACTAGTCAGAAGCATTCTCATAAGCTTGTTTGTGATGTGTGCACTCAACTCACAGAGTTGAACCTTTCTTTTGACAGAGCAGTTTTGAAACTCCCTTTTTGTGGAATCTGAAAGTGGACATTTGGAGAGCTTTGAGGAGTATGGTGGGAAAGAAATATCTTCACACAAAAAAATAGACAGAAGAATTCTCAGAAACTTCTTTGTGATGTTTGCATTCATTTCACCGAGTTGAACATTCCTTTTCACAGAGCAGGTTTGAAACACTCTTTTTGTAACATCTGGAAGTGGACATTTGGAGCGCTTTGAGGCCTATGGTGAAAAATGAAATATCTTCTCATAAAAACCAGACGGAAACATTCTCAGAAACTTCTTTGCAACGTGTGCATTAAACTCACAGAGTTGAACTTTTCTTTTCATAGAGCAGATTGGAAAAACTCTTTTTGTAGAATTTGCAAGTTGATATTTGGACAGCTTCGAGGCCTTCACTGGAAACAGGAATATCTTCACATAAAAACAAGACAGAAGCATTCTAAGAAACTTCTTTGTGATGTGTGTCCTCTACTCACAGAGTTTAACGTTTCTTTTTCATAGATCAGTTTTGAAACACTCTCTTTGTAGGATCTACAAGGGAATACTTGGACAGCTTTGAGGCTTTCGTTGGAAACGGAATATTTTCACATAAAAACTAGGCAGAAGCATTCTCAGAAACATCTTTGTGATGTTTGCATTCAACTCACAGAGTTGACCATTCCTTTTCATAGAGGAGTTTTGAAACACTCTTTTTGTAGAATCTGCAAGTGGACATTTGGAATGATTTGAGGCCTATGGTGAAAAAAGAAATGTCTACACATAAAAAGTAGCCAGAAGCATTCTCAGAAACTACTTTGTTATGTGTGTACTCAACTCACAGAGTAAAAGCTTTCTTTTGATAGAGCAGTGCTGAAACACACTTTTTGTAGAATTTACAAGTGGATATTAGGTCAGCTTTGAGGCTTTCGTTGGAAATGGGAATATCTTCACATAAAAAGCAGAGAGAAGCATTCTCAGAAACTTCTTTGTGATGTGCGCATTCAACTCACAGAGTTGAAACTTTCCTTTGATAGAGCAGATTTGAAACACTCTTTTTATAGAATTTGCAAGTGGATATTTGGACAGCTTTGAGGCCTTCGCTGGAAATGGGAATATTTTCACATAAAAACTAGACAGAAGCATTCTCAGAAACTACTTTGTGATGTTTGCATTCAACTCACAGAGTTGAACATTACTTTTCATAGAGCAGTTTTGAAACTCTCTTTTTGTAGAATCTGTAAGTGGACACTTGGAGCCCTTTGAGGCCTATGGTGAAAAAGGAAATATCGTCATATAAAAACTAAACAGAAGAATTCTCAGAAAATTTTTGTGATGTTTGCATTCAACTCACAGAATTGAACATTGCTTTTCATAGAGCAGATTTGAAACACTCTTTTTGTAGAATCTGGAAGTGGTCAATTGTAGCGCTTTGAGGCCTTTGTTCGAATCGGGAATATCTTCACATAAAAACTAGACAGAAGCATTGTCAGAAACACCTTTGTGAAGTGTGCATTCAACTCACAGAGTTGAAACCTTCTTTTGATAGAGAAGCTTTGAAACACTCTCTTTGTAGAATCGGCAGGTGGACATTTGTTGTGCTTTGAGGCCTATGTTGAAAAAGGAAATATCTTCACATAAAAACTAGACAGAAGCATTCTCAGAAACTTCTTTGTGATGTCTGCATTCAACTCTCAGAGTTGAACATTTTTTTTCATAGAGCAGTTTTGAAACACTCTTTTTGTAATATCTGGAAGTGGACATTTGGAGCACTTTGAGGATTATGGTGAAAAAGGAAATATCTTCACATAAAAACTAGACAGAAGCATTCTCAGAAACTGGTTTGTAATGTGTGTACTGAACTCACAGAGATAAAGCTTTCTTTTGATAGAGCAGTTTTGAAACACTCTTCTTGTAAAATTTAAAAGTGGATATTAGGACACCTTTCAAGCTTTCCTTAAAAACGGGAATATCTTCACATAAAAACTAGACAGAAGCATTCTCCGAAACTTCTTTGTGATGTTTGCATTCAACTCACAGATTTGATCATTTCTTTTCATAGAGGAGTTTTGAAACACTTTTTGTAGAATCTCCAAGTGGTCATTTGGAGCATTTTGAGGCCTTCTTTTGAAACAGGAATATCTTCACATAGAAACTAGACAGAATCATTACCAGACACATCTTTGTGATGTGTGCATTGAACTGACAGAATTAAACCTTTCTTTTGTTAGAGGAGTTTTGAAACACTCTCTTTATAGTATCTGCAAGTGGACATTGGGTGTGCTTTGAGGCCTATGGTGAAAAAGGAAATATCTTAATATAAAAACTCGACAGAATTATTGTCAGAAACTTATTTGTGATGTGTGCAGACAACTCACAGAGTGGAACCTTTCTTTTGATACAGCAGTTTTGAAACACCCTTTTTGTTTAATCTGCACGTGGACATTTGGAGTGCTTTGTGGCCTTCATTGGAAACGGGAATATCTTCACATAAAAACTAGACAGAAGCATTCTCAGAAATTTCTTGGTGATGTTTGCATTCAACCCACAGAGGTGAACATTCCCTTTCATAGAGCAGTTTTGAAACACTCTTATTGTAGTATCTGGAATTGGATATATGGAGCGCTTTGAGTCCTATGGTGAAAAAGGTAATATCTTCACATAAAAAGTAGACAGAAGCATTCTCAGAAACTTCTTTGTGATGTGTGCATTCAACTCACACAGTGGAACCTTTCTTTTCATAGAGCAGATTGGAAACACTCTTTTTGTAGAATTTTCAAGTGGATATTTGGACAGCTTAGAGGCCTTCACAGGAAACGGGAATACCTTCACATAAAAACAAGACAGAAACATTCTGGGAAACATCTTTGTGATGCGTGTCCTCAACTCACAGAGTTGAACATTTCTTTTTCATAGAGCAGCTTTGAAACCCTCTCTTTATAGGATCTGCAAGGGAATATTTGGACAACTTTGAGGCTTTCGTTGGAAACGAGAATATTTTCACATAAAAACTAGTCAAAAGCATTCTCAAAAACTTATTTGTGATGTGTGCACACAACTCACAGGGTTGAACATTCCTTTTCATAGAGCAGTTTTGAAACACTCTTTTTGCAGAATCTGTAAGTTGTCATTTGGAGCACTTTGAGGCCTTCGTTCGAAACGGGAATATCTTCACATAGAAACTAGACAGAAGCATTCTCAGAAACATCTTTATAATGTGTGTACTCAACTCCCGGAGTTAAACCCTTCTTTTGATAGAGCAGCTTGGAAACACTCTTCTTGTAGAATTTACAAGTGGCTCTTAGGACACCTTTAAGGCTTCCCTTGGACATGGGAATATCTTCACATAAAAACCAGACAGAAGCATACTCAGAAACTTCTTTGTGATGCTTTCATTCAACTCACAGAGATGAACATTCCTTTTCATAGAGCAGTTTTGAAACAGTCTTTTTGTAGAATCTGCAAGTGGAGATTTGGAGCGCTTGGTGGCCTATGGTGAAAAAGGAAATATCTTCACATAAAAACTAGACAAAAGCATTCTCAGAAACTTCTTTGTGATGTGTGCACTCAACTCACAGAGATGAATCTTTCCTTTGCTAGAGCAGTTTTGAATCACTATTTTTGAAGCATTTACAAGTGGATATTTGGACAGCTTTGAAGCTTTGGTTGGTAACGGGAATATCTTCACATAAAAACTAGATAGAAGCATTCTCAGAAACTTCTTTGGGATATGTTCATTCAAGTTACAGTGTTGAAACTTTCTTTAAATAGAGCAGATTGGAAACACTCTTTTTGTAGAATTTGCAAATGGATATTTGGACAGCTTTGACGCTTTCATGGGAAACGGGAGTATCTTCACATAAAAACTGGACAGAAGCATTCTCAGAAACATCTTTGTGATGTGTGCATTCAACTCACAGAGTTGAAACTTACTTTTGATAGAGCGGATTTGAAACACTCTTTTTGTAGAATTTGCAAGTGGATATTTGGACAGCTTTGACGCTTTCATTGGAAACGGGTGTATCTTCCCATAAAAACTAGACAGAAGAATTCCAAGATACTTCTTTGTGATGTGTGTACTCAACTCACAGAGTTGAAACTTTCTTTTGATAGAGAGTTTTGAAACACTCTTTTTGTAGAATCTGCAAGTGGATATTTGGATAACTTTGAGTTTTTCATGGGAAACGCGAATATCTTCACATAAAAAGTAGACATGAGAATTCTCAGAAACTTCTTTGTGATGTTTGCATTCGACTCACAGAGTTGAACATTACTTTTCATAGGGCAGTTTTGAAACACTCCTTTTGCAGTATCTGCAAGCGGACTTTTGGAGTGCTTTGAGGCCTATGGTGAAAAATGAAATATCTTCACATGAAAACTAGACAGAAACATTCTCAGAAACTTCTTTGTGATGTGTGCATTCAACTCACAGAGTTGAACATTCCCTTTCATAGAGCAGTTTTGAAACAATATTTTTGTAGTATCTGCAAGGGGACTTTTGGAGCACTTTGAGGCCATTGTTGAAAAAGGAAATATCTTCACATAAATACTAGACAGAAGCATTCTCAGAAACTTCTTTGTGATGTGTACATTCAACTCACAGAGTTGAACATTACTTTCCATGGAGCAGTTTTGGAACACTCTTTTTGTAGTATCTGGAAGTGGATATTTTGAACGCTTTGAGGCCTATGATGAAGAAGGAAATATCTTCACATAAAAATTAGACCGAAGCATTCTCAGAAACTACTTTGTGATGAGTGCATTCAACTCACAGTGTTGAACATTTCTTTTGATAGAGCAGATTGGAAACCCTCTTTATGTAGAATTTGCAAGTGGATATTTGGACAGCTTTGAGGCCTTCACTGGAAACCGGAAGATCTACAAATAAAAACAAGACAGAAGCATGCTAAGAAACTTCTTTCTGATATGTGTACTCAACTCACAGAGTTGAACATTTCTTTTTTTAGAGTAGTTTTGAAACACTCTCTTTGTAGGATCTGCAAGGGAATATTTGGACACCTTTGAGGCTTTCGTTGGAAACGGGAATATCTTCACATAAAAACTAGTCAGAGGCATTCTCAGAAACTTCTTCGTGATGTTTGCATTCAACTCACACAGTTGAATATTCCCTTTCATAGAGCAGTTTTGAAACACTCTTTTTGTAGTACCTGGAAAAGGACATTTGGAGCGCTTTGAGGCCTATGCTGAAAAAGGAAATATCTTCACATAAAAACTAGACAGAAGCATTCTCAGAAACTTCTCTTTGATGTGTGTACTCAACTCACAGAGTTGAACCTTTCTGTTGATACTGCAGTTTTGAAACATTCTTTTTGTATACTCTGCAAGTGGATATTTGGATAAATTTGAGGCTTTCGTTGGAAACGGGAATGTCTTCACATAAAAACTAGACAGAAGCATTCTCAGAAACTTTTTTTTTGATGCTTGTATTCAACTCACAGAGTTGAACATTCCTTTTCATAGGGCAGTTTTGAAACACTCTTTTTGAAGTATCTGTAAGTGGAAACATGGAGCTCTTTGAGGCATATGCTGAAAAAGGAAATATCTTCCAATAAAAACTAGACAGAAGAACTCTCAGAAACTTCTTTGTGATGTGTGTACTCAATTCACAGAGTTAAACTTGTCTTTTGATAGAGCAGTTTTGAAACACTCTTTTTGTAGGGTGTGCAAGTGGATATTTGGATAGCTTTGAGAATTTCATTGGAAACGGGAATATCTTCACATAAAAACTAGACAGAAGCATTCTCAGAGACTTATTTGTGATGCTTGCATTCATCTCACAGAGTTGAACATTCCTTTCCATAGAGCAGTTTTGAAACACTCTTTTTGAGGAATATGCAATTGGATATTTGGAGTGATTTGAGACCTATGGTGAAAAATAAAATATCTTCACATAAAAAGTAGACAGAAGCATTCTCAGAAACTACTTTGTGATGTGTGTACTCAACTCACAGAGTTAAACCTTTCCTTTGATACAGCAGTTTTGAAACACTCTTCTTGTAGAATTTACAAGTGGATATTAAGACAGCATTGAGGATTTCTTTGGAAAAGGGAATATCTTCACAAAAAACTAGACAGAAGCATTCTCAGAAACTTTTTTGTGATGTGTGCATTCAACTCACAGAGTTGAAATTTTCTTTTGATAGAGGAGATTGGAAACAATCTTTTTGTAGAATTTGGAAGTGGATATTTGGACAGATTGGAGGCCTTCGCTGGAAATGGGTATATCTTCACATAAAAACTACACAGAAGCATTGTCAGAAACTTCTTTGTGATGCTTGCATTCAACTCACAGAATTGAACATTCCTTTTCATAGAGCAGTTTTGAAACACTTTTTTTGTAGAATACATAAGTGGAAGCTTGGAGGGCTTTGAGGTCTATGATAAAAAAGGAAATATCTTCCCATAAAAAATAGACATAAGAATTCTCCGAAACTTCTTTGTGAGGTGTGTACTCAACTCAGAGAGGTGAACTATTCTTTTGATTGAGCAGTTTTGAAACACTCTTTTTGTAGAATCTGCAAGTGGATATTTGGATAGCTTTGAGGATTTCGTAGGAAACGGGAATGGCTTCACATAAAAACTAGACAGAAGCATTCTCAGAAACTTCTTTGTGATGTTTGCATTCAACTCACAGATTTGAAAATTCGCTTACATAGAGCAGTTTTGAAACACACTTTTTGTAGTATCTGGAAGTGGACATTTGGAGCGATTTGAGGCCTATGGTGAAAATGGAAATATCTTCTAATAAAAACTAGTCAGAAGAATTATCAGAGACTTCTTTGTGATGTGTGTACTCAATTCACAGAGTTGAACTTTATTTTGATAGACCAATTTTGAAACAATCTTTTTGTAGTATCTGCAAGTGGATATTTGGATAGCTTTGAGGATTTCCATGGAAACGGGAATATCCTCACATAAAAACTAGACAGAAGCATTCTCAGAAACTTCTTTTTGATGTTTGCATTCGACTCACGGAGTTGAAAATTCCCTTTCATAGAGCAGTTTTGAAACACTCTTTTTGTAGGATCTTCAAGTGTTCATTTGGAGCGCCTTGAGGCCTTCGTTCAAAATGGGACTATCTTCACATAAAAACTAGACAGAAGCATTATCAGAAAAACCTTTCTGATGTGTGCATTCAACTCACAGAGTTGAACCATTCTTTTCTAGAGCAGTTTTGAAACACTCTGTAGAATCTGCAAGTGGACATTTGGTGTGCTTTGAGGCCTTTGGTGAAAAAGGAAATATCTTAACATAAAAACTAGACAGAAGCCTTCTCAGAAACATATTTGTGATGTGTGCACTCAACTCACAGAGTTGAACCTTTCTTTTGATAGAGCAGTTTTGAAACACTCTTTTTGTAGTATCTGTAAGTGGAGATTTAGAGCGCTTTGAGGCCTATGGTGAAAAAGGAAATATCTTCACATGAAAACTAGACAGAAGCATTCTCAGAAACTTCTTTGTGATGCTTGCATTCAACTCGCAGAGTTGAAAATTCCTTTTCATAGAGCAGTTTTGAAACACTCTTTTTGTAGAATCTGCTAAAGGTCATTTGGAGCACTCTGAGGCCTTCGTTCGAAACGGGAATACTTCACATAAAAATTAGACAGAATCATTATCAGAAACACCTTTGTTATGTGTGCAATCAACTCACAGAGTTGAACCCTTTTTTTGATAGAGCATTTTTGAAACACTCTTTTTATAGGATCTGCAAGTGGACATTTTGTGTGCTTTGAGGCCCATGGTGTAAAAGGAAACATCTTAACATAAAAACTAGGCAGAAGCATTCTCAGAAACTCCTTTGTGATGTGTGCATTCAACTCACAGTGTTGAAACTTTCTTTTGATAGAGCCGATTTGAAACACTCTTTTTGTAGAATTTGCAAGTGGATATTTGGACAGCTTTGAGACCTTCGCTGGAAACGGGAATATCTTCACATAAAAACTAGACAGAAGCATACTCAGAAACATCCTTGTGATGTTTGCATTCAATTCATGGAGTTGAACATTCCTTTTCATAGGGTAGTTTTGAAACACACTTTTTGTAGTATCTGCAAGTGGACTTTTGGTACGCTTTGAGGCCTATAGTGAAAAAGGAAATATCTTCACATAAAAACTAGACAGAAGAACTCTCAGAAACTTCTCGGTGATGTGTGTACTCAACTCACAGTGTTGTACCTTTCTTTTGATAGAGGAGATTTGAAACACTCTTCTTGTGGAATCTGCAAGTGGACATTTGGAGTGCTTTGTGGCCTTCGTTGGAAACGGGTATATCTTCATATAAAAACGAGACAGAAGCATTCTCAGAAACATCTTAGTGAAGTTTGCATTCACCTCACAGAGTTGGAAATTCCCTTTCATAGAGCAGTTTTGAAACACTCTTTTTGTAGTATCTGGAATTGGACATTTGGAGCGCTTTCAGAACCATGGTGAAAAAGGAAATATATCCACATAAAAACTAGACAGAAGTATTCTCAGAAACTTCTTTGTGATGTGTGTACTTAAATCACAGTGTTGAATTTTCTTTTGATAGAGCAGTTTTGAAACACTCTTTTTGTAGAATCTGCAAGTGGATATTTGGATAGGATTTAGGCTTTCGTTGGAAACGGGAATATCTTCACATAATAACTAGACAGAAGCATTCTCAGAAACTTCTTTGTGATGTTTGCATTCAACACACAGATTTGAGCATTCCTTTTCACAGAGTAGTTTTTAAACACTCTTTTTGTAGAATCTGCAAGTGGTCATTTGGAGCACTTTGAGGCCTTCGTTCGAAAAGGGAATACCTTCACATAAAAACTAGACAGAATCATTATCAGAAATATCTTTGCAATATGTGCATTGAACTCACAGAGTTGAATCCGTCTTTTTATAGAGCAGTTATGAAACACTCTCTTTGTAGGATCTGCAAGTGGACATTTTGGTGTGTTTTGAGGCCTATGGTGAAAAATGAAGTATCTTAACATAAAAACTAGACAGAAGCGTTGTCAGAATCTTATTTGTGATGTGAGCACTCAACTCACGTATTTGGACCTGTCTTTTGATAGAGCAGATTTGAAACACTTTTTTTGTGTAATCTGCAAGTGCACATTTAGAGCGCTTTGTGGCCTTCATTGGAAACGGGAATATCTTCACATAAAAACTAGACGGAAGCATTCTCAGAAACTTCTTTGTGATGTGTGTACTCAACTCACTGAGTTTAACCTTTCTTTTGATAGAGAAGTTTTGAAACAATCTTTTTGTAGTGTCTGCAAGTGGATATTTGGATAGCTTTGAGGCTTTCGTTGGAAACGAGAATATCTTCACATTAAAACTAGACAGAAGCATTCTCAGAAACTTGTTTGTGATGTGTGTACTCAACTAACAGAGTTTAACCTTTCTTTTGATAGAGCATTTTTGAAACACTCTTTTTGTAGGATCAGCAAGTGGACATTTTGTGTGCTTTGAGGCCTATGGTGAAAAAGGAAATATCTTCCCATAAAAACTAGACAGAAGCATTCTCAGAAACTTCCTTGTGATGTGTGTACTCAACTCACAGAGATGATTCTTTCTTTTGATAGCGCAGTTTTGAATCACTCTTTTTGAAACATTTACAAGTGCATATTTGGACAACTTTGAGTCTTTCGTTGGAAACGGGAATATCTTCTCATAATAACTAAACAAAAGCATTCTAAGAAAATTCTTTGTGATGTGTGCATTCAACTCACAGAGTTGAACCTTTGTTTTGATACAGCAGATTTGAAAAACTCTTCTTGTAGAATTTGCAAGTGGATATTGCACAGCTTTGAGACCATCGCTGGAAACGGGAATATCTTCACATAGAAACTAGACAGAAGCATACTCAGAAAGTTGTTTTTGATGTTAGCATTCAACTCACGGAGTTGAATATTCCTTTTCATAGGGCAGTTTTGAAACACACTTTTTGTAGTATCTGCAAGTGGACTTTTGGAGCTCTTTGAGGCCTATCGTGAAAAAGGAAATATCTTCCCATAAAAATTACACAGAAGAATT